>NC_000016.10:70320075-70623106 GCF_000001405.40 Homo sapiens
TTATATTTGTGGATCTAATATTTTTGTAGATGCTAACTTTTTTTTTTTCTGGGAGATAAGGTCTCACTCTGTCACCTAGGCAGGAGTACAGCAGTGTAGTCATAGCTCACTGCACCCTGAGCACCTGGACATAAGCAATCCTCCTGCCTCAGCCTCCCAGGTAGCTAGGACTACAGGCACGTGCTGCCATGCCTGGCTAAGTTTCTTTATTTAATAGAGATGGGGTCTTGCTATGTTGCCCAGACTGGTCTTAATCTCGTGGCCTCAAGCAATCCTCCCACCTTGGCCTCCCCCAGTTTTTTTTTTTTTTTTTTGAGACAGGGTCTCACTCTGTTATCCAGGCTAGGTGCACTGGCACCATCTTGGCTCACTGCAACCTCTGCCTCCTGGGCGTAAGCAATCCTCCCACCTCGGCCTCCCACCCAAGTAGCGGGGGCCACAGGTGCAAGCCACCATGCCTGGCTAATTTTTATACAATTTTTTTTTTTTTGAGACAGAGTCTCGCTCTGTAGCCCAGGCTGGAGTGCAGTGGCGTGATCTTGGCTCACTGTAACCACCACCTCCCAGGTCCTGGATCAAGTAATTCTCCTGCCTCAGCCTCCGGAGTAGCTGGGATTACAGGCACGCTCCACCATGCCCAGCTAATTTTTTTTTTGTATTTTTAGTAGAGATGGGGTTTCACCATGTTGGCCAGGCTGGTCTTGAACTCCTGACCTCGTGATCCAGCCGCCTTGGCCTCCCAAAGTGCTGAGATTACAGGCGTGAGCCATCGTGCCCGGCCTAATTTTTATATTTTTATCAGAGACAGAGTTGTGCTATGTTGCCCAGGCTGGTCTCAAACCCCCCAAAGTGTTGGGATTACAGGTATGAGGCACCACACTAGGCTTTTTTTTTTTTTTTTTTTGAGACGGAGTTTCGCTCTTGTTGCCCAGGCTGGAGTGCAATGGCGCGATCTCGGTTCACCGCAATCTCTGCCTTCCAGGTTCAAGCGATTCTCCTGCCTCCACCTCCCAAGTAGCTGGGATTACAGGCATGTGCCACCATGCCTGGCTAATTTTGTATTTTTAGTAGAGATGGGGTTTCTCCATGTTAATCAGGCTGGTCTCGAACTCCCAACCTCAGGTGATCCGCCTGCCTCAGCCTCCCAAAGTGCTGGGATCACAGGCGTGAGCCACTGCGCCCGGCCTTCAGGCTTTTTTTTGTTTTGTTTTGGGGTTTTCTTTTGGTGGAGATGGGGTCTTACTTTGTTGCCCAGACTTGTCTTGAACTCCTACGCTCAAGCACGCTTCCCACCTTGCCTTCCCAAAGTGCTAGGGTTACAGGCATGAGCCATTGGGCCTAGCCAAGAAGCTCATTTTTAGATTGACAGTATTAGAAGAGACCAGCATTATTACTAGAATTATCTACTACCTTTCATCATTAACAAATATTTATTGAGTGCCTGTTATATAACAGATACTATGCTAGGCACTTGGATACATTAGTCAACAACGCAGACCAAAATTCCTGCCCACAAGGAGCTTATGTTCTAGTTTGAAATATAGCTAATTCATTTTTATTAAAATATAACAGGTGATAAATTACAAACATTAATGCCACTGAATAGTACACTTAAAAGTGGGTAAAAGGGCAAATTTTATGACATATATTTTTTACTTCAAATAAAAATAAATTTTGGCCAGGCGTGGTGGCTCACGCCTGTAATCCCAGCCCTTTGGGAGGCCGAGGCAGGCAGATCATTTGAGGTCAGGAGTTCGAGACCAGGCTGGCCAACATGGTGAAACCCCATCTCTACTAAAAATACAAAAAATTAGCTGGGCATGGTGGCACGTGCCTGTAATCCCAGCTACTCGGGAGGCTGAGGCAAAAGAATCGCTTGAACCTGGGAGACGGAGGTTGCAGTGAGCTGAGATCGCGCCATTGGACTCCAGCCTGGGCGACAGAGTGAGATTCCGTCTCAAAAAAAAAAAAAATTAATAATAAATTTTGGCCAGGCATAGTGGCTCATGCCTGTTATCCCAGCAATTTGGGAGGCCAAGGCAGGCAGATGGCTTGAGCCCAGGAGTTTGAGACCAGCCTGGGCAGCACAGTAAGACCTCATCTGTATTAAAGGGCAAAATTAAAAAAGAAATTAAATATACAACACTTTATTCTAACTACAAGGGGCAACAGATGTTTTGACAGGGAATCTAGATGTTTAAACAGAAATAGAATCAAGAGTTACCGGTGTGGCGGCTGGGCGCAGTGGCTTACAACTGTAATCCCAGGACTCTGGAATGCTGAAGTGGGCGGATCACTTGAGGTCAGGAGTTCAAGACCAGCCTGGCCAACATGGCGAAACCCATCTCTACAAAAAAAACACAAAAATAGCCATGCATGGTGGTGCATACCAGTCCCAGCTACTCAGGAGGCTGAGGCTCCGGAATTGCTTGGAATCCGCATAGTGGCGGTTGCAGTGAACTGAGATTGTGCCACTGCACTCCAGTCTGGGCGACAAAGTGAGACCTTGTCTCAAAAAAAAAAAAAAAAAAAAAAAGGCCGGGCGTGGTGGCTCACGACTGTAATCCCAACACTTTGGGAGGCCCAAGGCAAGTGGATCACCTGAGGTCAGCAGTTCACCAGCCTGGCCAACATGGTGAAACCCCATCTCTACTAAAAATACAAAAATTAGCCAGACGTGGTGGCAGGCATCTGTAATCCCAGCTACTCTGGAGGCTGGGGCAGAAGAATTGCTTGAACCTGGGAGGCAGAGGCTGCAGTGAGCTCAGATCGCGCCTTTGCACTCCAGCTCGGTGACAACAGTGAAACTCCGTTGCAAAAAAAAAAAAAAAAAAAAAAAGTCCCCATAAGGAACAGCTTACTTTTGCCAGATTTTAAAATTCCACCTGTGGCCGGGGGCCCTCCCCATGGTTTCACTTTTAGTTCATGTTTCTTCTGTTTGTTTGTTTGTTTTTTCCCCTGCCGGAAGACCTCATTTTCCTCGTCCATATCTTTGGCCTGCTGCGGCTGCTCCGTTTTTTGTTTTTTGTTTTTTTGAGACAGGGTCTTGCTCTGTCACCAGGGCTGGAGTACAGTGGTGCAGTCTCAGCTCACTGCAGCCTGCAACCTCCACCCTCCACCTCCTGGGCTCAAGAGATCCTCACATGTCAGCCTCCCAGGTAGCTGGGACTTCAGGTATGTACCACCATGTCCAGCTAATGTTTGTATCTTTTGTAGAGAAAGGGTTTCGGTATTTTGCCCAGGCTGGTCTCAAACTCCTAGGCTCAAGAAATCACCCACCTCAACCTCCCGAAGTGCTGAGATTGCAGGCATGAGCCACTGCACCTGACCTTGCCTGCTTTTTTTCTTTTTTCTTTTTTTTTTTTTGACACTGAGTCTCGCTCTATCACCCAGGCTGGAGTACAGTGGCGCGATCTCGGCTCACTGCAACCTCTGCCTCGTGGGTTCAAGCGATTCTCCTGCCTCAGCCTCCCAAGGAGCTGGGACTACAGGCGCCCACCACCATGCCTGGCTAATTTTTGTATTTTTAGTAGAGTCAGGGTTTTACCATGTTGGCCAGGCTGGTCTCAAATTCCTGACCTCGAATGATCCACCCACCTCGGCCTCCCAAAGTTCTGGGATTGCAGGCATGAGCCACCGCGCCTGGCCTTGCCTGCTTCTTGAGCTGCTTCTTGCCACCTTCAAGGCAAGACTTGGTTCTTGCCACTCTTACCCCCTACCCTGCTACCAAAACCTACATCTTGTTTTTTTTAGGCATTTCAAGGTAGATTACACTTTTAAATCAAGTGGTTAAGGTAGGATCTCCTGAAGTAGATATCTGGGCAAAGACTTGAAGGAGAGAAGGGAGTTAGCATGTTATCTGGGGACAGTTGTCCCAAGCAGAGCACAGCCAAGGCAGAAGCCCTAAGACAAGAGCATGACTGGCATGTTCTCTGAGCAGTACTAGGGCCCTGTGGTGGAACGAAGTAAGGGAGAGAGAGTAGTAGGAAATGAGAGCTGAGGTGTAATGGGGAGCAGATCATGCAGGACCTGTATGCCATTATGAGGGTTTCAACTTGTACTCTGAATGAAACGAGGAATTATTGGAAGGTCTTTGGGCAGAGAAGTAATGTGAGCTGACTCACATTTTAAGAATCAGTAGGCCAACTGCAGTGACTCACACCTATAATCCCAGCACTTTGGGAGGCTGAGGCAAGAGGATCACTTGAGCCCAGGAGGTTGAGGCTGCAGTGAGCCAAGATTGTGCCACTGCACTCCAGCCTGGTCAACAGAGTGAGACCTAATCTCAAAAAAAAAAAAAAAAAAAAAAAAAAGAAGAAGATGTGGAGTGCTTCAAATCCCACCAGAAAATCTTATTTCTATAGTGCCCTGTTCTTGTGAAGCTAGCATATGTAACTCTGCTACATAATCCAAGGTCTCCTATAAATGAATTTTTAATACTCATTTTTTTAAACTTTGTTAACTAAAAGGTTGAGATTTAAGCTCCTAACTAGTTTGTTTCTTGCGCAGCCCACAGAACTTAATTGCCCAATCTCAGTCTGGTACTGGTAAAACAGCTGCCTTCGTGCTGGCCATGCTTAGCCAAGTAGAACCTGCAAACAAATACCCCCAGGTAAGGATTTATGAATTTAGGTTTTCTACTAATGCATAGATAGAAGGGGATTTCCATTTGATGGATTAAAAGACAAGCTATGGGCTGGGTGCAGTGGCTCATGCCTGTAATCCCAGCACTTTGGGAGGCCGAGGTGGGCGGATCACCTGAGGTCAGGAGTTCTAGACCAGCCTGGCCAACATGGTGAAACCCTGTCTCTACTAAAAATAAAAAATTAGCTGGGCCTGGTGGCATGTGCCTGTAATCCCAGCTACTTGGGAAACTGAGGCAAGAGAATCATTTGAACCCGGGAGGCGGAGGTTGCAGTGAGCTGAGATCGCACCATTGCACTCCAGCCTGGGCAAAAAGAACGAAACTCTGTCTCAAAAAAATAAAATAAAAGCCAAGCTATGCATTACTTTTTACACAAACTGAAACTCCTTAAATTGAGCACAAATAATACGGGATATCTTCCAATGGCAATAAAAATCCTGTTTCCTTTTTCCATGGTGTGCCAGTTCTGGGATGCTTCTTACAGGCTTGGCTCCTTTACTTGCAGGAAAACCTGTTTCATCAGCAACTGCCATCCATTAGAAAGTTCTGAGAGCTTTCTGAGTAAACGAAAAGAAAGCTAATGCCAATTGGAACTTTAGATCCTTGCTCATGGGTGGGTTTTTGTATTGCAGTGGCCAGTATCTGTTTTCAAGTGTCTTTACCCAGCCAGAGTTCTGACCCCTAAGAATTCTAGCTTATGACTCTGTAGCTTAAAGAATCAAATGGTGTACATTTTAATGTACATATTCTTTCCTTCAGCTTCAGCTGGAGGAGTGGCTAAGTACTAATGGTAATTCCCCTTTGCAAAAGAGCTATTGTCTTGAATTTGCACTCTGCATTCTTTTCCTGCCAGTGTCTATGTCTCTCCCCAACGTATGAGCTCGCCCTCCAAACAGGAAAAGTGATTGAACAAATGGGCAAATTTTACCCTGAACTGAAGCTAGCTTATGCTGTTCGAGGCAATAAATGTGAGTATGTGAATTTGGTCCTAAATCATCAACCTAATTCTTTTTATTTTGAAATATTTCAAAACCCACCCAATAGTTGAAATAATACAATAAACACATGTATGTTCTCCAGCTAGATTCAAAAACTTAACATTTTGCCATATTTGCTTTACATAAATGTATACATTTTTGTCAAACCATTTGAAAGTAAACTGCAGACATGCACCTCATGAGGACATTCTTTGCCATACCTATGGATACCCTTTTATCACAACCAGGAAAATTAACAGATTTCCTAGAATAACTAATACCAGTCCATTTTTATTCCTCCCCAGCTGTTCCCAAAGTCTTCCTTTATAGCTGTTTGGTTTTTCGACCAAGATCAAGTTAGCGTTTATACGTTGCGTTTGGTTGTTGTACTTGTTTCTTTCAATCTAGAATTGTACCCCTACCTTTTTCTCTCCCTATTATATTTAACATTTTGCACAGACCAGACTAGTTGCTTTTCAAATATTCTACATTCTGGCCGGGCGCGGTGGCTCACGCCTGTAATCCCAGCCCTTTGGGAGGCCGAGGCGGGCAGCAGATCACGAGATCAGGAGATTGAGACCATCCTAGCTATCATGGTGAAACCCCGTATCTAATAAAAATACAAAAAAATTAGCCAGGCGTGGTGGCGGGCACCTGTAGTCCCAGCTACTTGCGAGGCTGAGGCAGGAGAATGGTGTGAACCTGGGAGGCAGAGCTAGCAGTGAGCTGAAATAGCGCCACTGCACTCGAGCCTGGGCGACAGAGCGAGACTCCGTCTCAAAACAAGCAAACAAACAAAAAACAAACAAACAAAAATTCTACATTCTAGATTTGTTTATTTTTATTTATTTATTTTAGAAACAGAGTCTTGCTCTGTCACTCAGGCTGGAGTACAGTGGCATGATCTTGGCTCACTGCAACCTCTGCCCTCCGGGTTCAAGTGATTCTCCTGCCTCAGACTCCCAAGTAGCTGGGATTACAGGTGCCTGCCACCATGGCTGGCTAATTTTGTATTTTTAGTACAGATGGGGTTTCACCACGTTGGCCAGGCTGGTCTCAAACTCTTGACCTCAGGTTATCCATCTGCCTCGGCCTCCCAAAGTGCTGAGATTATAGGTGTGAGCCACTGTGCCCAGACTTCTTTCTTTTTTTTTTGAGAGAGAGTCTCGCCCTGTCGCCCAGGCTGGAGAGCAGTGGCACAGTCTTGGCTCACTGCAAGCTCTGCCTCTGGGGTTCACACCATTCTCCTGCCTCAGCCTCCTGAGTAGCTGGGACTACAGGCGCCCACCACTACGCCCAGCTAATTTTTTGTATTTTTAGTAGAGACGGGGTTTCACTGTGTTAGCCAGGATGGTCTCTATCTGCTGACCTCGTGATCCTCCCGCCTTGGCCTCCCAAAGTGCTGGGATTACAGGCGTGAGCCACTGCGCCTGGCCGCCTTCTTTTTTTTATTTTGAGACAGTTTCGCTAGGTCACCTAGGCTGGAGTTCTGACTCCAGGCACGAGCCACCGTGCCTGGCCACACCCAGCTAATTTTCTAAAAATTTTTTTTGTAGGCCAAACATGGTGGCTCATGCCTGTAATCCCAGCACTTTAGCAGGCCGAGGTGGGTGGATCACGAGGTCAGGAGATAGAGACCATCCTGGCCAACATGGTGAAACCCCATCTCTACTAAACATAGAAAAATTAGCCAGGTGTGGTGGCATGTGCCTGTCGTCCCAGCTACTCAGGAGGCTGAGGCAGGAGAATCACTTGAACCCGGGAGGTGGAGGTTGCAGTGAGCCAAGATCGTGCCACTGCACTCCAGCCTGGGCGATAGAGCAAGACTCTGTCTCAAAACAAAACAAACAAAAAAAAACAAACAAATTTTTTTTTTTTTTGTAAAGACAGTGTCTTGCTATGTTGCCCAAGCTGGTCTAGAACTCCAAGTCTCAAGCAATCCTCCTGCCTCGTCCCCTCAAAGTGATGGGATTACAGGTGTGAGCCACTAGGCCAGGACTGAATTTGTTTAATTGCCTAATTTATTTATCTTCATTAGCAGAATAAAAACCCAGAATGTTTATGGCTATTGACTCTGGGGCTTATTCTGTTAATTATTTTTTGTTACTAATTTTTTCTACACTAGTTTGTTTTACAGTTAATATTATTTAAGTAATTTTAAAAGTGTTGTTGGCCGGACATGATGGCTCATACCTGTAATCTCAGCACTTTGGGAGCCTAAGGTGGGTGGATCATTGTAAGGTTAGGAGTTCGAGACCAGCCTGACCAACATGATGAAACCCAGTCTCTACTAAAAATACAAAAATATTAGCTGGGCATGGTGGTGCACACCTGTAATCCCAGCTACTCAGGAGGCTGAGGCAGGAGAATTGCTTGAACCCGGGAGGGGGAGGTTGCAGTGAGCCGAGATTGCACCACTGTACTCCAGCCTGGGCGACAGAATGAGATTCTGTCTCAAAAAAAAAAAAGTGTTAGAGGTTTGGTTGAGTTTTATGGATCTCTGAAACAAATGTGACCTTATGAAAATCAAGTCTGCATACAGTGTCCTAATGCCAACTTGAGGCCAGTTCTGAAAAGTAAATAATACAGTGAAACTTATTGGGAGATAATCATTTAAAATTTTGCAATTTGTATTCGAATTAGAAGGGTAGAGAATTCTGAATTTTTTTTTTTTTTTTTTTTTTGAGACAGAGTCTCAGTCTGTCTCCGGGCTGGAGTGCAGTGGCGCGATCTCGGCTCACTGCAACCTCCGCCTCCTGGGTTCAAGCGATTCTCCTGCCCCAGCCTCCCAAATAGCTGAGATTACATGAGCCCACCACCACACCCAGCTAATTTTTGTATTTTTAGTAGAGATGGGGTTTCGCCATGTTGGCCAGGCTGGTCTCGAACTCCTGACCTCAGGTGATCCGCCTGCCTCAGCCTTCCAAAATGCTGGGATTACAGGCATGAGCCACCGTGCCCGGCCCTTTTAGTTATTTTTAAATGTACAATATATTGTTGACTGTAGTCACCACATTGTGCTATCAAATGCTAGATCTTACTTATTTTAATTGTATTTTTGTACCCATTACCTTTTCAGCATTTTTGTCTGTTTTTATGTCCATTAAATGCTATAGTGATATCCTAACCTTTCCTTAATATATTAATGCAAACAGCAAAACATTTGCATTAAAATATATAATAGGTTTAGAATTTCTCAGAGAGAAGAGCTGGCTTTGCCTTTGAAATACCCATGGAGGCCGGGCACGGTGGCTCATGCCTGTAATCCCAGCACTTTGGGAGGCCGAGGCAGGTGGATCACCAGGTCAGGAGTTCAAGACCAGCCTGGCCAAGAGAGTGAAACCCACCTCTACTAAAAATACAAAAAAAAAAAAAATTAGCCAGGTGCAGTGGCAGGTGCCTGTAATCCTAGATACTTGGGAGGCTGAGGCAGGAGAATCGCTTGAACCTGGGCGGCAGAGGTTGCAGTGAGTCGAGATCATGCCATTGCACTCCAGCCTGGGCAACAGAGTGAGACTCTGTCTCAAAAAAAAAAAAAAAAAAAAAGAAAGAAAGAAATACCCACACATGGAAAACATCTTGGGGTCTCCACAGTGGAAAGAGGCCAGAAGATCAGTGAGCAGATTGTCATTGGCACCCCTGGGACTGTGCTGGACTGGTGCTCCAAGCTCAAGTTCATTGATCCCAAGAAAATCAAGGTGTTTGTTCTGGATGAGGCTGATGTCATGATAGCCACTCAGGGCCACCAAGATCAGAGCATCCGCATCCAGAGGTAGGGATCTCGAGGGTGGGGGACTCCTCAGATTCCCCATCTGCAGTGTCTTCTCCCTTCACTTCAGATGCCTCCTCTGGCTTCTGCCTGGGTCTTGGCTCTCGTACTCTCAGCAGCATTTGTTTGACGGGCCACTTCCGTGTCAGCGCTGGCCACAGTCCCTCCCAGCCTGGGTTGAGAAAGGAGACCTAGGGACTCTCCCCCAACCCCTGTCCCCATCCCAGGCCTGCTGCTCCTCCTCCCCAAGACGCTCCTCTCCCATCAGCCTTCCTGGGCATCTAGACCCTCCCAGCTGGGAAGGCTGTGCTTCTGTCGCTTCCCGGGGCCACCTGGGGCCACCTACCAGGGCCTTCCCTTGCAGGATGCTGCCCAGGAACTGCCAGATGCTGCTTTTCTCCGCCACCTTTGAAGACTCTGTGTGGAAGTTTGCCCAGAAAGTGGTCCCAGACCCAAACGTTATCAAACTGAAGCGTGAGGAAGAGACCCTGGACACCATCAAGCAGTACTATGTCCTGTGCAGCAGCAGAGACGAGAAGTTCCAGGCCTTGTGTAACCTCTACGGGGCCATCACCATTGCTCAAGCCATGATCTTCTGCCATGTGAGTAGCAGTGGCAGTGGCAGGCCTGGCCCTTCCCTCTCAGCCAGCTCCCCACAGGGCTCAGGAGGACTGGATGCCCCTGGGTGCCATGGGAAGAAACGAAGTGGTTTGTTCTCCTAAGGTTTTAGTGAGTCGTAAGAGGGAGACTTTGATTCCACTTCTTAGTGATTACTTGGAGAAAACCCCAAGTAACAGCCAATGAAATAATTTTTAGATTTTTAAGAATATAAGCTGGGCGGCTGGCACGGTGGCTCATGCCTGTAATCCCTGCACTTTGGGAGGCCAAGGCGGGTGGATCACCTGAGGTCAGGAGACCAAGACCAGCCTGGCCAACATGGTGAAACCCCATCTCTACTAAAAATACAAAAAATTAGCCGTGCGTGGTGGTGTGCACCTGTAATCCCAGCTACTCAGGAGGCTGAAGCAGGAGAATCGCTTGAACCCGGGAGGTGGAGGTTGCAGTGAGCTGTGATTGCTCCATTGCACTCCAGCCTGGGTAACAAGAGCGAAACTCTGTCTCAATACAAAAACAAACAAACAAACAAAAAACCAACAACAAAAAAAGAGTATAAGCTGGGCAAGTACCTGTAGTCCCAGCTACTCAAGAGGCTGAGGTTGGAGGATCGCTTGAGCCCAGGAGTTCAGACCAGCATGGGCAACATAGTGAGACCTCATCATTAAAAATATATATATGGCTGGGCACAGTGGCTCACGCCTGTAATCCCAGCCTTTTGAGAGGCTGAGGTGGGGGGATCTTCTTGAGCCCAGGAGTTCAAGACCAGCTTGCACAACATAGCAAGACCCCATCTCTACAAAAATTTTAAAAATTAGCCAGGCGTGGTGGTGCATGCCTGTGGTCCCAGCTGCTTGGGAGGCTCAGATGGGAGGATTGATTGAGCCCAGGAGGTTGAGACTGCAGTGAGCTGTGACTGTGCACTCCAGAGTGGGCAAGAGAATGAGATCCTGTCTCAAAAAATTTAAATTTAAAATAAAATTTTAAAATATATATGTTGTTTGTTTGTTTTTGAGATAAGGTCTTGCTCTATCATTCAGGCCAGAATACAGTGGCATGGTCATAGCTCACTGCAGCCTTGGCTCTTGTTACTAGGGCTACAGGTATGTGCCCCATGCATGTCAGCCTAATTTTTATTTTTATTTTTGTAGAGGTGGGGTCTTGCTATGTTGTCCAGGCTGGTCTCAAACTCCTGGCCTCAAGCAATCTTCCAGCCTCAGCCTCCCAAAGCCTAAGACTACAGGCACGAGCCACCATATCTGGCAAGAACATAGACTATTTAGGAATGAAGATCTTTGGCTAAAGCCACACTCTTCCTAGATACAAAAGTAACAGCAGTTACATAACTTATCTAAAAAGAAAAAAATCATATGACTAAAATTCTATTTGAAAGAAAAATTTTTTTTTGAGATGGGTTCTTGCCATGTTGTGCAGGCCAGCCTCGAACACTTGGGCTCAAGTGTGTAGCTTGGACTACAGGTGTGTACTACCATGCTTCATTGAGAAATTTTAAGCCTAACCTCCTAACTGGATTTAGCAGGGCCTTCATGTATTTTAATCGTGGCAAGCCACTTTTTAGCAGTTGTCTTCCTTTTGTTTTTAACAGGTCTCTTCATAAAAAACAATTCTTTTCACTACAGACTCGCAAAACAGCTAGTTGGCTGGCAGCAGAGCTCTCAAAAGAAGGCCACCAGGTGGCTCTGCTGAGTGGGGAGATGATGGTGGAACAGAGGGCTGCAGTGATTGAGCGCTTCCGAGAGGGCAAAGAGAAGGTTTTGGTGACCACCAACGTGTGTGCCCGCGGTGAGCAGAGGACGTGTCCCACCTGGTCTGCCAGGCTTGGGGTCCCAGGCCCAGTTAGAGCCAGAAATCCTTGTACACAGGGAAGTCGGATGGTCTCAGGGAGATGGGTGGGGTTGGTGACACTATTCCTTTCTAGGAGAGACTGTTTGGATTTCCCTCAGGTGATAAGAACTCCCACAGAAGCCAGGAGTCCTGACTTGGTGGAAGGAAATGTACAGGCATCTGACTGGTAGAGAACAGAGCCTGCTCTTCCAGGGATGCCCATCTCCAGAACATTGTGTCTCCCAGAGGCTTACTGACTGATTTCATAATTTTGTTGGCACCTGCCAAAGTTTTGTTCTTTTCCTCCAGGTTCTGCTGTATGCCTGTATGTGCCCTCTCTTGTACCCAATTCCCAGAGTTGGCCTGTCCCAAATGTATTTATTTATTTTTTTGAGACAGAGTCTTGCTCAATGGCCCAGGCTGGAGTGCAGTGGCACAATCTCAGCTCACTGTAACCTCCGCCTCTCAGGTTTAAGTGATTCTCCCGCCTCAGCCTCCCGAGTAGCTGGGATTACAGGCGCCTGCCACCAAGCCCAGCTAATTTTTGTATTTTCAGTACAGATAGGGTTTTGCAGTGTTGGCCAGGCTAGTCTTGAACTCTTGACCTCAGATGATCTGCCTGCCTCGGCCTCCCAAAGTGCTGGGATTACCGGTATGAGCCACCGCACTCGGCCCCCCAAATTCTTTCCCTTTACCCGAAGTTGGTATGCATTGACTTACCTGTGGACAACAGTGATTTTTGTCTCCTGTCCTTACTTCTCTCTGTCTCCAACTCTCAGGGACTCATTCATCACCTCTCCCTGCACCCCACCCCCTGACCCGTGCTAGTTTGGTATCTATGCCTGTAGCTTTGCTTTGGGGCATCATCTGAATCTCATACTGCACGGCCTTTCAGATCTGGCTTCCTGCACTCAATGTCATGCACGTCTCTTAGTGCCGTGTTCCCTTAATGCTGAGTCATGCTCCATTGTATGGATGGACCACATGACTGATTTGCCTCCTGTCCTTAGTCCTCTCAGCCTCCAACTCTCCTTCCTGCAGGCATTGATGTTGAACAAGTGTCTGTCGTCATCAACTTTGATCTTCCCGTGGACAAGGACGGGAATCCTGACAATGAGACCTACCTGCACCGGATCGGGCGCACGGGCCGCTTTGGCAAGAGGGGCCTGGCAGTGAACATGGTGGACAGCAAGCACAGCATGAACATCCTGAACAGAATCCAGGAGCATTTTAGTGAGTCCCGGGGAGGGTCCTGTGCCTGGCGCCCTTTGCTAAGTAGGGCGGGGTGGTGAAAGGGGTAGGATCTTCTGTAGCCCCAAGAGAGGCTCTGTCCCTAGCACACTCCCCTCCTTTCTGACCATATGGCAGTTCTCAGGGAGCACACCTGGAGACTTCAGGACCCAGGGACTCCAAGAACAGCTCCCCTGTGACTGGGCTTCGGGGCGTGGGGCTCTGACTGTTGCTGTCAGTGACTAGGGGCCCTGCTGCCCCCTGCTTAGGCACCCGGAGCCTTTGGGGCTGAATGAATGATTGCTGTGGCCCAAGATGGGGCACATTCCTGGGCAGGGTAGAGACCTGTGTATCTTTCCCCCAGATAAGAAGATAGAAAGATTGGACACAGATGATTTGGACGAGATTGAGAAAATAGCCAACTGAGAAGCTCCACCAGCCACTGATGCCAGCCCTGGCACTGCCCCTGCACAGGAGACAAGTGCGTTCAGGGCACAGGCCCCGACATCACCCCAAGGACAACGGCACAAGTAGAGAGAAACTACCTACCTCACTTCAAATTATGTTTGGACTTGACAAAAATGTATGCAAATGATGGGGGATGGTAGAAAAAAATTATTTACACAACCTTGGAAGATTAGGCATGAATACACAGAGATTTACCTTTTGGAAGTTTCATCTTTTAATTTGGCCAGTGTTTCCTTCATGCTAATCTAGATGCTGTGGCTGATTACTTGCCCAGGATCTCCTGTGGCAGCCTCTGCTTGTTCTCTGGCTTGGAGTGGATGGGGCAGCCTCCAGCTCCTGTGGAAGTAATGGAATAGTGGTGGAAAGGGAACACAGAGAGGGAGGCTTCCAGTAAGATAGGTGTGTAAGCCCAGCCATCATGTTTGGAATGGCATGAGGCAGCAGAGGAGGCCTGAGAGCTGCTGCTTTGGACTTGGGGGTGGGACAGCTCATCTGAGTATTGCCAGCCCCCTGTCCTAGTGCCCACAGCAGAAGGGAATTTGTTAAATAAGCATGGACCAAAATGCCAACCTCTCGGTTGTGTATATGGGTTTGTGTCACAGGACTGTGACCTGTTCTCGGTGGGTGCAGTCTGTGTAGAGTGCACATCTGATTATTGGTGGGTCCTGTGCCTGTGCTTAAGCAAGTCCTGTGGAGAAGTCATCATGGAGAATTAGTGGTGGCCCTAGCGTGCCACAAAACCTGGTCTCATGAGCATTTGCAACATCCCTTTTACATCCTTAATATCCCCTTACCCCACAGTAGCCCCAAACAAATGTGATCTGAGGTTTAGATCCTCAGTGAAAATTGTGGTTTCAAGTCTTCATGGCCAGCCTCAAGGCAGTTCTAGATGTGATCAGCAGTAGTCACAAATTCTTGTTTTGTCTCCACACCCAGAAGGCAAGTTTTGTCAGAGCTGGGGAATAATTTCAGATATTTGACATCTTGATTATAAAGGGCTTCTGAACATCTGTGTTTACTGCCTTTGGAATACAAACAGGTGCAACTGAGGGACTAGCTACACTACCACCATTTATCTGTCCAAGGCAAGAGTATCACCAAGGCCTTTGCTCCAGCCTTACTTGGCATCTTTGCGCAAGATAGTCAGAGCAAACAATAGTAATGGACACTTCTCACACCTGGCCAAGGCTGTTGGTACCCACGAAATGACAGCAAAGATGAGAGGAAACTGAATTGCAAGAGCAATATGAAACCCCAACCAAGAGGAGTACTCTGCAGTTCTTTGGCTTTGGTATAGAGTGGCCACTTTCTCTAGGACCTGGAAGAAGAGTTTGATGGCTAAGAACGATTGTGATCCTAGGTCTTCTTTGTACGCATCTCCGTATTTAGGCCAGATCTGCCTCCTGGGAAGGGAAGGGGCCAATGTCAGCCTCCAGGTGATTTCTTTAATCTGACATTACAAAGAGACCAACAGACTGCCAATTCTACCACATTCCCCTGGTGGGTACTCGACTATGTAGTTTTCTCTATGCTTCTGGTCAACTCTGACACATCTTGGAATTCTTGTAATAAGAAAAGAAATTTTTATACTTTTTTCTCCTTCCCTGAGTCCTGTGGACCAACCCTGAAATACTAAAAACAAGGGCAATAATTAAAGAAGTATAGACTCTTTAGTAGGCCACAGGCAGAGCAGACTCCCACCTTCTCAAGCACATACAACCTCTCTACTGGTGTAGCCCCAAGTGTGAGAAGGAAAGTGGGAAGCGGGGTGCTGCAGACTCTTTGACAGCAGGAGGAATGGGAATCTGGTAGAAGTATAGGTCAACAGTTCTTTTTTTTTTTTTTTGGAAACGGAGTCTCACTCTGTTGCCCAGGCTGGAGTGCCGTGGCACGACCTCGGCTCACTGTAACCTCTGCCTCCCAGGTTCAAGCGATTCTCCTGCCTCGGCCTCCTAGGACTACAGGTGCACGCCACCGCACCCAGCTAATTTTTGTATTTTTAGTAGAGATGGGGGTTTCACCATGTTGGCCAGGCTGGTCTTGAACTCCTGACCTCAAGTGATCCACCCACCTTGGCCTCCCAAAGTGCCAGGATTACAGGCGTGAGCCACCGCGCCCAGCCAACAGTTATTAATCAGGGGTCTTGGACCTCTAAGAATTCACTGGATGGGTTTCATGGAGTCTACGAAGTATATATACAGTAGTTTGAGTTTAAATGTATTTTCCTGGCTGGGTGCAGTGGCTCATGCCTGTAATACCAGCACTTTGGTAGGCCTAGGTGGGCGGATCACCTGAGATCGGGAGTTCGAGACCAGCCTGACCCACATGAAGAAACCCTATCTCTATTAAAAATACAAAATTAGCTGGGCTTGGTGGTGCATGCCTATAATCCCAGTTACTTTGGAAGGCCGAACCTGGGAGGTGGAGGTTGCGGTGAGCTGAGATTGCGCTGTTGCACTCCAGCCTGGGCAACGAGAGCAAAACTGTCTCAAAAAACAAAACAAAACAAAAAGGCCCGGCTCAATGACTCACACCTGTAATCCCAGCACTTTGGGAGGCTGAGGCGGGCAGATCACCTGAGGTCAGGAGATCAAGACCAGCCTGGCTAACACAGTGAAACCCCGTCTCTACTAAAAATACAAAAAATTAGCCGGGCGTGGTGGCAGGCGCCTGTATTCCCAGCTACTTGGGAGGCTCAGGCAGGAGAATGGCCAGAACCCGGGAGGCGGAGCTTGCAGTGAGCTGAGATCGCGCCACTGCACTCCAGCCTGGGCAACAGAGCGAGACTCCGTCTCAAACAACAACAACAACAACAAAATATATTTTCCTGGGGAGACTCCCAAAAGATTATATGTCTTTTAAAAAGGTAAGTCCCACTGTTGTGGATGGTTCTGGAATGTTACCCCAGCGTTACTACAGCTCATATTTCTTCCTTATTCCTTCCATATTCATTCCTGCCAGTGCCTAGCTCCCAGGGCCATAGCTGCGTCTGTGACCTTGTGTAGCCTAGAGCCAACAGTGATATAAATCTGCATTGAGCTTGGTGAGCTTTGGTCCCTAGGGATTCTTTTACTGATTTTAGTAAGTACCTATATATGAAATGATAGCTGGGTGGGTTGACTCATGCCTGTAATCCCAGCACTTTGGGAGGCTGAGGCAGGAGGACTGCTTGAGCCCAAGAGTTCAAGACCAGCCTAGGTAACAAAGTGAGACCTTGTCTCCACAAAATAATTTTTTTTTAAATTAGCCAGGCATAGTAGTTCATGCCTGGAGTCCCAGCTACTGGGGAGGCTGAGGCAGGCGGATTGCCTGAGCCCAGGAGTTCAAGGCTGCAGTGAGTTACGATTGTGCCGTTGCACTCCAGCCTGGGTGACAGAGCAAGAAAGACTCTGACTCAAAAAAAAGAGAAAAAAACACTGGGTGCAGTGGCTCATGCCTGTAATCCCAGCACTTTGGGATGCCAAGGCGGGCGAATCACCTGAGGTCAGGAGTTTGAGACCAGCCTGGCCAACATGGTGAAACTCTATCTCTACTAAAAATACAAAAATTAGCTGGGTGTGGTGGTGCATGCCTGTAATCCCAGCTACTAGGAAGGCTGAGGCAGGAGAGTTGCTTGAACCTGGGAGGCAAGAGGTTGCAGTGAGCCGAGATCTCGCCACTGCACTCCAGCCTGGGCGACAGAGTGAGACTCCGTCTCAAAAAAAAAAAAAGAAAAAAGAAATGATAAACTGCTCTAGAACAGAGAAACTTGGGAAAAGGAATGTTTGGCCCAATGGAAAATTCTGGATATATTCATTATCTATAAATAATGCATTTTATTATTTTTCTTGAGTGTCATTCATTGGCTGTATGCATAAGAACTAATTGTTGATATATTCTTTTAATTGAAGATTAACCTGAATTGAGGATTAACATGAAGATTAATTAATAATAATTCAGGTTAATTGAACTTTAATTATGAAGTTTTCATATTACCAAGAAATCATTAATGAGTATAAGAAGGAAAGAGCTGGGTGCAGAGTGTCACGCCTATAATCCCAGCTACTTGGGAGGCTGAGGCAGGAGGATCACTGGAAGCCAGGAGTTCCAGATCATTCTGGGCAAACAGCGATATCTTGTTTCTTAAAAAGTTTAAAAAAGAAAATTAAGCCAGGCACAGTGGCTCACTCCTGTAATCCCAGCACTTTGAGAGGCTAGGGCAGATGGACTGCTCGAGGCCAAGGGTTTGAGAACAGCCTGGGCAACATAGTGAGACCCCATCTATAAAAAATAAAAAATTATAAAAAAATTAGCCAAGTATGCTGACGCATGCCTATAGTCCCAGCTACCCAGGAGACTGAGGTGGGAGGATCGCCTGAGCCTGGGGGGTTGAGGCTGCAGTGAGACATGATCCATGCCACTGCACTCCAACCTGGGCAACAGAGCAAGACCCCATCTCCTGAAAAAGAAGGTAGGAGAAACAGCAGCATGTTTTTGATTGCTGGTATTTGGGTATTTTTGTTTTAACAAGACTAATGTTGTAAAGTTTAACATTCTGTGCATTGGGATTGCCCATGGCTGAGCTCTACAGTCATTCTGAACCGGCGTGGTGGAGGTGCTCATGGTCATACTGGTTGAAGTTTTCTTGAAATATCTCAAGTTTGGTGTCAAGCACTTTATATTTTTCTTGTTGTTGAGATGGAGTCTTGCTCTGTTGCCCAGGCTGTAGTGCAGTGGCGCCATCTCAGCTCTCTGCAACCTCTGCCTCCCAGGCTCAAGCAATTCTTGTGCCTCAGCCTCCTGAGTTACTGGACCACAGGTGCCACCATGCCCGGGTAATTTTTGTATTTTTAGTAGAGATGGGGTTTCACCATGTTGGCCAAGGTCTTGAACTTCTGACCTCAGGTGATCCGCCTGCCGTGTATAGGCGTGAGCCACCATACACGGCTAATTTTTGTATTTTTAGTAGGGACGGGGTTTCACCATGTTGGCCAGACCGGTCTCGAACTCCTGGCCTCAAGCGAGCAACTCACCTCGGCCTCCCAAAGTGCTGGGATTACAAGTGTGAGCCACCATGCCTGGCCAGGTTTGTTAATTTCTATAGCAAGTAGGATTATGCCAGAGGAACAAATTAAATATTTTATTCATTTGATTTTTTTTTAACTTTCCCTACCTTCGAAAAACTCTGACTTTATATTTAACATCAATGGAAGGGACAACTTCAGAAAAAGGTGCAGTACCTCTAGTCTCATGGACCGTTCTGCTTAACTCCCCCACACTTCACTGACTATTTCAAGACTTTCACTCACCTCATAATTCCAACCCTATCATCCCCCTCAGGTGTCAGCAAATAAGCTCCTTACTCTAAGAAAATGGCTAACATACAGAAACTCCCTCAACCTTCTGCCACCAGAACTTCCTCCATGAGCACCGGTCCTTCCCTCTCCCTCCTGTTCCAATGAGACATGTATCCCTGTTATCTAAATTTCTCAGCTGAGTGAAATTACTCACACCTAATCTCAGCAACCTCGGGAGGCCAAGGCAGGAGGATCCCTTGAGCCCAGGAGTCTGACACCAGCCTGGGCGACACAGGGAGACCTCATCTTTACAAAAAAAAATTAAAAATTAGCCAGGCATGGTGGCTCATGCCTGTAGTCCCAGCTACTTTGGAGGCTGAGGCAGGAGGATCACTTGATCCCAGGAGTTTGAGGCTGCAGTAAGCCATGACTGCACCATTGCACTCCAGCTTGGGTAACAAAATGAGACCCTGCCTTAAAAAAAAAAAAAAAATATATATATATATATATATATATATATATATATGTAAATATGTACATTTTTCTGCCAATCCACCAACTTCCCTCTCCTGGCTTTTAAGAACTTGCTCTGTCAACTATCCCCTTATATTTGCTACCTCTCCCACCCCATCAGCTCTTTCTCATTGATATTTTAACATGTTCATACTTGACCGCTCTTTACAATTCAACCCTCTATTCCTCATCTTTCAGCCTGTCTCCTAATGGCAGAAAGTCTTGTAAGGTTGCTTGTATGCAGAGTCTCATTCCTCATCCCTCTGCAGTCTTGACTTTTGCTCCATCACTCCCCTGAAATAGCCTTCATGAAAGACACTGATGACTTACAGGTCCGAAATCTGAAAACCACTTTTTTTTTAGATGGGGGGGGTCTCACTTTGTTGCCCAGGCTGGAGTGCAGTGGCATAGTCACAGCTTACTGCAGCCTTGAACTCCAAGCTCAAGTGATCCTCCTGCCTCAGCCTCCCTAGTAGCTGTGGCTACAGATGCATGCAACCACACTCAGCTTAAAAGCTACATTTTAATCCCTGTTATATTTGCCTTCTCAGCAGCATTTAACTCTATCAACAGTCTCTTTCTCTGGCCACTCTTCTGGGGAGGAAAGTGACGCACACTTTGCTTCCTGGTCTTCTCTCTACCACTTCAGTCTTCTTGGCAGACCTCTCCTTTATTCACCTCCTAAATGGGCCTGTTCCTCATGGCTCTATTCTGGGTTCTCTTTCCCTGCCAGAGGCAACACTGTTCATTCCTATGGCTTTATTTGTCTGCTGGTGACACCCAAATCTATACCAAGACCTGATCCTTGAGCTCCAGCGTCATGAAAACGAAAGCACACATGGCACTTGCACTTGGGGTGTCTTCTATGAGTCCCGTCCTCATGTCCAACATTGAACATATGCCACTACCAAGCACTCAAAAAACCCAAGCTCTGCTCTCAGCTTTTCCTCTAACTTCCCCTCACAAGATGGTACTGCAATAGCCTGTTACTCAAGCCAGAAGCCTGGGGTTCATCATGAATCTTCCTGCCCTGCCCTGCTGTCCTTTTATATCAGTTATCCACTGCTGTGTTGCAAATTGCCCCAAAACAATGGCTTAAGACAACAGCCTTTCTCACAATTCTGAGTTGTCTGGAAAGCTCTGCTGGTCTCTCCCAGGCTGGCTGAAGCAGCTGTCTTCCCCCAGCTAGTATCTGGACTCAGCTATGGCTGCTAGGCCTCTCCACGTGACTTTCGTCTTCACAGGATGGTGGATGGTCTCTGGGCTCCTTCTCTCTTTTTTTTTCCAGACGGAGTCTCGCTCTGTCGCCCAGGCTGGAGTGCAGTGGCGCGATCTCGGCTCACTGCAACCTCCGCCTCCCCAGTTCAAGTGTTTCTCCTGCCTCAGCCTCCCTAGTAGCTGGGATTACAGGTGCCCACCACCATGCCCAGCTATTTTATTTTATTTTTTGTATTTTTAGTAGAGACGGGGTTTCATCATGTTGGTCAGGGTGGTCTTGAACTCCTGACCTTGTGATCTGGTCTCTGGGCTCTTTCTAAGAGGAAAGAGCAGAAGCTGCAAGGTCTGTTGAGGCCTGGGGTCAGAACTCTCCCAGTGCCACTTTTCTCACATTTTTGGGTGAAGGCTAACTACAGGGCCAGCCCAGATCCCACTGGTGGGGAAATAAACCTCATCTCCTGGTGGGGGAAGCTATGAAGTATCTGTGGCCAGCCTTCATCCTTCATGCCTATAATTCTACCATCTATTTGGTAAAACCAAATGAAATTGCCACAGTTTGGCAATTTTTGGCCTAAGCAGCAGCACTTTTATATGGCTCAATCTAATAATTTTGGCTGGGCGCAGTGGCTCATGCCTATAATCCCAGCACTTTGGAAGGCCAAGGCGGGTGGATCACCTGAAGTCTGGCTCAAGACCAGCCTGGCCAACATAGTGAAACCCCATCTCTATGAAAAATACAAAAATTAGCTGGGCATGATGGCGCATGCCTGTAATCCCAGCTACTCGGGGGGCTGAGGCACAAGAATTGCTTGAACCCGGGAGGTGGAGGTTGCAGTGAGCCAAGATCGCACCACTGCACTCCAGCCTGGGCGACAGAGCAAGACTCTGTCTGAAAAAAAAATTTAATACTTTGGAGTTTGTTTTTTAATTTTATAGTTTTTTATAGACAGGGGTCTCACTATGTTGCCCAGGGTGGTCTCAAACTCCTGGCCTCAAGTGATCTTTCTGCCTTGGCCTCCCAAAGTGCCGGGATTACACGTGTCAGCCACCCTGTGTAGCCTCAATCTAATACTTCCTGAATTCACCCTGGTCTGCACTGCCGTGGTCATCTGGTCTACTACACTAGCTTCCTAGCAGGTGCGTATGCCCCCAGAGGTTTTCCTGCAGTTCCTTTGTCTCACAGCAGCCAGTAAGATCTCTGCCACCTTTGAGTGTGATTACCCCACTCCTGCTGAAGACTCCCAACTCATTTACATTTTTCCTAAGTGGCATGTGAGGCCCTCCAGATCAGGCACCTACTTAACTCACCTGCTCCATTTGCTTCCCAGCTCATACCCTCTGCTCCACCTCCACTATTGCAGGACTTTCCTCAGATGCTGGGCTATGTCATAGAGAAGTTGGTTGTCCTGTGACTTTTCCTCTCCAGTTTCTCAGATCTTGAGGACGGTATTTTCTCCCCCACTGCACTCTAAAGCAGAAACAAAAATTCAAAGAAACTGCCAGGACTTAAGGGTGAGGTGAAAAGTGTTCACCTCTAGGAGTCCTGCTAACATGGGCATGAGGGAAGAGAGAGGCGGCTAAAAATAGAGTCCTCTGATGCTGCAGAGGACACTCCCCTCCTCCACCCAGAGGCAAATCATCTGTGGCCAGTCTTGTCCCCTTAAGTCCTTCTCCCGCAAAGAGCTCTGGAGACCTGGACACCCTGTGTGGGAAGAGGAGCCTGGAGGGGGAGTCTTGTTGCTCCACCAAGTTGCCCCCAAACAACTTGTGAGCAGAAGCATCCCCCGCCCTTTGTGAGTAAAGTCCTCGTTCCGCCTCTGCTCTTCCATCACTGGGCTGCGAGTCCCGGGCTCTCAACGGAACTCTTTCCTCTTCACTCAGTCCTTCCCTTCCATCTCATTTTTCCTAATCCTTCCTGTTCCCAAGGTAACAATCACTTCTTCGGGAAGGGTTTTTTTTTTTTTTTTTTTTTGAGTCTGAGTCTCGCTGTCGCCCAGGCTAGAGTGTAGCAGCATGATCTCGACTCACTGCAACCTCCGCCTCCTGGGTTCAAACGATTCTCCTGCCTCAGCCTCCCGAGTAGCTGGGATTACAGGCGCCTGCCACCATACCCGGCTAATTTATGTATTTTTAGTAGAGACGGGGGTTTCACCATGTTGGCCAGGCTGGTCTCGAACTCCTGACCTCAGGTGATCCGCCCCCACCTTGGCCTCTCAAGGTGCTAGGATTACAGGTGTGAGCTACCATGCCAGGCATGTTCCTTCATCACAATCTCCCATAGTGCCCTGTACTTCCTGAATCAGCATTATCTTAGGCAACCTCTGAAGGTCTACATAGATTCTCTCATTCACTCCTTACAACAAAGGTGTTGATTCCTATTTTACAGATAAAGAAGCAGGCACAGAGAGGTCTAGTAATTTGGCCCAGTCTGGCTCCAGGGCCCACACTCTTAACCACAAGGGTGTATTTGCCTCATGCTGCTTTTGGGACTCTTGGTTAAACATATGTCCTCACTTCTATTTGAAGTCCAGTAAGGGTAGTGAGTATATCTAACTTAATCACCACTGAATTCCTAGCTGGCAGCAGGGGGGTACTGCAGAGAAAGCTGCCCTGTTAACGTGTGTTAAGAACCAGGTGTGGTGGCTCACACCTATAATCCCAGTGCTTTTGGGAGGCCAAGGCAGGAGGATCACTTGAGGCCAGGAGTTTGAAGTTACAGTAAGCTATGATCACATCATTGTACTCCAGCCTGGGTGACAGGGCAAGGCCCTGTCTCTGTAACAACAACAACAAAAAAAAAACAGAAGTGGGCCTGGCTCAGTGGCTCACACCTGTAATCCCAGCACTTTGGGAGGCCAAGGTGGGAGAATGGCTTGAGCCTGGGAATTTGAGGCTGCAGTGAGCTGTTTGTGCCACTGCACTCCAGCTTGAGTGACAGAGCAAGACCCTGTCTCCCCCAACAACAACAACAAAATCCTCACACCCTCCTTTTTAATGGTACAAATAAATTTATTACTACTTGTATTTTTTAAGTTGGATTTTTTTCATTACATGGCTTTGTCTATTACCTATAGTTTACATAGAGTACAACGCAAAGATAGTAGGTATAAAATTTCATGAGTTTTGATAATTGTATACACGTATAATCACTGCTTCAATCAAGATATAGAGCATTTTTGGCTGGTGTGGTGGCTCATGCCTGTAATCCCAGCACTTTGGGAGGCCGAGGCAGGCGGATCACTTGAGGTCAGGAGTTTGAGACCAATGTGGCCAATGTGGTGAAACCCTGTGTCTACTAAAAATGCAAAAAATTAGCCAGGCCTGGTAGCGGGCGCCTATAGTCCCAGCTACTCAGGAGGCTGAGACAGGAGAATCGCTTGAACTTGGGAGGTGGAGGCTGCAATGAGCTGAGATTGCGCCACTGCACTCCAGCCTTGGAAATAGAGCAAGACTCCGTCTCAAAAAAAAAAAAAAAAAAAAAGATACAGAGCATTTTCATCATCCCTGAAGTTCCCTTGTACCCCTTCCCAGTCAATCCTACTCACTCTATCTCATCCCCAGGCAACCACTGTTCTGATTTCTATCTCTATAGATTAGATATACCTGTTTTGGGCTTATATGAATGGAATCATGCAATATGTACTCTTTTTGCACCTGGGTTCTTTCATGCAATATAATGTCTATGAGATGTCAAATCTCTCCACTTGATCTTGGCCAAGAGAGCGAGACGCGATGAGATGTCAAATCTCTCATCCATGTTATTGCATGTATTTCATTCCTTTTTATTATTATTTTTTGAGACAGAGTCTTGCTCTGTCACCCAGGCTGGAGTGCAGTGGGGCAATCTTGGCTCCCGCAACCTCCGCCTACCGAGTTCAAGCGATTCTCCTGCCTCAGCCTCTCCCGAGTAGCTGGGATTACAGGCGCACCCCACCACACCTGGCTAATTTTTTTTTTTTTTTTTTTTGAGACCGGGTCTCCCTCTGTTGCCCAGGCTGGAGTGCAGTGGCGCGATCTCAGCTCACTGCAAGCTCTGCCTCCTGGGTTCACACCATTCTCCTGCCTCAGCCTCCCGAGTAGCTGGGACGATAGGCACCCGCCACCACGCCCAGCTAATTTTGTTTTTGTATTTTTAGTAGAGACAGGGTTTCACTGTGTTAGCCAGGCTGGTCTCGATCTCCTGACCTCAGGTGATCCACCTGCCTTGGCCTCCCAAAGTGCTGGGATTATAGGCATGAGCCACTGCGCCCGGCCCTAATTTTTGTATTTTTAGTAGAGGTGAGGTTTCGCCATGTTGGCCAGGCTGGTCTCGAACTCCTGACCTCAGGTGATCCACCAGCCTTGGCCTCCCAAAGTGCTAGGGTTATAGGCGTGAGCCACCGCCCCCGGCCCTTTTTTTGATTTTTAATCAACATTATTGAAAGGTATAATTTATATACCATGATATTTTAAATGCACAAGTTCTCACACAAAAATTAGCCAGGGGTGGTGGCGAAGTGCTATATTCCCAGCTGCTGGGGAGCTGAGGTGCGAGGATCACTTGAGTCTGGGAGATCAAGGCTGCAGTGAGCTGTGAACGTGCCACTGCATTCCAGCCTAGGTGACAGAGCAAGACCCTGTCACAAAAAACAAACAAAAACAGTTATTCTTCCTTGGGAACTGCTTATAAAAAAGAAAAAGCAGGTCAGCACTGTGGCTCACACCTGTAATCCCAGCACTTTGGGCGGCCCAGGCAGGCAGATCCTTGAGCTCAGGAGTTCAAGGCCAGCCTAGCCAACGTGGTGAAACTCCATCTCTACTAAAAATACAAACATTATCTGGGCGTGGTGGCGTGTGCCTGTAATCCCAGCTACTTGGGAGGCTGAGGCAGGAGAACCGCTTGAATCCAGGAAGCAGAGGTTGCAGTGAGCCAAGACCCGGCCACTGCACTCCAGCCTGGGTGATATCTGTAAATAATGGTTCCATGAGTTTAGAAATACAAAGTAGCATGACTTAACAAATTTACACATCTATGTAACCAGGTCCCAATCAAGATACAGAATAATTCTATCACCCAGGAAGTTCTCTTGTGTCTGGACCAAACATCCTTCTCCACAGGTAAGCTCTGTTAGTTTTTATCAGCATAGATTTTATTTGTCCTATTCTTGAATCTCATATAAATAGATTATACATTATGTATTTGGTGGTCCTTCAACATAATGGCCAGGTGTGGTGGCTCATGCCTGTAATCCCAACACTTTGAGAGGCCAAGGCAGGAGGATCTCTGGAGTTAGCAGGAGATCAAAAGCAGCCTGAGCAATATAATGAAGACTTCCGTCTCTGCAAAAAGTTTAAAAACTAGCCAGGAGTGGTGGTGCGGGCCTGTGGGCCCAGCTACCTGGGAGGCTGAGGTGGGAGGTCAAGGGTGCAGTGAGCCGAGATCACACCACTGCATTCCAGCCTGGGCGACACAATGAGACCCTGACTCAAAAAAGAAACGAAAAAACGCATTGTGTGTTGTGTTTATTGGATGGTGGAATTATGGGGTTTACGGGTCTTCTGTTGCGTTTTGGTTTTTGTTTTCTTACCTGTTATCGCGTTCCTAACAGTAGAAATTGGCATCATATAGTATTCTCATGGAACTTTCCTTTGTTCAAAGCCCTACAGTTCAGAGACTTACACATTTAATGTGAGATATGACAGGCTTAAAAAGAAACGTTGGGGGCCGGGCGCGGTGGCTCACGCCTGTAATCCCAACACTTTGGGAGGCTGAGGCGGGAGGATCACAAGGTCAGCAGTTCGAGATCAGCCTGGCCAACATGGTGAAACCCCATCTCTACTAAAAATACAAAAATTAGCCGGGCGTGGTGGCGGGCACCTGTAATCCCAGCTACTCGGGAGGCTGAGGTAGAATAGCTTGAACACGGAGGCGGAGGTTGCAGTGAGTCGAGATCCCGCCACGGCACTCCAGCCTGGGACAGAGCGAGACTCCGTCTCGAAAAAAAATAATAAAATAAATAATAAAATAAATAAAATAAAATAAACGTTGGCTTATTTCAGTGTGAAGTAAGGCAATAAACGGAGGGCTAACAGTTCCACTTCGTAGAGCTCAGACATTTTAAGAAGCGAGGAGGCCGCGTCCTGGAAGGGTGAGCAAAAAGCGCGAGGTTTGCGCACGAAGGGAAAGGCGAGGCCCGAGGAGAGACCTGGCGCCGCGCAGAATGATGATGTCGCACGCTGGGTGGGAACTGACGTCACCTGTGCTCACCGCCGCTTCCGGTCCGCGTGAGGTGCATTCTCGCGCCGGTGGCGAGGTTAGGGCCCGCGTTGCGACGTGGTGCAGCGCATATTTTCACAAGTGGGTCTCCCTTGTCCGGGACTATGGCCACCGACTCGTGGGCCCTGGCGGTGGACGAGCAGGAAGCGGCTGTCAAGTCGGTCAGTAGCTCAGCTCCTGGCGAGGAGGACGTAGCAGGGGCCCAAGCGAAACCTCCCAAAAGCACAGGGAGCTCCCCGGGTTGGGGAGGCCCCTGGGCAACGCGCTCCTGCAGTTTGCTAGGGCAGTCACTTGCCCTTGATTTGCTCTTAGAGCTAAAGAGACCAATGTCGAGCTTTTTATCTCCATCTGGGCTGGTTAAGGACTTCATCCTTTGGTAAATCCGCCCCACTATGCATGCTGTCATTCCTCTATTGACCTCCTCGGTGACGATTATAAGGAAAGCCAAGTTTAGATTCTGATTCTCTTTTTCATTACGCGACTGTTCTTCGCATGTTTCTGTACTACTCTGTATTTAACATTTCTTAGATCCATGCTTAACGTGGTTGGTAGTTTGTAGCTCTTTGCAGAATAACAGATTGACTTTTGGATTTAATACCTCAATCTACTGCAGATGTTGGAAGGAGGCACTACAAATTGTTTCATTGATGTGTAAAGTAACGGTTTCATGTACTTGTTCTTTCAGTAATGAA
Organism: Homo sapiens; assembly: GCF_000001405.40. Classification (NCBI taxonomy): domain Eukaryota; kingdom Metazoa; phylum Chordata; class Mammalia; order Primates; family Hominidae; genus Homo; species Homo sapiens. Next base: position 70,347,580 of record NC_000016.10, read on the forward strand.
TATTCATTCAACTGGAATGTAATTACAGCATACACTGTGGCTTTCTGTTCTTATATCTAAGACCTAAACTTTAGGTTTGTTTAGTGATAATGGACTGTCTTTTTTTTTGTTGTAGTTGTTTCTCTTTTGAGGCAGAGTTTTGCTCTTGTTGCCCAGGCTGGAGTGCAATGGCGCCATCTCGGCTCACCGCAACCTCCGCCTCCCGGGTTCAAGCGATTCTCCTGCCTCAGTCTCCCGAGTAGCTGGGATTACAGGCATGCGCCACCACGCCCGGCTAATTTTGTATTTTTTGTAGAGACGGGGTTTCTCCATGTTGGTCAGGCTGGTCTCGAACTCCCGACCTCAAGTGATCCGCCCACCTCGGCCTCCCAAAGTGCTGGGATTACAGCCGTGAGTCACCGCGCCCAGCCGGTATGGGGATTTTTGAGAGGGCTATTGACAGAATTAGACAAGGCTGGCAAGGATTTATTGAACTACAGAGAACAGAATATGTTAGAAGTGATGGCTAATAGAAATATCAGTGTAGAAGTTATTCTGATAGCCCCGAGATAGAGGGCCTATGTTGGGCAGTGGAAGTGAAAATTAAGGGATGGGTATAAGATATGAAGGTAGAATGGGTAGGACTTGCTAACATAATAAAGGAGAGAAGGGAGATAAAGCCAAAGGTTTCTGTTTTCAACCTGGATCCTATTGGTACTACTAACGTCCCAATAACAGGAATAGGAAAGTGGGAGGAAGGGCAGATTTGATAGAATGGTGAAGGCAGCCGGGCATGATGGCACCCACCTGTGATCCCAGCACTTTGGGAGGCCGAGGCGGGCAGATCACTCGAGGTCAAGAGTTTGATACCAGCCTGGCCAACATAGTGAAACCCTGTCTCTACTAAAAATACAAAAGTTAGCCAGGCGTGGTAGTCGTCCCCTGTTAATACCAGCTACTCAGGAGGCTGAGGCATGAGAATTGCTTGAACCTGGGAGGTGGAGGTTGCAGTGAGCCAAAATTACGCCACTGCACTCCAGCCTGGGCTACTGAGTGAGACTCTGTCTCAAAAAAAAAAAAAAAAAAAAAAAGAGGTGAAGGCTGGGCACAGTGGCTCACACCTGTAATCCTAGCACTTTGGGAAACTGAGACAGGCAGATCAGTTGAACCCAGGAGTTCAAGACCAGTGTGGGCAACATGGCGAAACCCCATTTCTACAAAAATACAAAAAAAATTAGCTGGGCGGGGTGGTGGTACACTCCTGTAGTCCCAGTTACTCAGGATGCTGAGGTGGGAGGATCACCTGAGCCTAGGGAGGTTGAGGCTGCAGTGAGCTGTGATCACACCACTGCACTCCAGCATGGGTGACGGTGAGACCCTGTTTCAAAAAAAGAAAAAAGGGAATGGTGAGTTCAGGTTTGGCTGTTCTGAATTTAAAATAAGGAAACATCTTGGTAAGTACCTGTTGTGGGAGTCCCCAAGAGATGCCAGGTTTGACGATTTGTTAGGAGAACTCACAGGCTCAGTATGTAGTTGTACTCACAACTATGATTTATTATAGTGAAAAGATACAAAGCAAAATTAGTGGAGGAAAAAGGCTCATGGGCTAAGTCCAGAGGAAACCAGGCAAACTTCCAAGTTATCTCCCAATGGAGTCCACAGAGTGTGCTTCATTCTTCCGGTAGCAAATTGTAACAGCACATATGAAGTGGTGTCAGGGAAGCTTGTTAGAGACTCTACTTGAGGCTTTTATTGGGGGGCTGTCATATAGTCACCCTGTGCCTAGCATGTACCAGAATTCCAGACTTCCAGAAGGAATGCAGGTGGTTAGCATAAATTACATGCAACTGTTTTTAAAAAGAGTTGAGGCAGACTGACCCCCTCTTATCAGTTCTAGGAATGATGGGAACCTTCCCAAAGTCCAAGTTCGCAGGTGACAGCCAAGGGCCAGCCTTGCAAATAGGCTTTCCTAAGGAGAGCGGTCAGGCCTGCTGTGTTCTCTTCTGCCCGGTAGCCATCAGACATTTGGAAATACAGCACTGGAGTTCAGGAGAAGGAGCAGGTCAGAGGTATAAAACTGGCAGTTTCCACAAAGAAATTACAAAGCATTATCAAGGGCATGGTCCTTGCACTCTGGAGTTTAAAATCTAGCGTTTAGCATCAGATCTTCTCTGAAAGAGTTACTGAGAATTGGTTTCAAACCTTGTGAAATCTGTGATCCTAACCTAGCTGTGACATGAATATCACAAATATAGGCCTAAACATACTTGGTATCTGGTTCTAAGCATCCAGCTTATCAGAAGGCTGGTATAAATAAAGGCTTCCTAATAGTTGGAGAAGACCTTTTTTTTCACCATGTAGACTTGTGTACCTTCACTTAATAAATGATTCATGGTCTTAGGTTATCATGTGGTTCTGCTCTCTAGTGTAGAGATAACCAATGAAAGTGACAGAAGGCTGGGTGCAGTGACTCACACCTGTAATCCCAGTGCTTTGGGAGGCCAAGGTGGGAGGATTGCTTGAGCCCAGGAGTTCGAGTTTGAGTTCAAGTAGGCATGGTGGTCCACACCTGTGTTCCCAGCTACTAGGGAGGCTGAGGTGGGAGGATCGCTAGAACCCAGGAGGTTGAGGCCGCAGTGAGCCATGATCGTGCTGCTGTACTCCAGCCTAGGTGACAGAGTGAGACCTTGTCTCAGAAAATAAATAAATAGAAAGAACTTGAGTTGGGAGATGAGCAGAGGTTGAGGTTTTCTGAAACTTTCCCCCCAACCATTATATTTAGTCCACCCCTCCCCTTGTTTTAAGGCTGTTGAAGATATTTGAAATGATGGTTTCACACAGACTTTCAGCAACTCTACTTTGAGGGAACAAACCGACTCCCTGAATACTGGTGCTGAAAGTTTCACACTAGACTTTTACTAGAAAGTTTTTCTTTTCTTAGGGACCTTCCTTTTATTGGGTCCTTTGCTTAACTCTGTTTTCTTTTATTTCTATTCAGATGACCAATTTGCAGATCAAGGAAGAGAAAGTCAAAGCAGATACCAATGGTGAGTCACTAGTAACTACAAGCTAGAAAAGAGTTCCATGTGGGCCGCTGCTTTGCACTCATAGCTGCATTGTACAAAGAGCTGTCATTTCGTGTAAACTTCAGCTGTTTACAAGCCAGTGAATTAGATTTTGTTACTGAAGGGATATGTCGATTTTCCACATTTTATCCTTTGACTTCTTAAAATTAAGAGTCTCTCTATTGGATTGTACTGCTACTGTTCATTTGATAATATTTTGGCAAATTATTTATTTATTTATTTATTTATTTATTTATTTATTTATTTATTTTGAGACGGAGTCTCGCTCTGTCGCCCAGGCTGGAGTGCAGTGGCACAATCTTGGCTCACTGCAAGCTCTGCCTCCTGGGTTCATAACCATTCTCCTGCCTCAGCCTCCCGAGTAGCTGGGACTACAGGCGCTTGCCACCACGCGCTAGTTTTTTTTTTTTTGTATTTTTAGTAGAGATAGGGTTTCGCCGTGTTAGCCAGGATGGTCTTGATCTCCTGTCCTCGTGATCCACCCACCTCAGCCTCCCAAAGTGCTGGGATTACAGGTGTGAGCCACTGTGCCCGGCCTAAATTTTTTATTTTTTATATTAGATTTTTAAAATTTTATTTGAGACAGGGTCTCACTCTGTCGTGCAGGCTAGAGTGGAGTGGCGTGATCTTGGCTCACTGCAACCTCTGCCACCCAGGCTCAAGAGATCCTCCCACCTCAGCCTCCCAGGTAGCTGAGACTACAGGCATCCACCACCACACCTGGCTAATTTTTTATATTTTTAGTAGAGGCGGGGCTTTGTCATATTGCCCAGGCTGGTCTTGACCTCCTGAGCTCAAGCGATCTGCCTGCCTCAGCCTCCCACAGTGCTGGGATTACAGGCATGAGTCACTGCACTTGGCCTAATTTTATTATTTATTTATTTATTTTTATTTTTTTTTGAGACAGTCTCACTCTGCCACGCAGGCCGGAGTGCAGTGGTGTGATCTCGGCTTACTGCAAGCTCCGCCTCCCAGGTTCACGCCATTCTTGTGCCTCAGCCTCCCAAGTAGCTGGGACTACAGGCGCCCGCCACCATGCCCAGCTAATTTTTTTTTTGTATTTTTAGTAGAGATAGGGTTTCACCGTGTTAGCCAGGATGGTCTCGATGTCCTGACCTCGTGATCCACCCCGCTTGGCCTCCCAAAGTGCTGGGATTACAGGTGTGAGCCACCACGCCCGGCCAATTTTATTTTATTTTTTTAAATAAAATCCAGATCCTGCATGAGGTAAATTTTTTAACTTTTTGAAAAGTGAATCTGGGTTCAAAACTCAGAAAGTATAATAAAGTACAAGGATTAGGGCCCACCCTAGTGACCTCATCTTAACTACAGCTGTAGCAACCCTATTTCAAAATAAGGTCACATTCTGAGGTACTGGTTAGGACTTGAATATATGAGTTTGAGGTCAGCGGGCCACACACAATTCAGCTCATAACACCATCCTATCCCATAAGTAGCCACTGTTCATGGATTTTTAATATTCTTCCAAAGACTTTATGCAAAGCAAATATAAGTGTAGATTCTCATATTCTCTCTCTCAACCAAAACGTGGCGTGATATATACAGTATACTTACTTTTTCACTCAACAGTATCCCTTGGCAAACTTTCCATATCAATACATGCAGTTTCATCCATGTCTTTTTTTTTTTTTTTTTTTGAGGCAGAGTCTTTCTCTGTCACCCAGGCTGGAGTGCAGTGGTGCAATCTTGGCTCACTCCAACCTCCGCCTCCCGGGTTCAAGCGATTCTCCTGCCTCGGCTTCCTGAATAGCTGGGATTACAGGTGTCCGCCATCATGCCCAGCTAATTTTTGTATTTTTAGTGGAGACGGGGTTTCACCATGTTGGCCAGGTTGGTCTTGAACTCCTGACCTGATGATCTGCCCGCCTCGGCCTCCCAAAGTGCTGGGATTACAGGCGTGAGCCACTGTGCCTGGCCCTTCCTTGTGTTTTATAATTATGTGATACTGCATTGTGTCGATCTACCACGATTTTTTTTTTTTTTTTTTTTTGAGATGAAGTTTCACTCGTTGCCCAGGCTGGAGTGCAATGATGTGATCTCGGCTCACCGCAACCTCCACCTCCGGGGTTCAAGCGATTCTCCTGCTTCAGCCTTCCAAGTAGCTGGGATTATAGGCATGTGCCACCACGCCTGGCTAATTTTGTGTTTTTTTAGTAGAGATGGGGTTTCTCCATCTTGGTCAGGCTGGTCTCGAACTCCTGACCTCAGGTGATCCGCCCACCTCAGCCTCCCAAAGTGCTGGGATTACAGGCTTGAGCCACCGCATCTGGCTGATATACCATGATTTTTAAAGCAATCATAGATGTTTGGGTGGTCCCATTCTTTTGCTATTATAAATAATGCTTCATGAAATAACCATGAACTTAGCTCTTTTTACATGTATGCAAGTGTCTGTAGGATAAATTCCCCAAAAATGGATTTGCTAGGTCAAAGGTATATGCATTTGCGATTTTTTCTTTCTTTCTTTTTTTTTTTCTTTGAGATGGATTCTCTGTTGCCCAGGCTGGAGTACAGTGGGGGCTCACTGCCACCTCTGCCTGCCAGGTTCAAGCAATTCTTCTGTCTCTGCATCCCGAGTAGCTGGGATTACAGGTGCCTGCCTTGCATGCCCAGCTAATTTTTTGTATTTAGTAGAGACAGGGTTTCACCGTATTACCCAGACTGCTCTTGAACTTCTGAGCTCAGGCAATCCGCTCGCTTGGCCTCGCAAAGTGCTAGGATTACAGGCACGAGCCACCACGCCTGGCCTTTTTTTAAAATTTTTTTTAAGACGTGATCTTGTAGGTTGGACACAGTGGCTCATGCCTGTAATCCCAGCACTTTGGGAGGCCGAGGCGGGCAGATCATGAGGTCAGCCCTATCAGATTGGCAAATTCTAAAAGTTTGACTATTAATTCTGTGATGAGATTGTAGGGAAACACTCTCATTCTTGCTGATGGAAATATTAATTGGTGGCCGGGCACAGCGGCTCATGCTTGTAATTCCAGCACTTTGGGAGGCTGAGGCGGGTGGATCACCTGAGGTCGGGAGTTTGAGACCAGCCTGGCCAATATGGTGAAACCCTGTCTCTACTAAAAATACAAAAATTGCCCGGGCATGGTGGTGCATGCCTGTAGTCCCAGCTACTCGGGAGGCTGAGGCAGAGGAATCACTTGAACCTGGGGGGCAAAGGTTGCAGTGAGCCGAGATCGTGCCACTGCACTTCATCCTGGGCAACAGAGTGAGACTCTGTCTCAAAAAAAAAAAAAAAAAACACAGGCTCTTGCTCTGTCACCCAGGCTGCAGTGCAGTGGCTCAAACTCCTGGGCTCAAGCTGTTCTCCTGCCTCAGCCTCCTGAATAGCTGGGATTATAGGCTAATTTTTTAAATTTTTAGTAGAGACTAGGTCTTGCTATGTTGCCCAGGCTGACATTTGCAATTTTTGTCAGTATTTTCAAAGTCTTTTCCTTAGGTATTATACCAATTAATATTTCTGGGGTTTTTTTTTTTCTTTTTTTGAGACGGAGCTTTGCTCTTGTTGCCCAGGCTGGAGTGCAATGGCGTAATCTCAGCTCACTGCAACCTCCGCCTCCCAGGTTCAAGCGATTCTCCTGCCTCAGCCTTCCCGAATAGCTGGGATTACAGGCATGCGCCACCACACCCAGCTAATTTTGTATTTTTTAGTAGAGACAGGTTTTCTCCATGTTGGTCAGGCTGGTCTCAAACTCCCGACCTCAGGTGATCCACCCGCCTCAGCCTCCCAAAGTGCTGGAATTACAGGCATGAGCCGCTGTGCCCAGCCACCAATTAATATTTCCATCAGCAAGAATGAGAGTGTTTCCCTACAATCTCATCACAGAATTAATAGTCAAACTTTTAGAATTTGCCAATCTGATAGGTAAAAAATGGTAGACTATGTTTGCTAATAAGGCTGTATTTTAAAGTAGGGCTAGTAAGAGGTAACATATTCTGATCTGTCTGAAATTAGTCAAAATTTCTAGAAATTTAAAATTTTTCACCAGGTATAGTAGTTCATGCCAGTAATCCTAGTGCTTTGGGAGGCCAAGGCAGGAGGATTACTTGAGGCCAGGAATTTGAGAACAGGCTGGGCAACATGGCAAGACTCCATCTCTACGAAAATATTTTTGTTTTAAATTAGCTGGGAATAGTGGTGCATGCCTGTAGTGCTAGCTACTCAGGAGGTTAAGGCAGGAGGATGTGGTGGCATGCACCTGTAGTCCCAGCTAAGTGGGAGCCTGGGGTGGGAGGATCACTTCAGCTCAGGAGGTTGAGGTTGTAGTGAGCTATGATTGCACCACTGCACCTTAGCCTGGGCAACAGAGGGAGACCCTGTCTCAAAAAAAAAAAAATTTCTAGAAATAAAAATTCACTAAACATAAAGAAATGCCAACTATTTATATTTTGATTACTTAAAATAACTTTTCAGGCTGGACGCTGTGGCTCACGCCTGTAATCCCAGCACTTTGGGAGGCCAAGGTGGGCGGATCACTTGATCGAGGTCAGGAGTTCAAGACCATCCTGGCCAACGTGGTGAAACCCCGTCTCTACTAAAATTACATAAATTAGCCAGGCATGGTGGTGCGTGCCTAATCCCAGCTACTCAGGCGGCTGAGGCGGGAGAATTGCTTGAACCCAGGAGGTGGAGGTTGCAGTGAGCCAAGGTTGCGCCATTGCACTCCAGCCTTGGGCTACAAGAGGAAAACTCCGTCTGAAAAATAAAAAAATAAAATAAATTTCAGTGTATTTATTTATATTGTCCCACATTTTTGGTGGTTCTCATATTTGCCTTTCTAATTATGACAATTGTTTTCTTGTGTAGGTATTATCAAAACCAGTACCACTGCCGAGAAAACAGATGAAGAGGAGAAAGGTAACTACTTTTGGATGCCCTTGGCAAGAGACGGTATGACCCAGGGCTTGCCTTCCTGGAGCCAGGGGCACTCCAAGCTACAAGATCCAGGAGATGAGAGGAATCAGAGAAGGAATAGTCAGTGAGAGGAGGAGAACAAAACAAGTCCGAAAGCGGTAGCTCACACCTGTAATCCCAGCACTTTGGGAGGCCGAGGTGGGAGGATTCCTTTGGGCCAGGAGTTCAAGACCAGCCTGGGCAACATACTGAGACCCCATCTCTACAAAAGATTTCAAAATGAGCTGGGTGTGGTAGCACACACCTGTACTCCCAGCTACTTGGGAGGCTGAGGTGGGACGATTGCCAGAGCCCAGGAATTCTAGACTACAGTGAGCTCTGATTGCTCCACTGCACTCCAGCCTGGGTGACAGCAAGACCCCATCTCTAAAATAAATAAATAGAGACCTATCAGTGTGATGGTTTTTCTCCAGCCGTGCTTGACTGCCCAGGTGCTAGTGTGGAGAGGGAGAAAGAGTGGCTTCATAAGCCTGGGGTTTGCCAGATGAGTATGAAGATCTACTGGTTTCTTCCTGACAGAGGACAGAGCTGCCCAGTCCTTACTCAACAAGCTGATCAGAAGCAACCTTGTTGATAACACAAACCAAGTGGAAGTCCTGCAACGGGATCCAAACTCCCCTCTGTACTCGGTGAAGTCGTTTGAAGAGCTTCGGCTGTGAGTATTCGCTCCTTTCAACAGCTCTTCGTTGCCAGTCTCTCCCCACATAAAACTTAGCATCTGAGAGATTCTTGTGAGAATTTTACTTTTAAAAATTTAGTGTATTTTTTCCTTTTTTTTTTCGAGACAGAGTTTCGCTCCTGTTGCCCAGCCTGGAGTGCAATGGCGTGATCTCAGCTCACTGCAGCCTCTGCCTCCCGGGTTCAAGCGATTCTCCTGCCTCAGCCTCCCAAGTAGCTGGGATTACAGGCGCCCACCACCATGTCAAGCTAATTTTTTGTATTTTTAGTAGAGACGGGGTTTCACCATGTTGGCCAGGCTGGTCTTGAACTCCTGACCTCAGGTGATCTGCCTGCCTCGGCCTCTCAAGGTGCTGGGATTACAGGCGTGAGCCACCGTGCCTGGCTATTTTTTTTCTTTGAAAAGAAGTCACATGAATAAGTCACATGATTCAAAAGTCAAAAAGTATGAAAAAATTTGCAGTATTAATCTCCCACCCTTGTGTCCTTGGCTATCCTGTTCTCTTGGTAGGAATTTTTTAATGCTTCAAATTGATTTATCATAGCTAAAAGTCTTATTTCTCTTATACTCTTAGAACTTTCAATAAAATATTGGCTGACAGGTGATTTCTGGATGTCAGGAACATTTCTGATTAGGTAAGCCCTTAAGTGAGAACATGTGCTATTTGTTTTTTTTTTACAAAAAAAAAAAAAAAAGGCCAGGCACAGTGGCTCACACCTGTAATCCCAGCACTTTGGGAGGCCAAGGCAGGCAGATCACAAGGTCAGGAGTTCAAGACCAGCCTGACCAACATGGTGAAACCCTGTCTCCACTAAAAATACAAAACTCAAAACTTAGCCAGGTGTGATATCACAGGCCTGTAATCTCAGCTACTCAGGAGGCGGAGGCTGAGGCAGGAGATCACTTGAACCTGTGAGGCGGAGGTTGCAGTAAGCCAAGTTCGTGCCACTGCACTCCAGCCTGGGCAACAGAGCGAGACTCTCTCTCAAAAAAAAAAAAATATATATATATATATATGTATATTTAGACTATAGGGTTTACAGTCTTACAGTTTATCTGCTTTTTAAAAAATCTGTCAAATCTGTTTTTGGTTTGTTTTTTTTTTTTTTTTTTTTTTTTTTTTTTTTTTTTGAGACCAAGTCGTGCTCTGTTGCACAGGCTAGAGTGCAGTGGCGTGATCTCAGCTCACCACAACCTCCACCTCCCAGGTCCAAGCGATTCTCCTGCCTTAGCCTCCCGAGTTAGCTGGGACTACAGGCGTGTGCCACAACACCCAGCTAATTTTTGTATTTTTAGAAGAGACAGGGTTTCACTATGTTGGGCAGGCTGGTCTCGAATTCCTGATCTCATGATCTGCCCGCCTCGGCCTCCCAAAGTGCTGAGATTACAGGCATGACCCACTGTGCCCGGCCTTACGTTTTAGGTTTACTTCAGTAAATTAATAGAGGATTAAGTGTGGATCATTGTGTTATATACATGCCACTGTGCTGGATGTTACAAGGAACACAAGACCTACTTATTATTCTTGCTGCCTGCCAGGATCACAATCATAGAAAGTAGCTGATGAATAAGAATATGGTGGAATCAATGGATTCTTTGCCTTAGTTCAGCAAAATCTATAGTATGGCCACTATGGACAAATTGAAGCCACATTCCTTCCAGCTATTACCACTGAGAAAGAGACACTTAAAACAAGAAAGCTAACTAGTTGTTAAGTAATCTTGAAGAACAATTTTTTATTTTTATTTTTTATTTCTATTCATTTATTTATTTACTTTTGAGACTGTCTCACTCTGTTGCCCAGGCTGGAGCGCAGTGGCACAATCTTGGCTCACTGCAACCTCTACCTCCCGGGTTCAAGCGATTCTCGTTCCTCAGCCTCTCACGTAGCTGGGATTACAGGCCTGAGCCACCACACCTGGCTAATTTTGGTATTTTTAGTAGAGACAGCGTTTCATCATGTTGGCCAGGCTGGTCTCAAACTCCTGGCCTCAAGCGATCTGCCCGCCTCAACCTCCCAGGCTGCTGGGATTACAGGCATGAGCCACTGCACCCAGCCTTATTTTTTTATTTTTAAAAATAGAGATGTGGTGTCACTGTGTTGGCCAGGTTGCTCCTGAACTCCTGTGGTCAAAGAGTCCTCCTGCCTCAGCCTCCAAAATTGCTAGGATTACAGGTGTGAGCCACTGCACCTGGCCCAATAACTTTTTTTTTTTTTTTTTAATAGGATGAGGTTTTACCATGTTGCCCAGGCCAGACCAAAAATGTATTTTTAAACAGTTATACTTTAGGTCGGGCACGGTGGCTCACGCCTATAATCACAGCACTTTGGGAGGTCAAGGCAGGTGGATTGTCTGAGGTCAGGAGTTCGAGACCAGACTGGTCAAAATGATGAAACCCCATCTCTACTAAAAATACAAAAAAATTAGCCGGCTGTAATGGCACATGGCTTGTAGTCCCGGCTACTCAGGAGGCTGAGGTAGGAGAATTGCTTGAACCCAGGAGGCGGAGGTTGCAGTGAGCCGAGATCATGCCGTTCGTTGCACTCCAGCCTGGGAGATAAAAGCGAAACTCCTTCTCAAACGGAAATTATGCTTTTCTATGTGTTTTCTCTGTCAAGGACTTTATTCACCAAATCTGTCATCTCCACTTTTATTTTTAAGCTGTATCAGGACAGCTAGACATGTGGTATGATTTCCTTAGAGTGACAGTTTGCTCCTCCAAGTATCAACTGCCTTTTTAAATTTCTTCCCTTTAGAAGACGTGAGCTCTCAGTTTAACCACTGATGAATTGTCCTCTGTAAAAGACAGGTTCTCTCTGATTTAGTTGTTGGTAGGAAAAGGAAACAAAGAATGAAACCAAGATCACCTAATGTACTTGGTCTGCTTTGTACCTAAAATATTTGAGTTAATCTGCAAAATCAAAGAAAACTGAGTCAGTGGAAGCTGTTGGATCATTTGAGTCCCAATTAAGGTAGTGACTTTGTTTCCTTGGCAACCAAGTCAGAAGCTGCCGAGTGTCACAGCATTTTCTCCCAAATGGAAGATATGAAAGATTATGTTTTTAAATTTCTTTGTGTCTGAGAACCAACATACGCCAGAGAATTTGCCTTTTAGAGAGCCTGCTAAACTCCAAGGAAGGCTTAGAGAACAGTTGGGTTGCCTTTTCTTTAGAAACAATCTGGTATGATTTTTCTTAAACATCTTGTCAATTTAGAGGTAGCAGAGAGCTGATTGTAAATGCAATGTAAGAGCAACTTAAATTGATAATTCTTGTGTAGCTGTTTACATAAGAAGTTGGTGTCCAGGTGCGGTGGCTCACGCCTGTAATCCCAGCAGTTTGGGAGGCTAAGGTGAGTGGATCTCTTGAGCTCAGAAGTTCATGACCAGCCTGGGCAACATGGTGAAACCTTATCTCTACAAAAAATAAAAAAAAATTAGCCGGGTGTGGTGGCATGTGCCTGCAGCCCCAGCTACTCAAGGGTGGGAGGATCTCTTGAGGCCTGGGAGGTGTCGGTTGCAGTGAGCCCAGTTCACACAACTGCACTCCAGCCTGGGCGACAGAGTGAGAACGTCTCTCAGAAAGAAGTAGTTAGTGTTTGTCTGTTTATTTTGATTAGACCTAAGTGAATCTGAGCATTTGTAAAGTTTAGTAGGTTAATCGAACCACCTTTATTTACTGTATATCAGCTACTAGAAACTGGCTTCATCAATTTTCTTTTTTTATGGCCGGGCGCTACAGCTCACGCCTGTAATCCTAGCACTTTGGGAGGCCGAGGCAGGTGGATCACCTGAGATTAGGAGTTCAAGACCAGCCTGGCCAACATGGCGAAACCCTGTTTCTACTAAAAATACAAAAATTAGCCAGGTGTGGCAGTATGCGCCTGTAATCCTAGCTCCTCAGAAGGCTGAGGTAGGAGACTCGCTTGAACCCAGGAGGCAGAGGTTGCAGTGAGCCAAGATCACGCTATTGCACTCTAGCTTGAGCAACAGAGCAAGACTCCATCTCAAAAAAAAAAATTTTTTTTTTCTTTTTTCTTTCTTTCTTTCTTTTTTTTTTTTTTTTTAAGAGATGACCTGGCCTTGTTGCCCAGCCCAGAGTGCAGCGGGGCAATCATGGCTCGCTATAGTCTCTAACTCTTAGCCTCAGGCAATCCTCCTGCCTCAATCTCCCAAGTAGCTAGGACTACAGGTGCATGCCACCATGCCCAGCTCATTTTTCTTTTTTGTTTTGTTTTGTTTTGTTTTGTTTTAGAGACAGGGTCTCACTGTGTTGCCCAGGCCGGTCTTGAACGCCTGGACTCCTCAAGCAGTCGTCCCACCTAGGCCTCCCAAAGTGCTGGGATTACAGGCGTGAGCTACCACGCCCAGCCCATCAATTTCCTTACCTATTGATTGTCTGGAGTATTTGCATAGCTGGCTTTGGAAGGAACATGGAACAAAAGGACTTCTAAATCTTAGCAGTATAGTAAATAGTGTTTATTTTCATTTATTATTTACTTTAGAGTCCCACTCTGTCACCCTGGTTGGAGTGCAGTGGCTCAGTCACAGATCACTGCAGCCTTGACCTCCTGAGCTCAAGTGAGCCTCCCACCTCAGCCTCTTGAGTAACTGGGACTACAGGTGTGTCCAGCTATTTTTTGTATTTTTTTGTAGAGACGAGGTATCACCATGTTGCCCAGGCTGTTCTCGAACTTCTGGCCTCAAGCAGTTGGCCTGCCTTGACCTCCCAAAGTGCTGAGATTACAGGCATGAGTCACTGTACCTGACCTGTTTTTAGATATATCTTTTATAATTTATGTAATGCTATGAATTAATAACCACCACCCTTGCTGTGTCCAGGGAACACTTGTCTTCCAAGGCCAGCCAGATTTGCGGGTCTGCTGAAAGCATTAATTTCTCTAAGAAAAGAAACCATTCTGTATTTTATGAATTATAGAATAGTTGCAGATTAAGATTCCTTAGGGAAGGGCGGTAGCTTGGTTTGATTTGGTTTGGTTTTTGACAGTGTTTTTTTAAGGCATAGGAAAATACGTCTGACAGAGGTAGGAGGCATCATTCCTTTCTATAGAAAAAGATAAGATTCTAGGCCTCTAAAACAATTCTAACTTCTAGGCATCCATCCTCTGTCTTCCTGGCTTCCTAGGAAACCACAGCTTCTCCAGGGAGTCTATGCCATGGGCTTCAATCGACCCTCCAAGATACAAGAGAACGCATTACCCATGATGCTTGCTGAACCGTGAGTATGCAGATGAAGCGCATCTCACCCAGTGTGATTAGATCAATCTTCCCCAAACTGCGTTTTTGTGCCTGAGAACAGAAGGAGCTGTTTGGGGCCACGTGTTTCCTCAGGAATACAGCTTAGGCAAGTGCAGAGAGAATCGGATGGAGTTAGCTACAGTTTCTGCCTTTCCCACTTAACAATAGAAACTTATAGAGAAAGGTAGTGCTTTATTCCATGCTATCTTAAAAACTGGGCTTAAGGCCGGGCATGGTGGCTCACTCCTGTAATCCTAGCACTTTGGGAGGCCGAGGCGGGCGGATCACCTGAGGTCAGGAGATTGAGTCCAGCCTGGCCAACATGGCAAAACCCTGTCTCTACTAAAAATACAAAATTAGCTGGGCACGGTGGCCCAAACCTGTAATCCTAGCACTTTGGGAGGCCAAGGTGGGCGGATTGCCTGAGCTCAGTAATTCGAGACCAGCCTGGGCAACATGGTGAAACCCCGTCTTACTAAAATCAAAAAAAAAAAAATATCCAGGCCTGTTGGCATGTGCCTGTAGTCCCAGCTACTCAGGAGGCTAAGGCAGGAGAATTGCTTGAACCCGGGAGGCAGAGGTTGCAGTGAGCCGAGATGGTGCCACTGTACTCTAGCCTGGTGACAGCAAGACCCTGTCTCAAAAAAAAAAAAAAACTAAACTAAAAATACAACAATTAGCCTGGCATGGTGGCACGTACCTGTGGTCATGTAGCTGAGGCAGGAGAATTGCTTGAACCCCAGAGGCAGAGGTTGCAGTGAGCCGAGACATGCCACTGCACTCTAGCCTGGGAAACATAGACTCTGTCTCAAAAAAAAAAAAAAAAAAAAAACTGGGTTTAAAAAATATTATTTTGATGTGAATGGTGTTGCAATAAATTCAAAAACAAACAAAATATTATTTGGAAATTTTTGAGACCTACACAAAGGTGTAAAGAACAATACCAAGAACACCTCTGTAGCCCTATCCTGCCAAGAAAGGAAGCAGGTCCAGTTGATAGTTGAAGCCCCTGAATTCCCCTCCTTCCACATCCTTCTCCCACCCTGACAAGACTAAGTTCCTTTTGAGACAGGGTCTCATTCTGTTTCCCCATCTAGAGTGCAGTGGTGCAATTACAGCCCACTGCAGCCTCGACCTCCTGGGCTTAATTAATCCTCTCACCTCAGCCTCCGGAGTAGCTGGGACTATAGGCATGTGCCACCATGCCCAGCTGACTTTAAAAAAACTTTTTTGTAGTTTGAGAAGCTGAGGCAGGTGGATCACTTGAGGTCAGGAGTTTGAGACCAGCCTGGCCAACATGGTGAAACCCCGTCTCTACAAAAAATACAAAAAAATTAGCCGGGCTTGGTGGCGCACACCTGTAATCCCAGCTGCTAGGGAGGCTGAGGTGGGAGGATCGCTTGAACCCAGGAAACAGAGGTTGCAATGAGCCAAGATTACACCATTGCACTCCAGCCTGGGCGACAGAGTAAGACTCTGTCTCAAAAAAAAAAAAAAAATTTGTAGAGACAGGGTATCACTATGTTGCCAGGGCTGGTCTCAAACTCCTGGCCTCAAGTGATTCTCCAGCCTCAGCCTCCCAAAGTGTTGGGATTATAGGCATGTGTTACTGCACCTGGCATATTTATCATTTTTTCTTTTTTGAGATGGAGTCTCCTCTGTCGCCCAGGCTGGAGTGCAGTGGTGCAATCTTGGCTCATTTCAACCTCTGCCTTCCAGGTTCAAGTGATTCTCCTGCCTCAGCCTCCTGAGTAGCTAGGATTACAGGCGCACACCACCACACCTGGCTAATTTTTGTATTTTTTTGTCTGTTCGTTTGTTTTTGGGATGAAGTCTCGCTCTGTTGCCCAGGCTGGAGTGCAATGGCGCGGTCTCAGCTCACCGCAACCTTCGCCTCCCGGGTTCAAGTGATTCTCCTGGCTCAGCTTCCCGAGTAGCTGGGATTACAGGTGCCTGCCACCATGCCTGGCTAATTTTTGTATTTTTAGTAGAGATGGGGTTTTACCACGTTGGCCAGGCTGGTCTCGAACTGCTGACCTCGTGATCTGCCTGGCTCAGCCTCCCAAAGTGCTGGGATTACAGGCGTGAGCCACCGCACCCAGCCTAATTTTTGTATTTTTAATGGAGGTGGGGTTTCACCATGTTGGCCAGGCTGGTGTCGAACTCCTGACCTCAAGTGATCTGCCCACCTTAGTTTATTTATTTATTTATTTATTTATTTTTTTGTGAGATGGAGTCTCGCTCTGTCGCCCAGGCTGGAATGCAGTGGCGCAACGTCTGCTCACTGCAAGCTCCGCCTCCCAGGTTCATGCCATTCTCCTGCCTCAACCTTCCCAGTAGCTGAGACTACAGGTACCCGCCACCACGCCCGGCTAATTTTTTATATTTTTAGTAGAGACGGGGTTTCATTGTGTTAGCCAGGGTGGTCTCGATCTCCTGATCTTGTGATCCGCCTGCCTCGGCCTCCCAAAGTGCTGGGATGACAGGCGTAAGCCATATTTATCTTTTTTAATGACAACCATGCCACCTATTCCCATGATGCTGGGTCCCATAAAATGGAATGTAAAAGTTCCCTCTAAAACATCCACCTGACTTAGCATCTTGTCCATAAAACTGGGGAAAGGCACACACAGAAGGAACCAAATTCTGGGAATGCATCATGGCTCAGCCAAAAATATTGCTGGGGTCTTGTCTGGGCACAGATCTTACTCTGCACACTTGATTTCCCTGTGCCCCTTGGGGTGCAAAACTGGGGTCCTTTAGCTGTGCTAGAGGCTAGAATGAGAATTTCTTGGTGTGAGCCCATTTAAAATAATCATTTATTTTACAATTTAAGCAGCTTTTTAACAGCGTATAAAAAAATGTATGAAAGTAATTTGTGCTCAATGGAGAAAACCTGGGTAATATAGAGAAGCACGAAGGGGGAAATATGCCTTTCATTCAGAAAGAACATTTTGACATGTTACTGAGTTTCACCAATTTAAGTTTCATTTCTGTTCTTCCTTGATCCAGCCCACAGAATCTGATTGCCCAGTCTCAGTCTGGCACTGGTAAAACAGCTGCCTTTGTCTTAGCCATGCTCAGCCGAGTGGAGCCATCAGACAGATACCCCCAGGTGAGGGCTTGCGGGGCTGGGTGTCCTAGGTTGCCTGCCCTGGGGAGCGCAGTGCCATCTGGTGAGGAGTAACGAGAGGTCTGAAGCTTCTGACACCTTAGGCTGTGGCTCAGGCAGAGCAAGTTCCTACACCAGGCCCTGACCTGGGAGAATGTGCTTGAAAGCAGCAGCCTTAGACCATGGCTTGCAAAGGCCTCTGCCAAGCCAGGGCTACCTGCTGCAGGCTTCAGTCTATGGCTGAAAGGTGGGCCTGGATGGGAGGACATGCTTCCCTGTGCTATTCAAGTGCTAATAACATCAGCATACTGGGTGCCTTCAGGTCTGTTACCAAATGGCTCTCCTAAACTCATCCTTTATGATTTTTCTGTCAGTGTCTGTGCCTCTCCCCAACATATGAGCTGGCGCTTCAAACAGGAAAAGTGATTGAGCAGATGGGCAAATTTTACCCAGAACTGAAGCTTGCCTATGCCGTTCGAGGCAATAAATGTGAGTACGGCAGGCGACAACTGAACAGTGAGCAGGGTAGGGGGTTGGGCGTTTGAATTTTGAAGATGCGATGACCGTATTCAACTTTCTAATTCAGTCTGACCCTGGAGCCTAACTGTGTTGCTCTATTTGAATCTATTTGAATACCTGCTAATTTGTTAACAGTCTTTTTCAGTCTTAAAATAAGATTTTCGGTTGATTAAAAAAAAAAATCCACGCATGGCTCACAGAGTTCTTAATATCTAGAGTTCTTCGCTCAGAAGGTAGAGTTTTGAATTTAGCGTCCAGAGTTCTGGGACCTGCTACCAAAGAGGGATTAACAGGACTGAGGATGGAAGGTTGGGGTCAGCTCCCTTTCTTTAAAAGTAAGCAAAACCAGGTACAGTGGCTCACACCTGCAATCCCAGCCCTTTGGGAGGCCAGGGTGGGAGGACTGCTTGAGCACATGGTTCGAGACCAGCCTGGGCAACATAGTAAGACAAAAAATAAAAAAAAAAAAATAGCCAAGCGTGGAAGTGCCAGCTTGTAGTCCCAGCTACTTGGGAGGCTGAGGCAGGAGGATCGCTTGAACCTGTGTGGTCAAAGCTGCAGTGAGCCATGACTGTGTCACCGCACTCTAGTCTGGGCAACAGAGTGAGACCCTGTCTCAAAATAAATAAATAAATAAACATAAAAAGAGTTGGATGATGTTGGATTATAGGAGGAAGAAGAAGGGAACTGATGCTTATTGAAGGATTGCTGTGTGGGATTTGATCCTGACCACAGTGCACTGAGATAGGTGTCATTCTGCCCACTTCACAGCAGAAGAGACCAAGACTGAGGGGAACACTCATGTGTGTTTTGAAATCTGGAAATAACTTGTTCTCCTAGTCCTAGAAGGATGGGCAGGGCTTTGATTTCCAGAGCTGGCTTTGCCTTTGAAATACCTATGAAAATCACCTGGGTCTCCACAGTGGAAAGAGGCCAGAAGATCAGTGAGCAGATTGTCATTGGCACCCCTGGGACCGTGCTGGACTGGTGCTCCAAGCTCAAGTTCATTGATCCCAAGAAAATCAAGGTGTTTGTTCTGGATGAGGCTGATGTCATGATAGCCACTCAGGGCCACCAAGATCAGAGCATCCGCATCCAGAGGTAGGGATCTCGAGGGTGGGGGACTCCTCAGACTCCCCATCTGCAGTGTCTTCTCCCTTCACTTCAGACGCCTCCTCTGGCTTCTGCCTGGGTCTTGGCTCTCGTACTCTCAGCAGCATTTGTTTGACGGGCCATTTCCATGTCAGCGCTGATCACAGTCCCTCCCAACCTGGGTTGAGAAAGGAGACCTAGGGACTCTTCCCCAACCCTTGTCCCCATCCCAGGCCTGCTGCTCCTCCTCCCCAAGATGCTCCTCCCCCATCAGCCTTCCTGGGCATCTAGACCCTCCCAGCTGGGGAGGCTGTGCTTCCGTTGCTTCCCAGGGCCACCTGGGGCCATCTACCCGGGCCTTCCCTTGCAGGATGCTGCCCAGGAACTGCCAGATGCTGCTTTTCTCCGCCACCTTTGAAGACTCTGTGTGGAAGTTTGCCCAGAAAGTGGTCCCAGACCCAAATGTTATCAAACTGAAGCGTGAGGAAGAGACCCTGGATACCATCAAGCAGTACTATGTCCTGTGCAGCAGCAGAGACGAGAAGTTCCAGGCCTTGTGTAACCTCTACGGGGCCATCACCATTGCTCAAGCCATGATCTTCTGCCATGTGAGTAGCAGCGGCAGTGGCAGGCCTGGCCCCTCCCTCTCAGCCAGCTCCCCACAGGGCTCAGGAGGACTGGATGCCCCTGAGCGCCATGGAAAGAAGGGAAGTGCTTTTTGAAGATGTAAGAGACAGGCTCTCCTTTAGTGGGGGTAATGGTAGTATCCCAAGGGATACATAGCCTAAAGATAGAGCCCCTGAACTTTATGTCTTATTTGTGGATGATGTATTGTTGCACAACCCAAGAGAATCAACTCATATTTGTAAGAAAAATAAAAAATTCAACAAGATGGCCGGGTACGGTGGCTCATGCCTGTAATCCCAGCATTTTGGGAGGCCGAGATGGGTGGATCACGAGGTCAGGAGATCGAGACCATCCTGACTAACACGGTGAAACCCCATCTCTACTAAAAGTACAAAAAATTAGCGCGGCGTGGTGGCGGGCGCTTGTAATCCCAGCTACTCGGGAGGCTGAGGCAGGAGAATGGTGTGAACCCGGGAGGCAGAGCTTGCAGTGAGCCGAGATCACACCACGGCACTCCAGCCTGGCAACAGAGAGAGACTCCGTCTCAAAAAAAAAAAAAGTTCAACAAGATAGTCATAACATTCACACACATAGTTTTCCAGTCTCAAACAACAAATACTTAGAAAATGGAAGCATAGATCTCATTGATAATAGAAAAAATAAATATTTAAGATCTCTGAAGAAAATGTCAAAATGATTTTAGAATAAAAGAGACACCGGAGCACGGTGGCTCATGCCTGTAATCCCAGCACTTTGGCAGGCCGAGACAGGCGGATCACCTGAGGTCGGGAGTTGGAGACCAGCCTGACCAACATGGAGAAACCTCGTCTCTACTAAAAATACAAAATTAACTGGGTGTGGTGGTGCATGCCTGTAATCCCAGCTACTCGGGAGGCTGAGGCAACAGAATCACTTGAAGCTGGGAGGCGGAGATTGCAGTGAGCTGAGATCGTGCCCCTGCACTCCAGCCTGGGTGAGAGAGCGAGACTCCGTCTCAAAAAAAAAAAAAAAGAGGCCAGGCTTAGTGGCTCACGCCTGTAATCCCAACACCTTTGGAGGCCAAGGTAGAAGGATTGCTTCAGCCCAGGAGTTTGAGACCAGCCTGGGCAACGTCGGGAGACCCCATTTCTAAAACACTTAAAAAAAATTAGCTGGATGTGGTGGCACACACCTGTAGTCTCAGCTACTCGGAAGACTGAGGTGGGAGGATCCCTTGAGCCCAGGAGTTAGAGGCTGCAGTCAGCTGTGATCACGCCACTGCACTTAGCATGGGTCATAAAGCAACACTCTGTCTCAAAACAAGGAAACATACAATGCAATGATACAGTGATAACAGTAATATATCTCTCAAATATAATCCACGTTCTCCTATCTCCACTTGTGCCAAAAGTATTCTTTTTTTTTTTGAGACCGAGTCTATCTAGCTCTGTCACCCAGGCTGGAGTGCAATGGTGTGATCTAGGCTCACTGCAACCTCCGCCTCCTGGGTTCAAGCAATTCTCCTGCCCCAGCCTCCAGAGTAGCTGGGATTACCAGCGCCCGCCATCATGCCCAGCTAATTTTTGTATTTTTGGTACAGGGGGTTTCACCATGTTGCCCAGGCTTGTCTTGAACTGCTGACCACAGGTGATCCAACTGCCATGGCCTCCCAAAGTACTGGGATTACAGGCATGAGCCACTGCGCCTGACGCCAAAAAATACTCTTTTTTTTTTTTTTTAGACGGTCTCACTATCTTGCCCAGGCTGGACTCAAACTCCTGGGCTCAAGCAATTCTCCTACCTCAACCTCCCAAGTAGGTGGGACTCCAGGCACATGGCACTGTGCCCAGCTCATCTTTATTGCTTTTTGTTTTGTTAAATCCAAGAGCCAGTCAAGTTTTGCTTGTTGCATTTAGTTGTCATGTCTCTTAAGACTCCTAAATCTAGAAGAATTTCCTCACCTTTATTTTATTGCCTCTCATTACAATGACATCTTGAAGCATCCAGGGTAGTCTTTTCTTTTTGAGATGTAGTTTTGCTTTTGTTGCCCAGGCTGGAGTGCAGTGGTGCAATCTCGGTTCACCACAACCTCTGCCTCCCGGGTTCTAGCAATTCTCCTGCCTCAGCCTTCCCGGGTAGCTGGGATTACAGGCATGTGCCACCACACCTGGCTAATTTTGTATTTTTAGTAGAGACAGGGTTTCTCCATATTAGTCAGGCTAGTCTCAAACTTCTGACCTCAGGTGATCCGCCCGCCTCGGCCTCCCAAAGTGCTGGGATTACAGGCGTGAACCACCGTGCCCGGCCAATCTGGTTTTTTTTTTTTTTTTTTTTTTTTTGAAACGGAATCTCGCCTCTTGCCCAGGCTGGAGTGCAATGGCATGATCTTGGCTCACTGCAGCCTCTGCCTCCCGGGTTCAAGCGATTCTCCTCCCTCGGCTTCCTGAGTAGCTGAGATTACATGCACATGCCACCACGCCCAGCTAATTTTTGTATTTTTAGCAGAGACGGGGTTTCACCATGTTGGTCAGGCTTGTGTTGAACTCCTGACCTCGCGATCGGCCCACCTCGGCCTCCCGAAGTGCTGGGATTACAGGCATGAGCCACCGCGCCTGGCCCCCAGGGTAGTCTTTTACTCCTAGGCTCAAGTGATCCTTCACTTGATCTCCCAAATTGCTGTGGTTATAGGCGTGAGCCACCGTATCTTGCCCCAGGTTAAATATTTTTGTGGTATAAATTTTCTTTTTTTTTTCTTTTCTTCTTTTTTTTTTTTTTTGGAGACAAGGTCTTGCTCCGTCACCCAGGCTGGAGTGCAATGGTGCAATCTTGGCTC
Organism: Homo sapiens; assembly: GCF_000001405.40. NCBI lineage: Eukaryota > Metazoa > Chordata > Mammalia > Primates > Hominidae > Homo > Homo sapiens. Next base: position 70,369,693 of record NC_000016.10, read on the forward strand.
ACCAGCCTCGACCTCTCAGGTTTAAGCGATTCTCCTGCCTCAGCTCCCTCAAGTAGCTGGGACTTACAGGCCTACACCACCATGCCTAGCTAAATTTTTTGTAGAGACAGGTTTGGCCATGTTCCCCAGGCTGGTCTCGAACTCCTGAGTTCAAGCGATCCACGTGCCTCGTCCTCCCAAAGTGCTAGGAGTACAGGTGTGAGCCACCATGCCCAGCCAGGTACAAATATTTTCGTAAGATTACAAGCCAGGTGACATTGTTACTTCCTGTTGCACTATATCGGGTTTACAATTTTAAGAAATTTAGCTTTTAGCTGCTAAGTTTCAGGTACAGTCTTCCAGATCAAAAATATCTTCAGCTGAGCGTGGTGCCTCACACCTGTACTCCCAGCCCTTTGGGAAGCCAAGGCAGGATAATGACTTGAGCCCAGGACTTTTTAGATCACCCTGAGTGACAGCAAGACTGTGTCTCAAAAAGAAAAAATATATACTCAAATACTTTCATTTCTCAATTGTTTTTTTTCTTCCAGACTCGCAAAACAGCTAGTTGGCTGGCAGCAGAGCTCTCAAAAGAAGGCCACCAGGTGGCTCTGCTGAGTGGGGAGATGATGGTGGAGCAGAGGGCTGCGGTGATTGAGCGCTTCCGAGAGGGCAAAGAGAAGGTTTTGGTGACCACCAACGTGTGTGCCCGCGGTGAGCAGAGGACGTGTCCCACCTGGTCTGCCAGGCTCGGGGTCCCAGGCCCAATTAGAGCCAGAAATCCTTGTATACAGGGAAGTCGGATGGTCTCAGGGAGATGGGTGGGGTTGGTGACACTATTCCTTTCTAGGAGAGACTGTTTGGATTTCCCTGAGGTGGTAAGAACTCACACATGCCAGGTGCGGTGGCTCATGCCTGCAATCCCAAGGCAGGAAAATTGCTTGAACCCTGGAGACAGAGGTTGCAGTGAGCCGAGAATGTGCTATAGCACTCCATCCTGGGTGACAGAGTGAGACTCTGTCTCCAAAAAAAAAAAGGAAGAGGGCAGGCCCAGTGGCTCACGCCTGTAATCCCAGCACTTTGGGAGGCCGAGGTGGGCGAATCACCTGAGGTCAGGAATTCGAGACCAGCCTGACCAATATGGTGAAACCCCATCTCTACTAAAAATACAAAAATTAGCCGGGCGTGGTGGCATGCGCCTGTAATCCCAGCTACTCAGGAGGCTGAGACAGGAGAATCGCTTGAACCCGGGAGGTGGAGGTTACGGTGAGTGAGATCGCGCCATTGCACTCCAGCCTGGGCAACAAGAGCGAAACTCCGTCTCAAAAATAAAAAAAGAAAGAAAGAAAAGGAACTCCCGCAGAAACCAGTAGTCCTGACTTGGTGGAAGGAAATGTACAGGCATCTGACTGGTAGAGAACGGAGCCTACTCTTCCAGGGGCGCCCATCTCCAGAACATTGTGTCTCCCAGAGGATTACCGACTGATCTCATGATTTTGTTGGCACTTGCCAAAGTTCTCTTCTTTTCCTCTGGGTTCTGTTGCCTGCCTATATGTGTGCCCTCTCTTGTACCCAGAGTTGGCCTGTCCCAAATTCTTTCCCTCTATCCCAAAGTTGGTACGCATTGACCTACCTATGGATGACAGTGATTTCTGTCTCCTGTCCTTAGTCCTCTCAGCCTCCAACTCTCCTTCCTGCAGGCATTGATGTTGAACAAGTGTCTGTCGTCATCAACTTTGATCTTCCCGTGGACAAGGACGGGAATCCTGACAATGAGACCTACCTGCACCGGATCGGGCGCACGGGCCGCTTTGGCAAGAGGGGCCTGGCAGTGAACATGGTGGACAGCAAGCACAGCATGAACATCCTGAACAGAATCCAGGAGCATTTTAGTGAGTCCCGGGGAGGGTCCTGTGCCTGGCGCCCTTTGCTAAGTAGGGCGGGGTGGTGAAAGGGGTAGGATCTTCTGTAGCCCCAAGAGAGGCTCTGTCCCTAGCACACTCCCCTCCTTTCTGACCATATGGCAGTTCTCAGGGAGCACACCTGGAGACTTCAGGACCCAGGGACTCCAAGGACAGCTCCCCTGTGACTGGGCTTCGGGGCGTGGGGCTCTGACTGTTGCTGTCAGTGACTAGGGGCCCTGCTGCCCCCTGCTTAGGCACCCGGAGCCTTTGGGCCTGAATGAATGATTGCTGTGGCCTGAGGTGGGGCACATTCCTGGGCAGGGTAGAGACTTGTGTATCTTTCCCCCAGATAAGAAGATAGAAAGATTGGACACAGATGATTTGGACGAGATTGAGAAAATAGCCAACTGAGAAGCTCCACCAGCCACTGATGCCAGCCCTGGCACTGCCCCTGCACAGGAGACAAGTGCATTTAGGGCACAGGCCCCGACATCACCCCAAGGACAACGGCAGAAGTAGAGAGAAACTACCTACCTCACTTCAAATTATGTTTGGACTTGACAAAAATAGGTGCAAATGATGGGGGGCAATAGAAGAAAAAATTTGCATTTTGGAAAATTGGGTCCTTTCCCCACTTTTTTAAAGCCACATTCCCCCATCTTTATAATAATCTGGTCACAGTGGTAGTCGCTGGCCCCAGGACCCCCTCCTGATTTTGGCTAGGCATCGTGGAACCAGCTCCAGCCCCTGAAGAAACGATAGATGTGCAGGTTGTGCGGAAGAGGCTGAGTGGAAAATGGTGTGAGCCCCACCGCTGTGCATCGAATGAGGGAAGTGGCAGCAGAGAGGCCAGAGCTGCCCCCTCTCTGTCTCTTCAATGGACCCTTCACAAGTGTTTCTCCTGCCCTTGGGGCTGTCTTCCTTCTCCTGAAATCCAGAGACTTTCTTGCTCATCCCTTCTCCCTTTCACTTCTGTTCTCTGCTGCAGAAAGCAGACTTGCATATCCCTGATGAGCAGCTCGGCTACTTTTGTAAACTTCAGATTTGGAGAGAAACACGAAAGTCTGAATCCTGACCCCTTGAGAGAGAGTGATCTGGCGAGGGCCGATGAAGGGGCTGGGCCTGGTCTTGCCTTCTCTTCTCTCGGTTGCTCCCTCTGCCTAGGCCCCTGGTACTCAGTCACGGCAGCCAGGAGACCCCAGGTGAGTTTCTGAGCGCATACGTAGTTGGTTCTTACCCCCAGGTGTCACACGGGGCCGAGAGCTGAGCAAGAATTTGGAATGGAAGTTATGACCAAGGGAATTATGCTGTTCATTTATAATAGTGGACATTATGGAGAGCTCTGATTCCTACATAATATGAATAAGGATGGATAGGCCGGGCGTGGTGGCTCATGCCTATAATCCCAGCACGTTGGGAGGCTGAGGCGGGCGGATCGGTTGAGCTCAGGCGTTCGGGACCAGCCTGGCCAACATGATGAAACCCCGTCTCTACCAAAAATAGAAAAAAATATAGCCGGGCCTGGTGGCGCACGCCTGTAGTCCCAGCTACTCGGGAGGCTGAGGTAGGAGGATCGCTTGAGCCTGGGTAGAGGCTGCTGTGAGCTGAAATGGCGCCACTGCACTCCAGCCTGGGTAACAGAGCGAGACCCCGACTCAATAAATAAATAAGGATGGATAAATTGTAGCGTATGCACCATTCATTATGCTAAGACATTTTAAAGTAATTATGAGAAACGCTCTACTAATGATTTGTTTTTATTTGTATTTTTCTGCTTATTAGACAAATATATACTCATTTTAAAAAGGCGTGTGTGTATATAAAGTGAGAGTGCTCTCTATCCCTTCTCTTCTGGGATCCTGATTCCTGGCAGCTTGGTGAATATTCTACCATATTGCCTTTTATTTGCATAAACCCATTTTTCTTTTACAAAAACAGGAACATTCTGTTCACACTACTATGCAACCTGCTTTCACTGATCAGCATGTGTTAGACATGTTGACATGTCCAATACACACACATCTTCCTTGCCCTGGAAACACCATCCACCTTCCTTTCTGCGTGTAGCTGTCCCGGCATTTATCTCCTGGTTCCTCTAGTGACAGGCATGGGGGATTTCTAGTACATGGCTGTTATCCACAGTACCACAATGAACATTTTTTTTTTCTTTTTTTGAGACAGAGTGTCACTCTGGCCCGGAGTACAGAGGCGTGATCTCGGCCCACTGCAACCTCTGCCTCCCAGCTTCAAGCAGTTCTCTTGCCTCAGCCTCCCAAGTAGCTGGGATTACAGGCACATGCCAGCATGCCCAGCTAATCTTTATATTTTCTGTAGAGATGGGGTTTTGCCATGTTGGCCAGGCTGGTCTCGAACTGACCTCAAGTGGTCTGCCTACCTCTGTCGGCCTCCCAAAGTGCTAGGATTATAGGTGGGTGCCATCACGCCTGGCCGAACATTTTTTTTTTTTTTTTTTTGAGACGGAGTCTCACTCTGTCGCCCAGGCTGGAATTCCGTGGCGTGATCTCAGCTCACTGCAACCTCCACCTCCTGGGTTCAAGCGATTCTCCTGCCTCAGCCTCCTGAGTAGCTGGGATTACAGGCACATGCCACCGCACCCAGCTAATTTTCGTATTTTTAGTAGAGACGGGGTTTCACCATGTTGGTCAGACTAGTCTCAAACTCCTGACCTCGTGATCCGCCCACCTCGGTCTCCAAAAGTGCTGGGATTACAGGCGTGAGCTACTGTGCCTGGCCTGAACATCTTTTTAAAAAAGATTTATTGCTTATTTATTTTTGTAGCGATGGGGTCTCACTAAGTTGCCCAGTCCAGTCTCAAACTCCTGGGCTAAATTGATCCTCCTACCTCAACCTCCTAAGTAGTTGGGATTACAGGCATGAGCCCTTGACCCAAACTGAACATCTTTGTTCTCTTTTTTTTTTTTTTGAGACCAGCTCTCACTTTGTCACCCAGGCTGGAATACAGTGGCATGATGATCTCGGTTCACTGCAGCCTCGACCCAGTCTCAAGTGACCCTCCTGCCTCACCCCTCCAAGTAGATGGGACTACAGGCCTGCACCACCACACCCGGCTAATTTTTGTATTTTTTTTTGTAGAGATGGGGTCTCACCATGTTACCGAGGCTGGTTTTGAACTCCTGAGCTTAAGTAATCTGCCCGCCTGGGCCTCCCAAAGTGCTGGGATTACAGGCATGAGCCATCATGCCCAACCTTATTCTTATTTTTGAGCGTTGGTGAAAATCACTTCAGGATATTATTCCTGGAAGTAGAATTGTTGGGTCAAAGAGTAGGGACATTTAAAATTTTAATTCATTGTCATTTACACTTGCCAAAGGTTTTTACCAATTTATGTTACTGTGATACAAAAATTACGTGCTTGCCAACAGTATTATCAATGTTTAAAACTTTGCCAGTCTAAGTGGCAAAAACAGATTATGTCATTGTTTGATTTTGATTTAGTGAGGCTTGGCAAACATTAAGTTTCTTAGAAAATCTTTTCTGTTGGGGAGCTGCCCATTCTTGTCTCACTACATTATTATTATTATTATTGAGATGGAATTTTGCTCTTGTTGCCCGGGCTGGAGTGCAATGGTACGGTTTTGGCTTACTGCAACCTCTGCCTCTCCAGCTCAAGCGATTCTCCTGCGTCAGCCTCCCAAGTGGGATTACAGGCATTTGCCACCACACTGGGCTAATTTTGTATTTTAGTAGAGATGGGGTTTCTCTATGTTGGTCAGTCTGGTCTTGAACTCCCAACCTCAAGCGAACCGCCCACCTTGGCCTCCCAAAGTGCTGGGATTACAGGCATGAGCCACTGTGCTGAGCCCTGGCCTGTATCCTACTCTTTGAAAGGAAGTCATTATGTACATGCAGCCCACACCTCAAGGAAGTTACATGCTCTCCTTAAGGGCAGAGTAGCTACCTACATTAATTATTCAACTCCTCTGCAAGGGAGAATTCTCTCTTCTCCCCCACTGATTAATTTATTCAATCATGTACAGAGTTTTTATTAGTATTAGACTGGTGATGTACCTTGATCATTTGGTTAAGGTGACTGATAAAAAAATTTTTTTTTGTTTTTTGTTTTGAGATGGAGTCTCGCTCTGTTGCCCCGGCTGGACTCCAGTGGCTTGATCTCGACTCACTGCAACCTCTGCCTCCTGAGTTCAAGTGATTCTCCTGCCTCAGCCTCTTGAGTAGCTGGGACTACAGGCACCTGCCACCACACCCAGCTGATTTTTTGTATTTTTAGTGGAGACAGGGTTTCACCATGTTGACCAGGCTGGTCTCAAACTCCTGACCTCATGACCCACCCACCTTGGCCTCCCAAAGTGCTGGGGTTACAGGTGTGAGCCACCTTGCCCGGCCTAAGTGTACTCAAGCCTTAGTTAAGGTTTATTTATTTCTATTTATAGCAAAGACAGCTGAGATGTCAAACTCTTCCCTTTCATGGTCTCCAGTGCGGTGCCCGTGGTAACAGCGTTTCACAGGAAGCACCGTGGAGACGCAGCCCAGGGGACTGCCATGGCCCTGCGAAGGGGCAGCGTCTCTTCCCTCTGTGGTCCCCTTTACCCATTCCATGACAAATGGTAGGCAAAAAAAGATATCGCAGGAAGGCCCTCCGTGATTCACTTCATATGTTTATGTATTGGTTGAATTATTTTTGTAATTTTAAAAAAGGAAAGGCAAAGTCATTTTATAGCAAGGCCGGATGGAACTGGGCGCCCTGAGTGCAGATGCCATATGTTTCTTCTGCTTCACAGGCTTCCCTCTGGAGAGAACCAGGCTGCCAGAGAGTCTGTGCTGTTCTCAGCAGCACAAACAGTTGCTAGAGGAAAGGTGTTAATTCCACACTCTGAGGACCAGGCTGGCCCAGATACATACTGCTCCTCAAGCCTCACAGAGGCGGGAGAGGGGGACCTCCTCTTGGATTTTGTGGGTTGGTTGTTACCCAGGCATAGACTTGCTGCAGGAGCTGTGATTTTTTTCACAAAAGTAGTGAGAAGGGGCATTGATTCCTAATTCACACTCAAAAGGGAATACTTTTATTTTTAAAAATATAGTTTCAGTATTTTACCTTCCCTGATGCCTCTGACCTTGCCAGACAGTCACAGAAGGTACTTCCTTGTCTGCTGCCTGTGGATGGGTAAAATACTTTTTTTTTTTTGAGACGGAGTCTTACTCTGTCGCTCAGGCTGGAGTGCAGTGGCTCAATCTCGGCTCACCACAACTTCCACCTCCCAGGTTCAAGCAATTCTCTGCCTCGGTCTCCCGAGTAGCTGGGATCACAGCCGTCTGCCACTAAGCCTGGCCAATTTTTTGTATTTTTAGTAGAGACGGGGTTTCACCATCTTGGCCAGGCTGGTCTTGAACTCCTGACCTCGTGATTCACCTGCCTCAGCCTCCCAAAATGCTGGGATTATAGGCATGAGCCACCGTGCCTGGCCATAAAATGTTTTTAAAAAATTTTTTAGCTAGGCTCTAGCTGCTCTGGAGGCTGAGGTGGGAGGATCACTTGAATCCAGGAGTTTTTGAGGCTGCAGTGAGCTCTGCACCAGTCTGGGCGACAGGAGACCCTGTCTCTTAAAAAAAAAAAAAAAAAAAAAAAAAGGGTCTGGTGGCTCACGCCTGTAATCCTACCATTTGGGAGGCCAAGGCAGGCGGATCACCTGACGTCAGGAGTTCAAGACCAGCCTGACCAACATGGAGAAACCCCGTCTCTACTAAAAATACAAAATTAGCCGGGCGTGGTAGTGCATGCCTGTAATCCCAGCTACTCAGGAGGCTGAGACAGGAGAATGGTGTGAACCCGGGAGGCGGAGCTTGCAGTGAGCGGACATAGCACCACTGCATTCCAGCCTGGGCAATGGAGAGAGACTCCATCTGAAAAAAAAAAAAAAAAAAGAGAAAAGCCTCCATCGTGACAAAGGGGTTAAATAAGCAACCAGAGGCCGGGCACGGTGGCTCACACCTGTAATGCCAGCACCTTGGGAGGCCAAGGTGGGCAGATCACGAGGTCAGGAGTTCAAGACCAGCCTGGCCAACATGGTGAAACCCCGTCTCTACTAAAAATACAAAAATTAGCTGGGCATGGTGGTGCGCATCTGTAATCCCAGCTATTTGGGTGGCTGAGGCAGGAGAATCGCTTGAACCCAGGAGGCACAGGTTGCAGTGAGCCGAGATCATGCCACTGCACTCCAGCCTGGTCAACAGAGCAAAACTCCATCTCAAAAATAAAAAAATATAAGCAACCAGGAGTGAAACACACCTGTGGAGGCAGGGAACTCAGGAAATCAAGGAAGAAAAAGGTGTCTAGTAAGTACAAGATGAAACATCACTTACCTAACTTCCCTTCCCACAACGTCACTAAAGCTATGGGAAAGGAATGAAAAAGGTATCAACTCACATGGGCAAATAAATGGAAACAATAACAGCAATAGACGGGAAATTTAACAAAATATTTGGAACACACCCAAAAAACTGGATGAAAAAGCTCCCATTTTAGCAATAAAGGGAAGTAGAATGATATTTATAGGAGTTTTAAAAATCTATTATGGGCTGGGTGTGGTCAAACATTGGGAGGCCAAAGGGGGTGGATGACCTGTGGTCAGGAGTTCGAGACCAGCCTGGCCAACATGGTGAAACCCCGTCTCTACTAAAAATACAAAAATTAGCTGGGTGTGGTGGCACACCCCTGTAATTCCAGCTACTCGGGAGGTTGAGGTGGGTGAACTTGGGAGGCGGAGGTTGCAGTGAGCCAAGATCGCGCCACTGCACTCCAGCCTGGGTGACAGAGCAAGACTCCATCTCAAAAAAAAAAAAAAAAAAAAGCCAGGCGCGGTGGCTCACGCCTGTAATCCCAGCACTTTGGGAGGCTGAGGCGGGGAGATCACGAGGTCAGGAGATGGAGACCATCCTGGCTAACAGTGAAACCCCGTCTCTACTAAAAATACAAAAAAACTGCCGGGCATCGTGGCGGTCACCTGTAGTCTCAGCTACTCGGGAGACTGAGGCAGGAGAATGGCGTGAACCCGGGAGGCGGAGCTTGCAATGAGCCGAGATCCCACCACTGCACTCCAGCCTGGGCGAGAGTGAGAATCAGTCTCAAAAAAAAAAAATCGGCCAGGCACACTGGCTCACGCCTGTAATCCCAGCACTTTGGGAGGCCGAGGCGGGCAGATCACCTGAGGTCTGGAGTTCAAGACTAGCCTGACCAACATGGAGAAAACCCGTCTCTACTAAAAATATAAAATTATCCGGGAGTGGTGGTGCATGCCTGTAATCCCAGCTACTCCCTACTCTCCTGAGGCAGAAGAATCGCTTGAACCCAGGAGGTGGAGGTTGGGATGAGCCGACATCGGGCCATTGCACTCCAGCCTGGGTAACAGAACAAGACTCTGTCTCAATAAATAAATAAATTAAATAAATAAAAATGCGGGTTGCCTGTGGCATGGTGGAAATTGGGCTGTGGAGGCAGGGCTGTGCCAGAGGGGAAAACCTGACTTAGATGCACTTCCCTGAGAGGTGGGGACAGCCCAGCCTGTGGCCACCCAAATGTATCGGAGCCTGATGGATACCTGGAGACATCATGTTGACAGAGGCCAAAGTGGTTACAGGACAGCCACTGCGAGGAGCTGCTACCAGGAATCCTCTCCAATGAACTCCTCTCCTGGAGGAAACTCAAGAGGCGACAACGAGCTGATTTTTAACCAAAATGCTTGTACCCGCTCAGATTTCAGTGTCTTGGAGCGCAGAGTCCAGGAATGAGGTGCCTCCTGTATAGGTGGGGGAGGGTATCTGGGAGTCATCTCGCCCCTCCCATATCCCCCAACGTTCTCAGCCATTATCAGTCACAGCTATCCTACCAGACCCGCCTTCTTCCATCATGCCCATTTCAGAACAATGAAGGACTAGACAGTTTTTTGTTCCTTTTAATTCAGAAAGGGAAGGAAATAAAAAAGTGTGTTTAAATTACTATTGCAGAAAATCTGGCTGGATGCTGGGACCTACCTCTTCCAGGATGGGGATTCATGATTTAATTTTTTTGAGACAGGGTCTTGCTCTGTCGCCCAGGCTGGAGTGCAGTGGCACAATCTCGGCTCACTGCAACCTTCGCCTCCTCGGTTCAAGGGATTCTCCTGCCTCAGCCTTCCAAGTAGCTGGGATTACAGGTGCGCACCACTGCGCCTGGCTAATTTTTGTATTTTTTTTTTTTTTTGGTAGAGACGAGGTTTCACCATATTGGCCAGGCTGGTCTCGAACTCCTGACCTTAAGTATTAAGTAATCCGCCCGCCTTGGCCTCCCAAAGTGCTGGGATGACAGGTGTGAGCCACCGTACCTGGCGGGATTCATGATTTAAAGCAAAAGAAAAAAAAGAAATAAATTATTCTGCTCAATACTGTTTGGCATAATTGCATTGCTTTTCATCAACACTCAAAACAGCCTCTTCAGGAAGCACTGAGATGGGAGTGGCAAGACTGGCTGAGGCCTAGCTCTCTAAAACGGTGGGGGAGGGGGGAGCGCCCTGAGAGAGGCATTCTACTAACCCCACCCCAATCACCCCTATTTTTACTCTTTCTACTTTCGGAATTGGAAAGAACGACACTCGAGCTAGGTTCCAATATATTAACTTTCAGGGGCCCACTGCCCATCCCAACCCTCCCCTAACAAAGTCCCCTGCCGGTCCCTGTTCCCTCAGCCAGCTGCAGGAACCTACCAACGGCCAGGAAGCTGCCTGGTGGTGTCAACTAAGAAAAGGGGGAGCATCTGCGCCGTCACTGTTGGGGAGGGGGCTCTATTAGTGGTTTGAGAGCTTCACAGAAGCCTTCCCCCTCCTAAACCTCCCCAGCTTCGAAGGGGGAGAATTCCACCAGCAGCCCCGTCAGGGACCTAAGCTGGGTTCAGCCATGCAAGCAGCTTCCAGGTGGAACCCCGGCCGCGAGCTTCCCAGCCCTTCTAGAGCGGGAGATGGAGAGCAGGGTGGAGGCAGGCGGCTTGCGGCGCGCAAGTCTCCTCTTCCCCGGCCGGCTCCCGGCTGCGAGCTCTGCCAGCTCAGAATTTGCAAAGAATCTGCGGTTTGGCCACCCACGGCAGCTTCAGCTTAACCAAAGAATGAGCCCCAGGCAAAGTTACCCCCAGGCAAGAGGCGATGGGTGGAGGAGGAGGTACATGCAGCGGGCAGCCGGGCCCATAGCCAGCCTCCTTCCGCCGTGCAGCCCCCTCCCCAGGGGCCAGAGCCGGCCGAAGACTGGGGGTAGGGACGGAGTCGGGGGACGGGATTTTTTTCCAGAGCAACAGGTAGGCTGGTGAGGAGGCCTCCGGCCCAGGGAGAGGCGCTGAGAAGGCTGCGGGTGAACGGGAGGGTCGAGGGCACACGTGAGTGACAGCACCTTGCACTGAAGGGGACAGGGCTTCCTCGAGCTCTGCCCTGTCCCCTCCACCTGTCCGGAGTTCGGCCCGGGAGCACCCCACCCCGCAGAGGGCGCCACTCCCGGCTTCCTGGAGACGCAGGAAGCCCTGGGGGCGCAGCCATCCCACAGCGCGGCCGAGGTGGGACTGGGGGTCCCGCAGCGACCGCTTTTCTTTGGTGGGTCTGCACGCACCTATCCGGGCAGGCGGGGAAAGGGGCCGGGCGGCCACCTATCTCCTGAGGCCCGCAAAGACCGCCCGCTCTCCTCCAGGTCTGGCCAGCTACTAAGACGATCCTCCGCCCGAGGCTGACGGAAGTGCTTCGCCGAGGCCCGCGCCATGCTCTCCTCCTCAGAAAGCGTGAAAGAAAACCCTAACCCAAAGCATGAGGGAGTGGGGATTGAGCGGCCGCTGGCCCGCCCCCGAAGGCCATTGATTGGAGGAGACTGGACACAGCGCCGGAAGTTTTCCTTGAGTCACATGATTGGCTGGGAGAAACAGAAGCTCCGCCCGACCGCAGCGCAGATTGGTGCCAGGCCCGGCCGGTCCCCCAGTCTCGTGATTGGCGGGGCACAGCAGACGCCCCTGGGCTGCAGCATGATTGGTCGCGGGTTGCTGGTCCTGGGTCCCGGGCCGGAGCCCCGGTGCCCGATAGATGGGCCGGAAGGGTCGCGGCGAGGCCCGGCTCAGTTGCCCCGGTAGACTTCGATCTTGCTGGCCTTGGCCAGCATGTCGATGATGTGGGCCTCGAAGTCCGCGTCGTGCACGCCAGTCTTCCGGAACTCGCCCGCGTACCGGTTGTTCTCCCAGTAGTGGTGCCAGTTGCCCCGGCTGTCGGCCCCGAACCCGTACACGTTCACCTGCGGGGAAGCGCAGCGGAGCGTCACCCCAGGCGGGGACCTGGAGGATGGCGCGGGGCGGGCTCGGGATGACAGGGAGGAGAGGGGACGGGAGGCCCCGGGGAGATGCAGGAGCCCCCAGGCCTGGCCTAAGGACATGGACTCACATGGGGACACCACCTTCCCTTTGCAGCCCTTGCAAATTCCTCCTTTTTTTTTTTTTTTTTTTTAATGGAGTACTTTGATCAGCACCACTCAGTGAAGCACTTGCCGGGCCTCAGCCCTGCTCTTCATTGCAAGGCAGCCCTGGCCACTGGTGGAACGGGTTCTCTGAACGACTGAGTTCCATTTTTACACGAAGTAGGCCTGGGGCTCAGAGCTGGTGGGGGCAGTCGTCCAGCTGAAATTCAACTACATACACTCTCCATTCTATTTATGTTTTTTTTTCTTTTCTTTTTCAAGACAGCGTCTCATTCTGTCGCCCAGGCTGGAGTGCAATGCCGCTATCTCGGCTCACTGCAACCTACGCCTCCTGGGTTCAAGCGATTTTCCTGACTCAGCCTCCCGAGTAGCTAAGATTACAGGCGTGCCCCAACACGCCTGGCTAATTTTTTGTACTTTTAGTAGAGATGGGGCTTCACCATGTTGGCCAGGCTGGTCTTGAACTCCTGACCTCAAGTAATCCGCCCGCCTCAGCTTCCCAAAGTGCTGGGATTACAGGCGTCAGCCACCGCGCACGGCCAATAACTTTTTAATGAAGAGATTTTGGATTTGGTAGAATCATGAAAGCAGAAACGTTTGGGAAAGGCATATCTATACTTTACAGCCTAGAGATGGGGGAAACCAAGGCCACATGGATTCTGCCTACAGAAGCACATTCCTCTGTTAGCCTGCTAAGACCCGAGAAGGCCTGCACTCCTCTGTTCCATGGGTTCCCACCACCCACACCACGGGCCTACCCACCTCATCACACACATGCAGGGCAAAGAAAAGCACCAGCATCCCCGTGGAAGGGTACCGCCCGTGATGCTCTGTCCACCTGTCGTGGATATACTTGAAGAAGGCTGGGTTGTAGATCTGGACCTGGGAGGAGAAGGGATGACAGGTATATGAGGGGTTTAGGGGCAGAGATTCAGGCTAGACTGAGCAGCTTCTACTTGTCTATGCCTGTCAGAGACCTGTGCGTCTGTGTCTCCTGAATCGTGTGGCACCTGCTAGGGTCAGGCATCTCGGCAGATGGGGACCCTGAGGTTCTGCAGGGGAAATGGAACACCTGAGCTACAGGACCAGGCACACAGGCTGGGCCAGCACTGTTTCCACTGAGGTGGGGAAGAAGTGGGGAGCTTACCTTTTCTTTATCCACTCGAAGGAAGGACTTCACTGGGGCGTAGGTGCTGTAAGCAAAAAGAAAGAAAGATAACATTTCAGGCTGGGCACGGTGGCTCACACCTGTAATCCCAGCACTTTGGGAGGCTGAGGCAGGTGGATCACCTGAGGCCAGGAGTTCGAGGCCAGCCGGATCACCTGAGGCCAGGAGTTTGAGGCCAGCCTGACCAACATAGTGAAACCCCATCTCTACTAAAAAAACAAAAATTAGCTGGGTGTGGTGGAGCACAGCTGTTATCCCAGCTACTTGGGAGGCTGAGGTTTCAGTGCGCCGAGATCACACCACTGCACTCCAGCCTGGGTGACAGAGTGAGACTGTCAAAAAAAAAAAGGAAAGGAAAGGAAAGGAAAGGAGAGGGGTGGGGAGGGGAAGGGAAAGGGAAGGAAGGGAAAGGAGAAAGGAAAAGAAGGGAAAGGAGAAAGGAAAGGAGAAAGGAAAGGAAGAAAAGATAACATTTCAGGTGGCCCCATGGGACCTAGGGATGCCCCCCACGCCAGGCCTGAGCAATGTCAGCCCCACAACTTCCAGACTGCTCTGCTTCTGGACTGCTCTCCCGTGGCTTGTTCATCATTGCCATGCCTTACTCTAAAGCCTTCAACGGTCCCCATGGCATCCAAGATAAAATGGGAATGTTTTCAGCAAGCGATGGGGCCTTCCCTAGACCAGCCCCAACCTTCCTCCCCTAGCTCTCTGCTCCATTAGAGGTGGCAATCATCTCAAATCCACCATGTCTCTGCTCTCACCCCTGCCCTCGATCCACTCCCCTCAGGCTTCCCAGACCACACCTCCCTGTAGCCAGCCACGGCCCCCGTAACCTACATGCCCTTCTCTGAGTGTCTATGGTACTTCAACTCTACTGCATCCATTTTAGCCCTCAGGTCTCCCAAACATGAGATAATGAACATCCTAAGTCAGGAAACTGTAACTCATTACTTTTGTGTTTATAAAATACATGGTGATGATACCCAAAAGGTAGAACACAAACCAAGCATCCTTGAAGGATAAACGGATAAACAAAATGGGTATATCCCTACATTGGCATAGTATTCAGCCTTTAAAAAAAACACAGGAAATTCTGACACATGCTACAACACGGATGAACTATGAGGACATTATGCTAAGTAAAGTAAGTCAGACAAAAGGACAAATACTGTTATGATCCCACTTACATGAGGCATAAAGAATAGTCAAATCAGGGCCGGGTGCGGTGGCTCACGCCTGTAATCCCAGCACTTTGGGAGGCCGAGGGGGCCAGATCACAAGGTCAAGAGATGGAGACCATCCTGGCCAACATGGTAAAACCCTGTCTCTACTAAAAATACAAAAATTAGCTGGGTGTGGTGGCACACGCCTGTAGTCCCAGCTACTTGGGAGACTGAGGCAGGAGAATCGCTTGGACCAGGGAGTCTGAGGTTGCAGTGAGCCGACATTGTGCCACACTGTACTCCAGCCTGGCGACAGAGCGAAACTCTGTCTCAAAAAAAAAAAAAAAAAAAAACACAATAGTCAAATCAGGCTGGGTGTGGTGGCTCATGCCTGTAATCCCAGCACTTTGAGAGGCCAAGTTGGGCCGATCACCTGAGGTCAGGGGTTCAACACCAGCCTGGCCATCTGTACTAAAAATACAAAAATTAGCCGGGTATGGTGGCCCATGCCTGTAGTCCCAGCTACTCGGGAGGCTGAGGCACGAGAATCGCTTGAACCCAGGAGGCAGAGGTTGCAGTGAGCCAAGATCATGCCATTGCACTACATGCTGGGCAACAGAGCAAGACTCAGGCTCAAAAACAAACAAACAGGCCGGGTGCGGTGGCTCCTGCCTGTAATCCCAGCACTTTGGGAGGCTGAGGCGGGCAGATCACAAGGTCAGGAGATCGAGACCATCCTAGCTAACACGGTGAAACCCCGTCTCTACTAAAAATACAAAAAATCAGCTGGGCGTGGTGGTGCTTGCCTGTAGTCTCAGCTACTCGGGAGGCTGAGGCAGGAGAATCGCTTGAACCCAGGTTGCAGTGAGCCGAGAAGGCGCCATTGCACTCCAGCCTGGGTGACAGAGTGAGACTCTGTCTCCAAAAACAAACAAACAAACAAACAAACAAAAAAGAATAGTTAAATCATAGAGACAGAAAGTAGAATAAGGTTACCTGGGGTTGAGGGGAGAATGGAGAGTTAGTGTTTAAGGTGTACAGTTTCCATTTGGGATAATGAAAACGTTCTGGAAATGGAGAGTGGTGATGGCTATACAATAATGTGAATATACTTAATGTTACTGAGCTTTACACTTAAAAATAGTTAAAATGGCAAATGTTATATTGTGTATATTTTACCACACAACAAAAATATATGGTGAGACAGAGTAGATTAATGGTTGCCTAGGGCTCGGGGTGGGAGGAGTGGGGGTGATGGCTTAGGGATCCGGGGGTATCTTTAGATTAAAGACCCTTAGAACATGAAAATGTTCCTTTTTTGGTTCTTTTTTTTTTTTTTTTTTTTTTTGAGGCAGAGCCCTGCTTTGTTGCCCAGGCTGGAGTGCAGTGGCGCGATCTGAGCTCACTGCAACCTCTGCCTCCCGGGTTCAAGTGATCCGATCCTCCCACCTCATCCTTGAGTGGCTAGGACTACAGGAGCATGCCACCATGTCTGGCTAATTTTTGTATTTTTTGCAGAGACAGAGTTTCGCCATGTTGCCCAAGGTGGTCTCAAACTCTTGGACTCAAACAATCTACCCTCCTTGGCCTCCTAGAGTGCTGGGATTACAGGTGTGAGCCACTGCACCCGGCAGAACATGAAAATTTTTTTTGTTTTGTTTTGTTTTTTTGAGACGGAATCTCTGTCGTCAGGCTTGAATGCAGTGGCACAATCTCGTCTCACTGTAACCTCTGCCTCCCAGGTTCGAGCGATTCTCCTGCCTCAGCCTCCCAAGTAGCTGGGACTACAGACGTGCGCCACCACACCCAGCTAGTTTTTTTTTTTTCTTCCTGAGACGGAGTCTCGCTCTGTCACCCAGGCTGGAGTGCAGTGGCGCGATCTCGGCTCACTGCAAGCTCCGCCTCCCGGGTTCACGCCATTCTCCTGCCTCAGCCTCCCCAGTAGCTGGGACTACAGGTGCCTGCCACCACGGCCGGCTAATTTTTTTTTATTATTTTTTAGTAGAGATGGGGTTTCACGGTGTTAGCCAGGATGGTCTCCATCTCCTTACCTTGTGATCCGCCCGCCTGGTCTCTCAAAGTGCTAGGATTACAGGCGTGACTCACCACGCCTGGCCGGCCACACCCAGCTAATTTTTGTATTTTTAGTAGAGACAAGGTTTCACCATGTTGGCCAGGATGGTCTTGATCTCTTGACCTCATGATCGCCCACATCGGCCTCCCAAAGGGCTGGGATTACAGGCATGAACCACCATGCCCGGCCAAAAATTTTTATTTTTTATTTTTTTTGAGACAGAGTTTTGCTCTTGTTGCCCAGGCTAGAGTGCAATGGTGTGGTCTTGGCTCACTGCAACCTCCACCTCCTGAGCTCAAGCGATTCTCCTGTCTCAGCGTCCTGAGTAGCTGAGATTACAGGCGCATGCCACCACGCCTAGCTAATTGTTTTATTTTTAGTACAGATGAGGTTTCACCATGTTGGCCAGGCTGGTCTCTAACTCCTGACCTTGTGATCCACCCGCCTTGGCCTCCCAAGGTGCTGGGATTACATGCGTGAGCCGCAGTGCCCGGCCATGAAAATGTTTTAAAATTAATTGTGGGGCCGGGTGTGGTGGCTCATGCCGTATAATCCCAGCACTTCGGGAGGCCAAGGTGAGCAGATCATCTGAGCTCAGAAGTTTGAGACCAGCCTGGCCAACATAGCGAAACCCCATCTCTACTAAAAATACAAAAATTAGCCAGGTCTGTGGTGACACATGCCTGTGATCCCAGCTACTCAGAAGGCCGAGGCAGGATAATCACTTGAACCTGGGAGGCGGAGGTTACAGTGAGCTGAGATTCTGCCACTGCACTCCAGTCTGGGCAACGGAATGAGACTCCGTTTCAAAAGAAATTAATTGTGGGCCGGATGTGGTGGCTCATGCCTGTAATCTCAACACGATGGGAGCCTGAGGCAGGTGGATCACTTGATGTCAGGAGTTTGAGACCAGCCTGGCCAGCATGGCAAAACACCGTCTCTACTAAAAATACAAAAATTAGCCAGGCATGGTGACATGTGCCTGTAATCCCAGCTACTCGGGAGGCTGAGGCACGAGAATCTCTTAAACTCGGGAGGTAGAGGTTTCAGTGAGCCAAGATTGCGCCACTGCACTCCAACCTGGGTAAGAGAGTGAGACTCCATCTCAAAAAAAAATAAAATTAAAAAAAATTAAAATTAATTGTAGTCATGGTTATACAACTCTGAATATATAAGAAGTTACTGGATTATACACATTAAATAGGTGAGATGTATGGGATATGAATCATATCTTGATAAAGCTGTTAAAAAATATACTTGGTGAACTAGATTTCCCATGGTTCCCGGCTATGATGGGACAACTACCCCCAAAGAAAGTCCTCAGAAGGCAGAGCTCCCTCAGTCAGGAGCCATCACCCAGAAAGGAGACCAAAACCAGATGGTCTGGCCGGGTGCGGTGGCTCACACCTATAATCCCAGCACTTTGGGAGCCCGAGGTAGCTGGATCATCTGAGGTCAGGAGTTCCAGATCAGCCTGACCAACATGAAGAAACCTGTCTCTACTAAAATACAAAATTAGCCGGGCGTGGTGGTGCATCCCTATAATCCCAGCTACTCAGGAGGCTGAGGCAAGAGAATCGCTTGAACCCGGGAGGCGGATGTTGCAGTGAGCCAAGATCGCGCCATTGCACCCCGGCCTGGGCAACAAGAGCGAAATTCTGTCTCCAAAAAAAAAAAAAAACAAACAAAAAAACAGATCCTTCCTCATCTTTCCACCATCAATATGCTGTGTCACCACACAGGAGGTGACACAGAGCAAGCTGTGCCTTCAGCTCACCCACCAACTTAGGCCCTCCCTTCTCACCAGCCCCTCTTGGCCAAAATGTTCAATGAAAGGAATCCTACAATCTGGCCCCTAGAAGACTCTGCCCAAGATGGTCCTGTCACCCATATTCTACCCAGGCCAGCAAGAAGCTCACAATCGGATCTGCCCCGTGGACAAGGCGCTGGCGATCCACAGAAGGTCCAGGACCTTGAAGGGCACCAGCACGAAGCTGACGTTGGCGGGCAGGTTCTTGGCACTCTCAGGGTACATGAAATGGTGGGTGGTTCGGCTGCCAACATCCTGCTCAAAGCCCACGGTTGGCGCCTGATTCATCCTGCAGGGACAAGAGGGTGACATGAGAATCAACTGCCATGGAAACTGATACAAGATTCTTAGAGGACAGTTCGAAGCCATCCATCAAAAATGCAAACGGGTGTATACTCCAACCTAGCAATTCCATTGCTAGAAATCTGCCCTATAAAAATGGTTACAAAGGTGTGCAAAGATGTGTATGAGGATATTCACTGCAGAATTATTTACAATAGTAACACCAGAATCAATCAAACAGGCCAGGTGTGGTGGCTCACACATGTAATCCAGGCACTTTGGGAGGCCAAGGTGGATGGACTGCTTTGAGGTCAGGAGTTCGAGACCAGCCTTAGCCAACATGGCAAAACCCCATCTTTACTAAAAAAAAAAAAACAAATATAAAATTAGCTGGGCGTGGTGGCATGTACCTGTAATCCCAGCAACCTGGGAGACTGAGGCAGGTGATGTGTTTGAACCTGGAGGCAGAGATTGCAGTGAGCCGACATCGCACCACCGCACTCCAGCCTGGGTGACAGAACAAGACTCTTGTCTCCAAAAAAAAAAAAAAAAAAGGTTGGCCGGGCGCGGTGGCTCACACCTGTAATCCCAGCACTTTGGGAGGCCGAGGTGGGCGGATCACGAGGTCAGGAGATCGAGACCACGGTGAAACCCCATCTCTACAAAAAAAAAAAAAAAAAAAAAAAAAAAAAAAAAAAAAAAAAAGGTTACTAACATTGGGGGCTTAACTCATTTTTACTGTATACATTTTTATTTATTTACTTTTAATTATTATTAGTTTTGAGACAAGGTCTCACTCTGTCACCCAGGCTGGAGTGCAGTGGTGCTATCTCGGCTCACTGCAATCCCCGCCTCCGCCTCCCAGGTTCAAGCGATTCTCCTGCCTCAGCTTCCTCAGTAGACGGGACTACAACATGTGCCAGCATTCCCAGCTAAGTTTTTGGTTGAGACGGATCGCCCTGTCGCCCAGGCTGGAGTCCAGTGGTGCAATCTCACCTCACTGCAACCTCCACCTCCTGGGTTCAAGGGATTCTCCTGCCTCAGCCTCCCAAGTAGCTGGGATTACAGGCGTTAGCCGCTACGTCCAGCTAATTTTTTGTATTTTCAGTAGAGACGGGGTTTCACCCTGATAGCCAGGATGGTCTCCATCTACTGACCTCGTGATGCGCCGGCCTCGGCCTCCCAAAGTGCTGGGATTACAGGCGTGAGCCACCGAGCCCAGCCATTTTGTTTGTTTGGGTTTTTTGTTTGTTTGTTTGTTTTTTGAGACGGAGTCTTGCTCTGTCGCCCAGGCTGGAGTGCAGTGTCACAATCTCGGCTCACTGGAAGCTCCGCCTCCTGGGTTCACGCCATTCTCCTGCCTCAGCCTCCCAAGTAGCTGGGACTACAGGCGCCCGCCATCACGCCCGGCTAATTGTTTGCATTTTTAGTAGAGACAGGGTTTCACCGTGTTAGCCAGGATAGTCTGGATCTCCTGACCTCGTGATCCGCCCACCTCAGTCTCCCAAAGTGCTGGGATTACAGGCGTGAGCCACCACGCTCGGCCCTGTTTGTCTTTTAAGTCTCACTCTGTCACCCAGGCTGGAGTGCAGTGGCACCATCATGGCTCACTGCAGCCTCGACCTCCTGGGTTCAATCAATCCTCCAGCTTCAGCCTCCCGAGTAGCTGGGACCACAGGTCTGCATCACCACGCCTGTTTTGTTTTCTGTTTTGTAGAGATAGGGGTCTCACTGCGTTGTCCAGGCTGGTCTCAATCTCCTGAACTCAAGCAACCCTCCTGCCTCAGCCTCCTGAGTAGCCATAACTACAGGCAGATGACACCAGGCCTGGCCTTTTATAATTTTTTAAAGAAACAACTTATAAAGAACAGCCTTCCGCAGCTTCCACTTCACTTGGCTGTTCTGCCCTCCTTCCTATAAGATGGTGAAAGTAAGATAGGAAGTTCAAGCCTTCCCTCAGGCCCTGGGCCGGATGGAAGCCTCTGTCCTGCCACCCACTACCACCCTATTCCTGTCTGCCGCTTTAAGACCCTGTCTGCCCTTCCACTCCAAGGCCAAGAGAAATGCCCCAAGTTCTGACGGTCTGCCCTTGCTATCTTTCTGGTGATGTGCAATGTCCCCTCTCTCCTGCTGCTGTCTGGACAGAGGGGACATTGCTGTAGCTCCTGTCTGGAAACCTTCTCTGTGGCTATAATAAGCCAAGAAGGCTTCCACTTCCTTTCAATTTGTGCAAAATACAAGACAAGTAAAAACCAAAGCTCCCCTTTTTAGTATGCATCTTACGTAACAGGTGAACCAGGTTTAAACACAAACCTGTTGGTCTTTTTTTTTCTGTTATGACTGTTTACAAGCACATTCCTGTCTCACGTGGACCACACCTTGTGGAATCATGACTACCAAAGCAGGGTGACCGTAACCTGGCCCTCCACTAGGAACACAGGGAGCCAGGGAAGCAGGGAGCGCAGTCTCTAGGTGGCTCTCCTTGCTTTTTATGCCAGTTCTGTAAAACCAGCACAAACATTCCCTGTCCTTAGAGTGGCTGGCACCAGCTAGCTGGGCTGGGTGAGGACTTGCTGTGTTCCAGGGGCTCCCAAGCTGTCTTCCTCAGGGACGGGACTGGGAAGGACCATGGGCTGTGCTGTCCAGGATCACTGTGCCCCCTACCTCTCATTTTCCCTTCCCTTGAGGGTCTGGAGGGTGCTTTGGGGTGGGAGGTCTCAAAACCTAGAGAACCTCTGTGTTCCTAACCACTTCCGTTCTAGCTGGCTTCAAGCAGATGCCCAGAATTTCCTCCAGAGAAACTAACATGCTCTGTCTCCAGAACAGGGATCTACTTCCAGCCTCCCTCTCCCAAATTCATGTCCTTCAGTGAACTGCCCCTTTGAGCCCGGTCTTTAGGGTTTAGAGATCCTGTCTCCTAGAAGAGCCAAGAAGTATCCTTCCCACCCCTGAATAACTCTTAATAGCTTGTGGGCTGCTAAACTCCCCATGCAGGTATTGGTGTCCTATGGTCACACTGACACAGTCTGTATCTGCCTCCTGCCAAGCACCCTGGGGCCTGTGAGGAACAGATCAGTTGGAGAGGAAGCCTTAACAGGGGATGTCAGAGCCAGAAGTGTGTCTCAGCTGCCCAGGGTATGGCAGGGGTAGGCAGGGGGTAGAGGAATTGGGCTGGTGACACAGGCTGGCCGGGGCCTGGGCGGGGCAGGAGCTAGGATCAAGGTATGCTCTTTTTCTTCTCCTTTTTTAAATAGAGATGGGGTTTTGCCATGTTGCCCAAGCTGGTTTCGAGCTCCTGGGCTCAATCAGTTCTCTCGCCTCAGCCTCCCAATGTAGTGGGATTACAGGCGTGAGCCACTGCGCCCAGCCAAGGTGTACACTTGACCTAAGAAACAAACTTCATCTCACCAGAGATGGTGAGGCCAAGAGATCCTGCAGAGCACAGGGCTGCAGCCAGCCCAGGCTGGTTTCTGAAGACCCACCATCTGTCTTCTGCACTGACTTGGCAGCCTGAGCTGTCATGAAGTCCCCATGGGACCTGTCAGCCAGGGTCACCCTGCCTCCAGCGCCTGTGGCTGGCCATGCTGCAGAGCCTGGCCCTCCCTCATTTCCCCATGGTTGGCCAGATACCAGCTTCCAAACATCTGGGAATGAAGGGAGCAAGAGGTCCCAAAATATGTTTCACAGCCTCCAAGGGAAAGGGAAGGAACATGGCACTCTAACAGGGACAAGGTTTTGTTTCAAGGCTCTGATTCATCCTGGAGAAGCCACGCCCTGGAAAGGGGCCAGAGCAGGACGAGGAGGATGAGCTGCATCTCTGGCACTCGGGAACACAGCATTCTAGAAATCTATCTGTCCTTGGCTGCCTCCAGCAGCTAAAGAAGTATTCAGGGACAGGGGCGCAAGTGGGGTGTGTGCCCCCTGGTTAGGACCTGATGTTGGCTGCCTAGTCCCCTTCACTCCTGCATGTATCTGCGGCGTGCCTACTGTCTAGCGGGCACTGTTCTTGGAGTTGTGGATGGATCTGCTGGCCAACTGAGGCAAGACCAGCTCAACTGGACTTGAAGTGGTCCACAGGGCTCAGAGGACAAATAGGAGGAGTGAGTGGCAGCGAGGTGGGTGGGGCACAGGTGGATCAGGCCATCATCTCGCTGTAACTCAGCTCAGCCCTCCAGTGGGTCTTGCTTCCAGGGCCATTGGTTCCAAACTTGGATATGTCTACAATTGGAGTCACCCCCAGTGCCATCTGTTGTTTTTGTTTTTGAGATAGGGTCTTGCTCTGTTGCCCAGGCTGGAGTGCAGTGGTGCCATCATAGCTCACCACAGCCTCAAACTCTTGGGCTCAAACGATCCTCCTGCCTTAGCCTCCCAATTAGCTAGGACTACAGGCTCACACCAACAAGCCCAGCTTATCCACTGCCATCCAGTTCCTCAGACCAGCAGACGGCCAATTACTACCCAGGTCACCCCTTCCAGAAAGTGATTCTGGGGTCCACTCTATACCACCCCCCTTCCTTACCTGGCCCCTGTGAGGAAGCATCTATAAATTTTTTTTTTTTTTTTGAGACAGAGTTTCTCTCTTGTTGCCCAGGCTGAAGTGCAATGGCATGATCTTGGCTCACTGCAACCTCCGCCTCCTGGGTTCAGGCAACCTCAGCCTCCCGAGTAGCTGGGATTATAGTTACCCACCACCACGCCCAGCTAATTTTTGTATTTTTAGTAGAGACAGGGTTTCACAATGTTGTCCAGGCTAGTCTCGAACTCCCGACCTCAGGTAATCTGCCTGCCTCAGCCTCCTAAAGTGCTGGGATTACAGGCATGAGCCACAGCATGTGCAGCCTTATAAATTTCTTTCTGCAGCCCCACCTGACAGTACCGGCCAGATGACTTAGAGGCAGTCCTTTTGGACCTGCAGGGCTTCCACCCAGGAGCTTCCTGACCATCACTGAGGTGCCTGACCAGTGAAAGCTCAAACTTGATGCAGGTGCTTTGGGCACCTAAGAGCATTGTCCTGGGCTTCCCGAGTGCGCAGAGCTGCATGGAAGTGACAGATGCCTCAATTCCCAACCTGGCCATGGTGTCTGGGGAGGGGAGAGGCCCCTCTAAGACCAGCTCCCATCCCATCTCCCTCCCATTGGGGTATCAGCAGTTGGAGGATATGGATACCCTCAGGTGGCTCCGGGGTCCTGGACAGGGTCCACTCCAACCTGCTCACCCTCCCACTTGCACCATTTCCCAACATGAGGAAGGTCTTACATGGAATGCTGAATGCCTCCGAGACATATTGCTGCCTTCGTGTTGCTATGGAGACAGCAACAGTTTCTAAGACAAAGCCCTTCCTTCTGCCTCCTGGGAAACCTGGTCTTAACTGCAATGCTCATCCTAAGAGATGCGTGAAAACTGGGCATTGGCAGGAGCTCTGTTCTTCAGGCTCTTCCTCTACCAAGGAGTCGGGTAGGAGGCATTTCTTGTCCCCAGCCAAGTCAAGGGGGGATGTCAGAAAACGCAGGCTCTGGAGCAGAGCAAGCAGCCCACGTTCAGGTCGTGAGCCTGCCCCCTATTCCCTGTTCACGCCCAGGCCTTCATTGCAGAGTCTCGGTCAAGACTGAACGCCCTCCCAACTCTTCTCCCTTCCTCACGGCTGGGCATAGAGGTCTTGGGAATGAATGAGCCCTAGAGCAAATACCGAACAGCTCCTTTCAGCACCCACAACATCTGCCTTCTATGCATCTGCCAGCGAGAATCACCTGCTGCTATGAAGCAGGATGCTAGCTGGGCTTGGGGCCCTCACTCCTTGCCCAGCTGCTGAGGGGATGAGGAGGACAGGGCCGGCTTCTGATGGGAATTTTTGTTTTTGAGACAGGGTCTCAGTCTATTGCCCAGGCTGGAGTGAACTGGTGCAATCATAGCTCACTGTAGCCTCAAACTCCTGGGTTCAAGCAATCCTCCTGCCTCAGCCACCCCAGTAGCTGGAAATACAGACACGCCACAATGCCCAGCTAATCTTTAAAAATTTTTTGTAGACACAGGGTTTCGCCATGTTACCTAGGCTGGTCTCTAACTCCTGGGCTCAAGCGATCCTCCCACCTCAGCCTCTCAAAGCGCTGGAATTACAGGTGTGAACCACCATGCCCTGCCTCTGATGGGATTTTTCACCAAACAATCAGCCAGGAATCTAATGTCAGCTCTTTCCAGAGGAATTCAGAGCCTTGGAAACAGAGTGCAGGCCTCAAGCAAAGCTTAGATTTGGGATTCTGTCTCCCCATCCACCCCAAACAGGTAAAGGAGAGAGCTCCAAGCCTGCTGTGAAAGACTCTGGGAGGCAGGGCCCCACAGCACACCGGTAGCTGGCAGCATGCACCCTGCCAGACAAGGCAGAGGAGGGCAGTCCCCTTCCCGGAGGCCCATCCTGAGCCCACCCTTGGGCTCCACAGGGGCTCACCTCATGATGAAGTTGTGCCCGTCCACGTCCTGCCCATAGCCAGAGCCCCGCAGGTTGCCCGAGTTCCCCACCACGGCACAGCGCCGGCACTGGTGGGGGTCCCGGAAGCGGTAGGGGTTCTCGCCAGGCACTATCTGGAACAGCTTCTCCAGCACCTCATTGGTGTTGTGTGACTTGAACTGGGGCTGCAGCATCTGTGGAAGGGAGGGGAAGATGGGAAACGAGGAAGGGGAGAGGTGTGTGAAGAAGGAGGGGCCCCGGCCTCCCCTCCTCTGCCCTCACTATCCTGTGTCTGGGCACAGGCCTCTTTATCCAGGGCTCTGCCAGGGAACAGGGGTTCTTTCCTCTGGGCAGTGAGGGTCTCTCCCTCTCTCAACAACAGCAAAGTCCCCGGTTGTGAGTGAGTCTCAATGTCCAGAGATTGGGTGCCCTGCTAGTCACAGTTAGCTCTGATGCACTAGAAGGGGCTCAGGGATCAAGGTGCCTTTCACACATTCTCTGGGAACCTGCAGGCCTGGGCCACGGAGCAGAGCAGCCTCCTTCAGGGGATCCTTCCTGGTCAGCCTACAGGGGGCGCCCCTGGCACTCAGGCTGAGGACTGGGGTTGCAGAAGCCACGTCCAGGGTGACAGTCCAGCCACTCCCTGAGCCCCAGGGAAGGGCAGAGAGGCTGATAAATTCTTTCAGAGCCAGAATGGCTGGAATAAAACTGGTGTCCCCTCCTACCAGCGAGACCTGTACCAACCAACTAATGGTCAAAGACCATGAAACGAGGCAGCACCAACCAGATGCTTACAGGCCCAGCAAGTGCCACACAGGAGTGACATGGCAGGTAAGGTCCACAGCCAACAGATCTGAGCCCCGGCAAAGAGAGGCAACTTCAGCCAATTGCTGCCACGTGGGATCATGAGCCCAGAAGGGCCAAAGTTTCCCATTTTTCAAGACACACTGAAAATAAGGATTTCATATGAAACAAGAAAAATGAAATACTCTTTTTTTTTTTTTTTTGAGATAGAGTTTCACTCTTGTCGCCCAGGCTGGAGTGCAATGGCGCGATCTTGGCTCACCGCAACCTCCGCCTCCCGGGTTCAAGGGATTCTCCTGCCTCAGCCTCCCGAGTAGCTGCAATTACAGGCATGCTTCACCATACCCTACTAATTTTGTATTTTTAGTAGATATGGGGTTTCTTCATGTTGGTCAGGCTGGTCTCGAACTCCCAACCTCAGGTGATCTACCGCCTTGGCCTCCCAAGGTGGTGGGATTACTTTTACTCAAAAGTAAATTACTTTTACTCAAAGTGCTGGAATTATTTTTACTCAAAAAAAAAAAAAAAAACCCACATAAAAATAAAATAAAACATTATGTGGATGGAGCCATAACTTGATGGGTTTGTGGGTGAGCAGGGCCTGCTCAGGGGATGGGAGATTGATCTGTAGAGGGAGCTTGGCTCCAAGATGAGAATTCCTATATAAAAATTAGCCAGGCGTGGTGGCACGTGCCTGTAGTCCCAGCTACTCTGAAGCTGAGGTGGGAGGATCGCTCGAGCCTTGGGGATCAAGGATGCAGTGAGCCAAGACTGTGCCACTGCAAAGACAGTGAGAACCTGTATCAAAAAAAAGCTGTCACAGTAAGAGCCCACGGGGCTCCTAGTGGCCCCAGCTCTGCAGACCCTGGTCCTCGGGCACTCTTGACAGTCTAGGCTGGAAGGCAGGTTCTGTGACATCATTCTGATAAGCCTGATCACATGAGCTCATCCCTTGCAGCTTGGGAGCCTGCAGGGACTCAGTGCTGACATGGCTCCACCCATGACATGTGTGGCAACCAGATGGCCTGCAGAGCCTGGGGAGTGACACTCCAGAGCCTTGGGGCAAGGTAGAAGGAATTAAAAGTAGCAGAAAAGTGATGACTGGAAAGACAGGGAGGACCCCCCCAGCCCCACCCCTTCACCTCCCTTAGCCCCTGAGGGTTCTTTTCATTGCTTGTTTTTTTTTAACTCTAGAATCAGACAACACATTATTTCATAAAATAGATTAAGTAGTCCCTGCACGGCTTTCTTTTCTTTCTTTTTTTTTTTTTTTTGAGACGGAGTCTCACTTTGTTGCCCAGCTGGAGTGCAATGGTGCAATCTCGGCTCACTGCAACCTCCGCCTCCCAGGTTCAAGCGATTCTCCTGCCTCAGCCTCCTGAGTAGCTGGGATTACAGGCACGCACCACCATGCCTGGCTAATTTTTTTTCATTTTTAGTAGAGACGGGGTTTCACCACGTTGGTCAGGCTGGTCTCGAACTCCTGACCTCATGATCCGTCCGCCCTGTGCTCTCAAAGTGCTGAGATTACAGGCGTGAGCCACCATGACCGGCCTTCCCTACAAGGCTTTCTTATCCCAGCCCAGTAAAAAGTCTTCTAGCAGTTGTAAAGAACCAAGAAAGGGGCTCTGTTCTCATGGTATTTACAATTATTTTGGCTGGGCATGGTGGCTCACGCCTGTAATCCCAGCACTTTGGGAAGCTGAGGCGGGCAGATCATCTGAGGTCAGGAGTTTGAGATCAGCCTGGCCAACATGGTGAAACCCCGTCTGTACTAAAAATACAAAAAAATTAGCTGAGAGGGGTGGTGCATGCCTATAATTCCAGCTACTTGGGAGGCTGAGGCAGGAGAATCACTTGAACCTGGGAGGCAGAAGTTACAGTGAGCCATCACTGTGCCACTGCACTCCAGCCTGGGCGACAGAATGAGACTCCATCTCAAAAAACAAACAAACAAATAAAAAACAATTATTTTGAGCCAATGTTCATAAATTAGGATATTTAGTTTTAAAATCTGGATTTCTAGGTTTTCTTAAAAAAAAAACAAAAAACCCAGATCCAGCCTTGTGCAGCAACAACTGCTGGGGCCGAGGGGCGGCTGCCTCCTTCCTCTGGGGCAGGCCCCCCATGGCTGTACTCCTCACTGCCACCTGCTCCCTGTGTCCCTGCTGCCTGCCTGGTCCAGGAGGCATTTCTGGCCTATGCTCGGGTCCTACAGGCACTAGAAAATACTAGCCCCCTCCATCAGGTCAGTGCTTGCTCTGCCCTTCAGTAATCTGTGATCCTATAAATGGCTTGGTCAAACAGGCATTTTGTCAAGGCTCTGGGGGCCAGAAATCCAAGAGGGGGCTCTGAGTGGCTCTAAAACTGGGGGACAGATCCCTGGAAGGGAGCAGCAGCTCTTACCATCCACCACCTCTGGACGTCCGGTGGAAGATCCATGTTCTCTCGGGTCCAGACGGGGGAAATGTTACCGTCAAAGTGGCTGTCAAACCAGTCGGAGGCACCGGCATCGCCCATGCAGCGGCGACAGGCACAGCTCTTGCCCGAGAGCCTCTCCTTGCTGAGGCGCTGCAGGCCGGCATAGCCGGGCACCAGCTTCACCCGGTGCGTCCCATCCAGGGCCCCTGAGTCCAGGTAGGGGAGCGTGGCCATGCTGTGGTGCGAGTAGGTGAAGAGCAGGGACATGATGAACACCAGCAGGAAGGCCACGGAGAGGAACCACACCCGCAGGGAGCACTTCATGGTGCCGGCAGGCGGGTGACGGTCACCGTGGCCACTCTTTTCCCAGCCCGCTGAGGGGCCAGCCACGGCGTAGCCTGCCTATTCTGGCACCACATGCAAAGGGCATAGGGGCACGTGCTGCAGCAGGGGACAGTGGCAGGGGTCCCTTGCCACGCCCTCCCTCATGTAGGGAGAACACACGTTGGCAGGAGTGGCTGTCCTGTCCCTGAGTCAGGCGGGGCCCCTGCTTAGGGCTTCATCGGGTCTCTCCGTCACTAGCTAGGCCACAGAGGCTCTGCCTCTCCTGCCACCCTGGTGAGGGGGAGGTCAGTCCATTGCAGCCCTCTAGTCCCTTGGGATTGCTGGCTGCCAGCTCTAGGGGTCCCCCTCTTTGGCGGCTTGAAATAATCCAGTCTGGAGCAGTCGGGGTCCTTGTGGTTCATGAGCAGACAATGAGGCGGCCCCTCGTTCCCGGCAGCGGGGAAGCCCTAGAACTCCAATCACAACAGAGAGCACAGGGGCTTCAGGGGACTTGGGTTCCATGCAAGTGTTGTCCCACCTCCTGGCCCAAAACCTCTGCCAGAGGAGGGGAGCCAGACCCCAACCCTGAGAGGACAAAAACAGGAAGCTCTGTGAGTGTGGGAAAACTCCGCTGCAGAGATCGAGATCCTTTCCGCAGTAGGTCTTGCCCTTCTGCTTCCCATCTGAGGTGCTGGTCCCTTCTCCTGGTGGCCCCAGCCCCAGCTGCAGTTGCGTAGGGGTCGCAAAGCTCCTACTGTGGCTGTGGGGTCCTCTGGCGCTGGGAACAGCTGCTGTTCAGCGGGGCACTGTGTCCAATACCATCTGGGTCAGGCGAGCTTGTGCTGAGCTCCCTACCAGGGTCCAGGTCTCCTTCCTAATACTCCTGGCCCAGGTTCTGCCCATCCCCACTCCCCCGGGGCCAGCCTATCCTGCTGTGAGCTCACAGTAATCCCCTGGCAGGTTCCCCTTCACATGTCGGGCGCCAGGCTGCCGCAGCACGACCCTAGAATGGCAGAGAGGAGAAATAATGTGCGGATGAATCACACGGGCACCAGGCTTTGTCCCAGCCCCACCCCAAGCCCCAAAGCTAGCAGGAGAGGAGATGCCCACTTAATCAGAGGGTGGACATGACCAAGGGCTCTGCCCTCTAGCTGCACAGATAGCATCACTGTGTGGGACTCCAGGGCCTGGAGGACTAGATTAGCCCAGAGTCTTCACTTCTTAGCCAGAAGGTAAACGAGTCAAGTGATTTTCCCTAAGCCACATGCTTTCAGATTTAGAGAGTTCCTAGCCCAGCTATGTACAGTTAATTTCAGGTGAAAAGTCAGAGAAAACAGCCCAGAGAAGATTCCAGGGGACTATGGACACTGACTGCCCCCCACAGCACTCTCTGGAGCCTGTCAGTGCCTGCAGAGGCCTCTCCCAATCAGAAGGGAGGGCTGGCCGGTCTCTGACCGCCCCTCTTCTCTCGACTGTGGATTATCGATGAGGTATTGCTGGGTCCACTCAATGAACCATGAACAGTCCTGTCAGCTCCGCCGTTGGGGGAGAACCTGGCTGTGTCAGGAGGTGTGGTTGCTGGGCTTGGTCCTGCCCCCGGACAGCCCTGAGGGC
Source organism: Homo sapiens (assembly GCF_000001405.40). Lineage (NCBI taxonomy): Eukaryota > Metazoa > Chordata > Mammalia > Primates > Hominidae > Homo > Homo sapiens. Next base: position 70,400,145 of record NC_000016.10, read on the forward strand.
AGTTGTCTACATCCATCTGTACATTATGGACAAAGTGAATGCCAGCGTCCCTGGTAGCACTGACAGCCTGAGGCCCCATGCTGCCCTTGCAGGCAAGAACAGGGAGAAAAGGCCACTTGTAGGCAGTTTGGGTCTCAGCCATAAGGAAAGGAGCTCAGATCCATGCCAAGCGTGAGGGAGCCACACCAGGTGAGAGGAACGCTGAGAAGGGAACCCCTGAGCACTGGCTGTGTGCCGTGGGAATCTTGCAAAGCTGGCTGCCTCGCCTCTCCCCAGCTCCCCTCCAAATCTGCCTAGCGGTGCTGCTGACCTAGCCCCTGGGCCTCTCAGTGCAGCCCTGTTCCCTGTCCTTGTTGAAGTCTCCAGCCCACTTTTGGGGTCTCCTGGCTGCTTCCAGCAGCTGCATACAAGGCCTCTCAGGCTCTGTGTTCAAGAAACGTAGCTGCCCCTCCATTTGTGGCCACAAAGCCAGCAGGGAATGGAACGAGCATATTGCAGTAAGGACATTATTCTGGGTGAGAAATGATGTTCACAAAAGTACAAGAACTTACCTAAGGTCACGACGTTGTGAGTGGAGGTGACTTTGGGATAGGCCATGGCACAGAAAGAAGGCTGTGGCCTCCCTGAACTACCCACGGCTCAAGGGTGAGAGGGAAGGAGATGTGGAGTTGGCTTCTCAGGGTCGAAAGTGAAGCCCCGCCCACAGGCCTCATCAGGGCTCCTGGCTCTAATCCACGGAGACCCCAGCAGCACTGGCTCAAAGGTGCTTCTTCCAATGTTCTGCTGTGCCCATTTAGCAGATCCCACTCTAGGCATGGCCTTGGCTGAACAGTCTGTAGATGGGAAGCCAGGTCCTTGTCTCCTCTCATTCTCCCTTTGCCTGCTGCATGCCCAACATCTAAGGACAGAACTCGAGTTCTTTCAGGGTCCCGCTCCCAGCTTCCTGTGACCTGAGGAGAGCCAGTCATGAGGCAGGTGGCCCTGGAAGACAGTGACTTTGCAGCTGATGGGAGCGAGAGGTCCTGCCTGGGGAGACCTGGTTTCTGGCTGGGCAGCCCCGCAGTGGCCACTGAAGGCGGGGGCTGGGCAGAGCTGGCACAGGAGGCTTCCAAAGGAAGCAACTCAATCAGGGAAGTCATTAACTCCTTGGGATTCTAGATCAACGCAGGGGGCACGCGAAGGAACTGCACTGCCTGTTAGGGAGGGGAAAATCCCTGGTTTTGACATGTCTGGAAAGAGCAGAGAAGTAGAGGAAAGAGCAGAGAAGTAGAGCATCTGGCAAAGGCCCTTGCTTTGGGAACCCCAGGTCCAGGTGTTACTGCAAATACAGGATGCTCAGCTTGTTGTGGTGAGGGCAAATGGAGCCATGGGGAGGAGCTAAAAAAAAAATCAAAGGCCCCCAAACATGCACTAAAAATCCCAAAAATGACCTGGCAATGACCCTCTCACAGTTCATTTCTACCTGTGCCCCTCAGCTGCCCACCACGTCATGGGCTTGCTCCCCTTCACAGCTACTCAGATCATTTTGTTAAGCCCATGCACACCTCAATATAAAGAGCTCGGAGGAGGCAGGCCCAATGGCTCATGCCTATAATCCCACCACTTTGGGAGCCTGAGGTGGGTGTATCACCTGAGGTCAGGATTTCAAGACCAGCCTGGCCAACATGGTGAAACCCCATCTCTACTAAAAATACAAAAAATCAGCCAGGCGTTGTGGTGGCCACCTATAATTCCAGCTATGCAGGAGGCTTAGGCAGGAGAATCACTTGAACCCAGGAGGCGGAGGTTGCAGTGCGCCAAGATCACGCCATTGTACTCCAGCCTGGGCGACAAGAGCAAAACTCTGCCTCAAAAAAAAAAAAAAAAAAAAAAAGACCAGGCATGGTGGCTTACACCTGTAATCCCAGCACTTTCGGAGGCCGAGGCGGGTGGATCACCTGAGGTTGGGAGTTCGAGACCAGCCTGACCAACGTGAAGAAACCCCATCTCTACTAAAAATACAAAATTAGCCGGGCATGGTGGCACATGCCTGTAATCCCACCTACTTGGGAGGCTGAGGCAGGAGAATCGCTTGAACCCAGGAGTGGGAGATCGTGCCAATGCACTCTAGCCTGGGCAACAAGAGCGAAACTATTTCTCAAAAAAAAAAAAAAAAAAAAAAAAAGAATGGATAAATTGTGGTGCATTTTGTACCATATAGTAAAATGAATGAACTCCGGTTTCAGACATTAACAGGGATGAATATGGCCAAAAAACATTATATCGAGCAAAAAGAGTAGTCATGGATAAATGATCACAGCATGAATCCATGAAAAGCTAAAAAATACGCAAAGCTAAGCAAGACATTTTCTATGCCTCTCTATAAAGATAATAATAGAGAAAATCAAGGAAACAACACAAAATTCAGGGAATTCCTCTGGAGGGGGAAGAGAGGTAGATGAAATAAGGAGGGCTGAAGAGGCTTCAGGAGTACTGGGTACCTTGTAATCCAGGTGGTGGGTACAGAAGTATTTTTTTTTCTTTTGAGACGGAGTCTTGCTCTGTCACCAGGCTGGAGTGCAGTGGCGTGATCTTGGCTCACTGCAGCCTCCGCCTCCTGGGTTCAAACGATTCTCCTGTCTCAGCCTCCTGAGTAGCTGGGATTACAGGCATGTGCCACCACACCCAGCTAATTTTTTGTATTTTTAGTAGAGATGGGGTTTCACCATGTTGGCCAGGCTGGTCTTTAACTCCTGACCTCAGGTGATCCACCCGCCTCAGCCTCCCAAAGTGCTGGGATTACAGGCATGAGCCACTGCGCCTAGCCATGGAGTATTTCTTATGTTTATTCTGTAAAGAGCACAAATACGATATATACTACTTTGAGTCTATGATGCATTTCGTAGTAAAATCTAAAATGCTTTTAGGTTAAAACATGTTTTATTAAAGCACTACTCTGGCTGTTGCGTAAGACTAGCAGGGAGACCAGAAAGGAACTGTTGCAATATCCCAGGTGGTGGAGGTGGTGAGAAATGGCTGGATGTACTCTGAAGGGCTTAACTAGTAGGGTAGTTGGAGGGTACAAGGAGGGGGCCCATGGGGAAGGGAAGAGGGGAGCAGGGTGGGAAGAGGAAGACAGGAATCAGGGAGATATGGAGGCTGTGGCCTGAGCAACCTTGTGGATGGGGCTGTCATTCACTATACAGAAAAGACAGAAAATTAATGGGTTTGGCTGAGAAAAAACAAAAGTTCTGGTTAAATTTAAGATGTCTTTTAGGCCAGCTGTGGTGGCTCATGTCTGTAATCCCAACATTTTGGGAGGCCAAGGCGGGAGGATCACTTGAGGTCAGGAGTTTGAGACCAGCCTGGGCAACACAGCAAGACCCCATCTCCACAAAAAAGTAAAAACGTTGGGCATGAAGGCTCATGCCTGTAATCCCAACACTTTGGGAGGCCGAGGCGGGCGGATCATGAGGTCGGGAGATTGAGACCTTCCTGGCCAACATGGCGAAACCCCATCTCTACTAAAAATACAAAATATTAGCTGGGCGTGGTGGTGGGTGCCTGTAATCCCAGCTACTCGGGAGGCTGAGGCAGGAGAATTGCTTGAACCAGGGAGTCAGAGGTTGTGTGAGCTGAGATTGCACCACAGCACTCCAGCCTGGTGACAGAGTGAGACACTGTCTCAAGCAAACAAACAAACAAAAAAGTAAAAACATTAGCTGGGCATGGTGGCAGGTGCCTGTAGTCAGTCCTACCTACTCAGGAGGCTTAGGCATAAGGATCACTTGAGCCCAGGAGTTCAAGGTTGCAGTGAGCCGTGATCATGCCATGGCACTCCAGGATGGGTGACAGAGTGATACCACAACTCGAAAAAAAAAAGAAAGTTTTTTAGACATCCACATGCAGTTGGAAACAGGCAGTTGAACACACCTGTTTGAAGCTCATGGGTGAGGTCAGAGTTAGAGGGATATATCTGAGAGTCATCAGAGTACAGTTCATTCTTAAAACTACAGGACCAGAAGAAAAGATCTAGGGAGGGTCTACCACAGACAAGAGTAGGCGGCTCAGGACAAAGCCTGGGGTACTCTGCTGTCTGAAAGAGAAGCCAGGAAAGAAACAGCCAATGAGGCAGGGGGAAAAACAGCCCTGCATCTGGGAAGCCAAGAGAAGAAAGTTTCGAGAATGAAGGAGGAATTAACAGTGTCAAGTGTTTGAAAAAGTAAGGCGAGGACTGAGAACTGACCACTGGATGGAGGGCAGTGGTGACCTTCACAATGACTGATCCAGGGGTATTGCGAGGCTCAAGCACAGGAAAAGATGCTCAACGTCATTAATCATCAGGGAAATGCAAATCAAAACCACAATCAGATACCACTTCCTGCCCATCAGGGTGGCTGTAACCAACAAGACAGATAATAACCAGTGTTAGTGAGGACGCAGAGACATTGGAACCCTCAGACTTTGCTATTGGGAATGTGAAATGGTGCAGTCGCTTTGGGCAACAGTCTGGCAGTTCCTCAAAAGATTAAATATACAGTCACCATAATATATGACTCAGCAATTCCACTTCTAGGTATATACTCAAGAGAAATGAAAACTTAGGTTCACATAAAAACTTGTACACATGGCCGGGCACGGTGGCTCACACCTGTAATCCCAGCACTTTGGGAGGCCAAGATGGGCAGATCACGAGGTCAAGAGATCAAGACCATCTGGCCAACTTGGTGAAACCCCATCTCTGTTAAAAATACAAAAATTAGCTGGGCATGGCTGGCGTGCGCCTGTAGTCCCAGCTACTCAGGAGGCTGAGGCAGGAGAATCGCTTGAACTTGGGAGGCAGAGGTTGCAGTGAGCCGAGATCGCACCACTGCACTCCAGCCTGGCGACAGAGTGAGACTCCATCTCAAAAAAAAAAAAAAAACACCTCATACACAAATGATTTATAGCAGCATTATTCATAAGAGTGCCAACATGGAAACAACTCAAAGTTCCATCAACCAATACATAAATAAACAAAATGTGGTATATCCATACAAGGGAGTATTATTCAGATATAAAAAGGAATCAAGTTCTGGCACTGCTACAGCATGGATGAACTTGAAAACCCTGTGCTAAGTGAAAGGAGCCAGGCACAGCCTGGTGCGGTGGCTCACGCCTGTAATCCCAGCACTTTGGGAGGCCGAGGCAGACGGATCACGAGGTCAGGAGATCGAGACCATCCTGGTTAACATGGTGAAACCCCATCTCTACTAAAAACACAAAAAATTAGCCGGGCATGGTGGCGGGAGCCTGTAGTACCAGATACTCGGAAGGCTGAGGCAGGAGAATGGCATGAACCCGGGAGGCGGAGCTTGCAGTGAGCCGAGATTGCGCCACTGCACTCCAGCCTGGGTGACACAGTGAGACTCCGTCTTAAAAAAAAAAAAAAAAAAAAAAAAAAGGAAAAAAAGGAATAAGGCACAAAAGGCCCCATGCCAGATGATTTATGTAAAATGTACAGAATAGGCAAATCCATAGAGACAGACAGTAGATTACCAGTTGCCAGGGGCTGGAGGATAGAGAAGAATGGGGAATGACTGCCAGTGGGTTGGAGTTTTCTTCTGGGGTGATGTTCCAAAATTGTTTGTGGTGAATAGGTTAAAAGCCACTGACAGCCAGGCGCGGTGGCTCACGCCTGTAATCCCAGCACTTTGGGAGGCCGAGGCAGGTGGATCACGAGGTCAGGAGATCAAGACCATCCTGGCTAACATGGTGAAACCCCGTCTCTACTAAAAACACAAAAAAATTAGCCAGGCATGGTGGCGGGCGCCTGTGGTCCCAGCTACTCAGGAGGCTGAGGCAGGAGAATGGCGTGAACCCGGGAGGCAGAGCTTGCAGTGAGCCGAGATCATGCCACTGCACTCCGGCCTGGGCAACAGAGCAGGACTCCGTCTCAAAAAAAAAAAAAGCCACTGACTTGTATGTTTCAAAGAGATGAACTGCATGGTGTGTGAATTATAGCTCAATAAAGGTGTTACAACAAAAAGAGAGAATGGTGCTGGGCGTGGTGGCTCACCCCTGTAATCCCAGCACTCTGGCAGGCCGAGGTGGGCAGATCACCTGGGGTCAGGAGTTCAAGATCGGCCTGGCCAACATGGTGAAACCCCATCTCTACTAAAAATAACAAAACTTAGCTGTGGGTGGTGGCAGGGCCAACATGGTGAAACCCCATCTCTACTAAAAATAACAAAAATTAGCCGGGGGGTGGTGGCAGAGGCACCTGTAGTCCCAGCTACTAGGGAGGCTGAGGCAGGAGAAATGCTTGAACCCAGGAGGTGGAGGTTGCAATGAGCCGAGATTATGCCACTGCACTCCAGCCTGGGCTGGAGTGGGGGGCCAGGCACAGTGGCTCACAGCTGTGATCCCAGCACTTTGGGATGCCGAGGGTGGCGGATCTCCTGAGGTTAGGAGTTTGAGACCAGCTTGGCCAACATGGCAAAACCCCATCTCTACTAAAAATACAAAAATTAGCTGGGTGTGGTGGCATGCGCCTGTAATCCCGCTACTTCGGAGGCTGAGGCAGGAGACTCGCTTGAACCTGGGAGGTGGAGGTTGCGGTGAGCCAAGATCGTGCCACCGCACTCCAGCCTGGGTGACAGAGTGAGACTCTGTCTCAAAAAAAAAAAAGGAATGGGATGTAAGAGAGTGGAATGTGGAATGGGATTCAGCTGAGAGATGGTCTAGAATGTGTGTACACTGATGGGAATGAATTATTAGAGGGGAAATTTATGATCCAGGAAAAAGAAGTGAACAGAGGAACAAAGGCCGGGAGCAGCACGAGATGATGGCATCGAGTGTCGTCCTGGAGGGGGGCTACCTGTGGGACAGGTGGCAAAGCCGAGCAAGCGGCACAGACAGTGAGGAGTGTCCCTTTATTGTTGGGGTTGGAGATTTACAGAGAGACCAGATGTGAAATAGTCTTCTAAAAGAGAAAGGGAGTAACTAGGGAAATTTAGGAGGTGGCAAGACAACACTATGGCCTTTTTTTTTTTTTTTATGGAGTCTCACTCGGTTGCCCAGGCTGGAGTGCAGTGGCGCAATATTGGCTCACTGCAACCTCCACCTCCTGGGTTCAAGCAATTCTCCTGCCCCAGCCTCCCAAGCAGCTGGCACTATAGGCCCGTGCCACCACGCCCAGCTAATTTTTGTATTTTCAACAGAGATGAGGTTTCGCCATGTTGGCTAGGCTGGTCTCAAACTCCTGACCTCAAGTGATCCGCCTGCCTCGGCCTCCCCAGGTGCTGGAATTACAGGTGTGAGCCACTGTGCCAATACTACAGTCTTCTAAGAAGTTTGTGGTCACAAATTTGGCAAATTTGGGGAGACCATTTATCAATAAATGTCCCCTGAATGGCTGGTCCATGTCCAAGTTGCTGAGGCTGTCCAGAGGAACTGGCAGCCAGGATCCAGAGGTCAGGGGCAGCAAGGGCCTTGAAGACCCCGCCTTCCATCCTCAGGAGATGCAGCCGAAGGGCTACTTCCACCTCCCAGTACAAGGAACCTCAAAGGAGACCCTCACCAGCACGCAGGTAAATGGAAGGAAAAAACAAAAGCACCTGATTGAGGAGCAAAGCAAAGAGTGCCCCAAAACGAGAACAGCAGGGACTGTTTTGGAGGCTGTAGCAGCTTTAGAGCCAATTCTCGGTCAGATCCCAGGAGACAGCCATCAACGACTTAACCTAATGAAGCACAGGATAAGCACCACCTCAGACCAGCACAGCTGAATACAACCTTCTTGGCATGCAGAGAAAAGAAACGTCAAAATAAGGCACGGAGCCTGGGGGGATGGGTGCTGCTTGCCTCTGGGAGGGAGAGGAGAAAGACGAAAGATAAAGCCCCTCTCCACCCACTTACACACAGCCTGAGGACGTGTCCCAAAGCTCATTCTAAAGGCATGAAGCCACAGCCTACTGCTCCAATGGACCGATGCTTTATGAACCTCTGAGCATTTTCGGGGGATAGCCTCTCATTTAGTATGCGCAGGAGTCCCAGGACCAGCTGAACAAGGTCAGCCAGGCGGAAGTGAAGATGCTTTAACGCCATGCCAGGTCTGATGACTTCAAGCCCAGAGCTCCTTCCACAGCCCCCACTGCCTTCCCAAAGCACTCTTCCACTAACTGGGGTACAACCATCAAAACATTCGCTGTGCCCCAGATCCCTGCCAGCCTAGCAACCCAGAACACTCCCTGCCTCCTGGGTGGGGGGCAGCACCCAAACCAGGCAGAAGGAGCTGGGGCGGAGGGGTGGGGGTGGGCGCAGGTGGCCAGTTACCGAAAGCCCCTCCCTCCCCAACAACTCAAAAGCAGCGAGGCCTGTCCTTGACCTGTCTGAGAATGGGCCGCTTCACCACCCTGCTTGGTTAACTGAAGTCACCCGCACTGCAACACCCTGGTATCAGCCTCTGGCACAGACCCCTCAGTGCTACCCTAGGGACTCAGGCCCTTTCCACTCCGCAGCACCAAACCCTCGGGCAGCCCCTCCCTTCCTGCAGGACATCCAACTTTGACTTTATATCCATCTGAAATCTCAGCTCTGGTACCTCTTGATGCCGCCCAGAGTTTGTAGCCAGAAACCCAGAAGGCAAGAGCTAACACACTTCTTCAAACCAAGAGCATAACTTTGGCTTTCAATGAAGTCCTAGAGAAATAAACTGTCAGTCTTCTCTGGACAAAGATCGAGGCTGCACCCTAACAGCCTCTTCCTGTAGGAGACAGCTCAAAGAAACAAAAAAAAAAAAAAAAAAAAAAAAAAAAAAAAAAAAAGAAAGAAAAAATAAAGAAACGGCCTCTAAGAGGAGGAAGCTGGGCCCTGAGGCACGGGGAGAGGGTGCGGCAGGGGAGTTGGGGTGAAGGGTCCCTTCAGATCCACCACCTGCTACCTCAGGAGGGAGCCCCACTGTGTTTTGAGTCGGAGTGGGCAGGGGGAAATCCAGTATCTTGCTGTACCTATCTACACTAAGGCATGAAGTAACGTCTAGAAAAACAGTTCTCGGCTGGTTGTGGTGGCTCACACCTATAATCCCAGCACTTTGGGAGACTGAGGCTGGATGATCGCTTCAGTCCAGGGGTTGGAGCCTGGGCAACAGAGTGAGACCTCATCTCTATTTTATGAAAAAAGTTCAAACCACCTGTGTGGGGAAGACCAGGTCTCTCCACATTCTAGCTAGCTTCCCGCCTCTGGCGGCTTTTTTTTTTTGAGACGGAGTTTTGCTCTTATTGCCCAGACTGGAGTACAATGGCGTGATCTTGGCTCACCGCAACCTCCACTTCCCAGGTTCAAGCAATTTTCCTGCCTCGGTCTCCTGAGTAGCTGGGATTACAGGCATGCGCCACCATGCCTGGCTAATTTTGTATTTTTAGTCGAGATGGGGTTTAACCGTGTTGGCCAGGCTGGTCTCGAACTCCCAGCCTCAGGTGTTCCGCCCACCTCCGCCTCCCAAAGTGTTGGGATTACAGGTGTCAGCCACTGCGCCCAGGCTTTTTCCCCCTTTTTGAGACAGGATCTCACTCTGCTGCCCAGACTGGAATGCCGGTGGCGCAATCACAGTTGACTGTAGACTCGACCACCTGGGCTCAAATGATCCTACCTCAGGCCCCCGAGTAGCTAGGACCATAGGCATACGCCACCAGACCTGGCTAAATTTTTTTTTTTTTTTTTTTTTTCATAAAGACAGGGTCTTGCTATGTTCCCCAGGCTGGACTTGAACTCTCAGACTCCTGCCTCAGCCTCCCAAGTAGCTGGGACTACAGGTGTGCACTACTTTTGTTGTTTTTTTTGTTGTTGTAGAGATGATGTCTTGCTATGTTGCCCAGGCTGATCTCCAACTCCTGTTCTCAAATGATCCTCCCAACGTGGCCTCCCAAAGAGCTGAGATTGCAGATATGAGCCACCTTGCTCAGTCCTCAGACTTCTTTGCTTTTTATTTCACCTGATGCTGTTGTTGTTTTCAAATAGATGAGTTTAATCCATTTCACTTGGAGTTATGTTACTATCTTATTCAGTATTTTGTCTACTATTTTTTCTGTATTTTTTTTCTTTTCCTGACTTGGGTTGACATATTATCTCCACCCTCACCTTTTTTTTTTTTTTTTTTTTTTTTTTTTGAGACGGAGTCTCACCCTGTCACCCAGGCTGGAGTGCAGTGGCTTGATCTCGGCTCACTGCAAGCTCTGCCTCCCAGGTTTATGCCATTCTCCTGCCTCAGCCTCCCCCGTAGCTGGGACCACAGGTGCCCACCACCATGCCCGGCTAATTTTTTTTTGTATTTTTAGTAGAGACAGGGCTTCACCATGTTAGCCAGGATGGTCTTGATCTCCTGACCTCGTGATCTGCCTGCGTCGGCCTCCCAAAGTGCTGGGATTACAGGCGAGAGCCAACACGCCCGGCCAACCCTCACCACTTTTTTTCCCCCTCCTGGTCTGGAAATTATATTACTTTTTTTTTAGTGATTAATCTTATATTGTTAGCTTATGTACATTTTCTTGATGAAGTCTTCAGTTTTTCAGTAATGCCATTCTCTTAACAAGGCAGAAATTTGGTGTGGCTTAACAATAAAATTCTCTATTCTTATTCTTCCTTGGTAATGTGGTCAACAATTCTAGTTTTCTCTTAAAAAAAAAAATTAAAAGCCCATTTAGATCCTGTTTTTTTTTTTTTTTTTTGTCTCTGTGTTTTGCCGTCTGTAGCAGACACTGTTGGCTGTCTACCAGCGGCCACTCTCTTTTTCGCTTGCCAACAGAATCCTGATTTGTTTGGGCAGCTAAGGACCCAGTCCTGGCAGATGATGCAAGACTGGCCAAAGCCAACCAGCGCCAACCACAGCAAGCCTGTCCCTTTTTCACCAGGAATTGGTTTGAGGATGGACCAGCTCAGGTCAATGAGACCCAAGGGAGTATGTGTTAGGGCCATCTTGGAAAGATTTTCCTTTCCAAATAAGCAGCCGGGCGCAGTGGCTCACAACTGTAATCCCAGCGCTTTGGGAGACTGAGGCAGGCAGATCACCTGAGGTCAGGAGTTCGAGACCAGCCTGGGCAACATGGTGAAACCCCATCTCTACTAAAAATACAAAAATTAGCTGGGCGTGGGGTCAAGTGCTTGTATTTCCAGCTACTCAGGAGGCTAAGGCACAAGAATCACTTGAACCCACGAGGTGGAAGTTGAAGTGGGCGGAGCGGAGATCACACCTTCCAGCCTGGATGACAGTGATTGCAATAAAAAATAAAAAAAAAAAAAGCAGCAGCAGCACATGAAGAAAAAGCTTCCTTTCTCCTAGGATCTCTGTGCCTTCCTGCCTGGGATGTTACAGGGTGATGATATAATGTCTGGAGCTATGGCAGCCATCTCACGACCATGAGAGACATCTTGCACCCTCGTATGGCAGAGTAGAAAGATCGAGGGTCCTTCATGTTCCTATGTGACCTACTGCCCCAACCCTGGAACTACTGACCTCCACACTTCTTGTTATAAACTAATCCAGTGTTTTCCAGTTTAAGTCATTGTGGGTTACTCTGCTACTTGCATCCTAATATATTGTTAATAGTTAATTCAGGCCAGGCACGGTGGCTCACACCTGTAATCCCAGCACTTCAGGAGGCTGAGGCAGGCGGATCACCTGAGGTTGGGAGTTCGAGAGCAGCCTGACCAACATGGAGAAACCCCGTCTCTACTGAAAATACAAAATTAGCTGGGTGTGGTGGCGGATGTCTGTAATCCCAGCTACTCAGGAGGGTGAGGTGGGAGAATCGCTTGAACCCGGGAGGCAGAGGTTGCGGTGAGCCGAGATCACCCCATTGCACTCCAGCCTGGGCAACAAGAGCGAAACTCCGTCTCAAAAAAAAAAAAAAATAGTTAATTCAATTTACCAACATAATGCATCCACTTCTGTGCTCACTGTTGGCACCAACAACCTGCTCTTTCTTCAGGGGTTTACTTTTCTTCTTACTGAAGTACATCTGTAACCATTCTTTCAGCAAAGGTCTGTAGGTGATAAAACTGTCTTAGCCTGTCCAAAAATACCTTTATTTTACCTCATTCTTGAATGATAGCTGGCTATGGAATTCCAGGTTGACAAGGAGCTTCTCTAAGACATTCTTCTGTTGTTTTCTGGCATCCAATGTTGATAAGATATTATTTGTGATCTAATTGTCAATTCTTTGAATTCTTTCTTACCTCCAGTAGTTTTTAACTCTCTTGGTCTGGTCAGGTATGGCAGCTCATGCCTGTAATCCCAGCACTTTGGGAGACCACGGTGGGCAGGTTGCTTGAGCCCAGGAGTTTGAGACCAACCTGGGCAACACGACAACACCCTATCTCTACAAAAAATACAAAAATTAGCCGGGCGTGGTGGCATGTTTCTGTAGGCCCAGCTACTCAGGAGGCTGAGGTGGGAGGATCACCTGAGCCTGGCAGGTCAAGGCCACAGTGAACCGTGATTACGCCACTGCCGCCCAACCTGGCCTCAAAAAGCAAAATAAAGTTATATTATTATCTGCAGTTTGGCTGTATTATATCTAGTGACATATTATTTATCCTGTTTGATGTTCATGCTGTTTTTTCGAATCTGAAATTTCAAGCCATTATCTCTTTAAATATTATTTCTAGGCTGGGCATGGTGGCTCATACCTGTAATCCCAGCATTTTTGGAGGCCTAAGCAGGCGGATCACTTGAGCTCAGGAGTTCGAGACCAGCTTAGGCAACATGGCAAAACCGCGTCTCTATAATAAAAAATAAAAAAATTAAGCGTGGTAGCGCATGCCTGTGGTCCCAGAAAGTCAAGACGCTAAGGCGAAAGGTTGGCTTGAGGCTGGGCACGGTGGCACACACCTGTAATCCCAGTACTTTGGGAGGCGGAGGCAGGTGGATCAGCTGAGGTCAGGAGTTCACGACCAGCCTGGCCAACATGGTGAAACCCCGTATCTACTAATAATACAAAAAATAAGCCGGGCATGGTGGCGGATGCCTGTAATCCTAGCTACTCGGGAGGCTGAGACAGGAGACTCACTTGAACCTGGAAGGCGGAGGTTGCAGTGAGCTAAGATCGGGCCACTGCACTCCAGCCTGGGCAACAAGAGTGAAACTCTGTCTCAAAAAAAAAAAAAAAGTTAGCTGGGCATGGTGGCAAGTGCCTACAGCCCTAGCTACTCGGGAAGCTGAGGGGGCAGGATCATTTGAACCAGGGAAGTCAAGGCTGCATTGAGCCATGATCATGCCACTGCACACCAGCCTGGGCAACAGAGTGAGACTCTGTCTCTATAAAAAATAAAAAGCTGGCCGGGCGCGGTGGCTCGCGCCTATAATCCCAGCACTTTGGGAGGCCGAAGCAGCCAGATCACCTGAGGTCAGGAGTTCGAGACCAGCCTGACCAACATGGAGAAACCCGTCTCTATCAAAAATACAAAAAAAAAAAAAAAAAAAAAAAAAATTAGCCAGGCGTGGTTGCGCATGCCTGTGATCCCAGCTACTCCGGAGGCTGAGGCAGGAGAATTGCTTGAGCCCAGGAAGCGGAGGTTGCAGTGAGTAGAGATCATGCCATTGCACTCCAGCCTGGGCAACAAAAGCGAAACTCCATCTCAAAAAAGAAAATAATAAATAAATAAATAAATAAATAAATAAATAAATAAATAAAAGCTTTAGCCCCAGGAAATGGTAACAACTTTTCTCAGGCTACTGTCCAGCTGTGGATTCAAGCAATTTCCTAGCTCAATTCCATGCTCCAAATGGAACACTTTATGGCTCTGTTATCCCAAATTTCTGCTTCCAGACTCAGAGACCAGCAGGCCTGCAGCTTCAGCCTGGCTTTCTTCCTTGTGTTCTTGTCTATTTCTCATCCACAGGGATATTTATCATGTTGAGTGTGGTGGGGGGTAGAAAAGTGGAGGCGTACATGAATATATTTTTAGAATTTTATCTTTTTATGTATTACTGCTATGTGTTTAGAGTATAAATTTACAGTGCCATCCTGACTGGATGAATTGGATTTAACTATTCATACCAGGAAACTGGGCATCCCTGCCAATACTAATCTCTTGGGAACAGGTATCAAACCATCTCTAACAAGATTCATAGAACTCTAGCCAACACAATGAGGGCAGGAGACTGAGATACCCTGGGGTCAACTGAAGAAAGGCCCAATTGAAACTGCTCTCCCATTCCCACTGCCACCTTCATTCCAGTCCACAGAGGGATAGGGCAGGGCGTGCAGACATGCAAACGGGATCTTTCAGATGTGGCCTGGGCAGGCCTTCACTGACCCAGGTAACACGGGCCTTCAGTCTCTTCCACACCATTTGCCCATTTCAGTCTTTCACCTGACTAGTGAAAACTGCACACTGGCCATACAAACACCCCTGATGGAAGGCCCATCTGACTCTCTTCAAGTCCCCAGTCTGCCAGCACAGGCCCAGCCTGAAGTTCCACTGAAAATCGGAACAATTGATTCAGGAGCCAAATTCTAGTCTAGACTGTTACCAAGCAGCCAAGCAGGTTACTTTTCATTTCCAGGCCAAGATTCTGTTTGTTTATTTTTGAGATAGAGTCTCACTCTGTCATCCAGGCTGTAGTGCGGTAGTGTGATCTCAGCTCACTGCAACCTCCGCCTCCTGGGTTCAAGTGATACTCCTGACTCAGCCTCCCAAGTAGCTGGGACTACAGGCGCCTGCCACCACGCCCAGATAATTTTTCTATTATTATTTATTTATTTATTTATTTATTATTTATTTATTTTTTTGAGACGGAGTCTCACTCTGTCACCCAGGCTGGAGTGCAGTGGCACGATCTCGGCTCACTGCAAGCTCCACCTCCCGGGTTCATGCCATTCTCCTGCGTCAGCCTCCCGAGTATCTGGGACTACAGGCGTCCGCCACCAAACCTGGCTAACTTTTTGTATTTTTTAGTAGAGACGGGGTTTCACCGTGTTAGCCAGGATGGTCTCGATCTCCTTACCTCGTGATCCACCTGCCTCGGCCTCCCAAAGTGCTGGGATTACAGGCATGAGCCATCACGCCCAGCCAATTTTTCTATTATTAGCAGAGATGGGCTTTCGCCATGTTGGTCAGGCTGGTCTCAAACTCCTGACTGTTAGGGATGAGCTGCCCCAGGACCACCCCCCCGCCACAATGCAGCTGACCCTTACCGTGAATACTCTGCAGCTGCATTCCTGAACCCTTATCTAGGCACCACAGCAAGTCATCAAACTTACTAGATTACAGCCCTCCGGGCGGCACGGGGAAGGTCACAAGAAACGGATAAACCTAAGAGGGATACACCCTCTTGTAAATTCCTATTTTCACAAGATAATATATTGCAAGCCAGTCAGGAGAAGATATTCGTAAAGTTAACGGACAAACAACCCCAGGGTGTTTCTCTCTCTCTCCATCTCCCGGGTTCAAGCGATTCTCCTGCCTCAGCCTCCTGAGTAGCTGGGACTACCGGAGTGTGCCACCACACCTGGCTAACTTTTCTATTTTTAGTAGAGATGGGGTTTCACCATGTTGGCTAGGCTGGTCTCAAATTCCTGACTTCAAGTGATCTACCCACCTCGGCCTCCCAAAGTGCTAGGATTACAGGCGTTGATCCACCGTGCCCAGCTTCCAAGATTCTTTTTTTTTTTTTTTTTTTTCTTTTCTGAAACAGAGTCTCAGTCACCCAGCCTGGAGTGCAGTGGCACAATCTTGGGATCTTGGCTCACCGCAACCTCCGCCTCCCGGGTTCAAGCGATTCTCCTGCCTCAGCCTCCTGAGTAGCTGGGACTACAGGCACGCGCCACCACGCCCAGCTAATTTTTGTATTTTTAGTAGAGATGGGGTTTCACCATGTTGCCTAGGCTGGTCTTCAATTCCTGACTTCAAGTGATCCACCCACCTCGGCCTCCCAAAGTGCTGTGATTACAGGAGTGAGCCACCGAGCCCAGCTTCCAAGATTCTTTAACAATCAAAAGGAAGCAATCCTACCTCCACTCTCTTCCTCCCGGATGATCGCAGTGTTGGTTACTGCTGACCACCACTGTGATTTCCAGTTTTACCTATTTCTTTCAGCTGCTAATGTATTTCAAAAGCATGAGATGGGGTGCCCTTATTCATGCAGCGAGGTCAAGATCTTAACATAAATAGCATTCAGAGATGCCCAAACCAGGCCTCCCCAGCCTCATCTCTTATCAGACCCTATTCTCTAAGGTTTACAAACTAATTTGGATCCCAAGCCAGAACTGGCCCACATTTATTAAGATTCTACACTGAAACTAAAAAGACATGTATGTGTCTCTCACTTAAAAGAACCCTAAGAACTCTCAGGGTACAGAGACAATGCTATTTAATTCCTCATCTCTGTACCACTGTAGCGCCTAGCACTGTCCTGCATATAGGAGGCATCAATAAATGTTTGCCCAACTGAGTATCATCTCTCTACATAAGCCCAGGGCTATAAAAATCAAAAGAAATGATGGTTATAAAAAATGCTTTGAAACCATTATTATGAATTATATAAGTATGCATATGAAAGTGATAATTATATTCTGCCCCCACTTTTCCATCTCTGACATTCTAGAAGTGAGAGCTTTCTCTAACTTCTCTTGGACCACCCAGAAACATGAGACCTCAGGTACAAACCAAATTGAGCAAATCTGAGCCTGTGGGAAAGGGGTGTGCGTGTAAAGCTGAAGCAGGTGCCTGGACGACGGCAGGGACAGTGGGAGTGTGCTACTCTTAAGGGCCCAGCAACAAACACCTGGCACGGCTGCTGACCTGGAACTCCTGCAGCTCACTCCCCTAAGCACCGCAAGCTGCAGTCCTCCCAGCTGGGGCTTTCCAGATCACTCACCCGTTCACCTCGGCTCAAAGCATCTCCAGATGAACAAAGTGCGTAGAAAAACTTGGATTCACATTGTGGGTTTGCCACTTGTCAGCTATTGACCATGTAACTTCTCTCATGGTCCTGATCTGTGCAATGGGAATAGCACCCATCTCGAAGGGGTTCCATGAGGATTATATAAAGGCACACATAAAGCTCTACCTCCATGGCTATGGTCATGGGTTGGGCAGATTGAGGGTCACAGCTCTGCAGGAGCCCCATGGCATCACAAGGAAGGCACAAACCCCTCCCACACAGCACTGACTCTGGCTCCACAGCGCCCCAGCCCCACCCCACCTTCCCAGCCCCCACTTCCCACAGGAACTCTCCTCCCTGGGGCCCCACTCCCAGCAGGCACCGGCCTCCAGGAAGGTTGCGGTTTCAGGGCCAGCCCTACCTTGGTTGATCCTTGCCCCTAGACCCAGCAGAGGACGGTGCGCGTCCATCCTATGGGACACGGCCGTAACCCCTTCCCCAGCCCCCACTTTAGCACACCCTGCAGAGCAGAGGCCTGACCTGAGCTGGCTCTAAACAGCTCCCTGAGGCTGGAGGCCAGACAGCCACAAGCCAGGAGCAAGATTCTAGAATACAAAGCTATTATAATAAGGAGTTTCTCTGCAAGGCCAAAAGCCTCAGACATTAATAGAGGCAGAAGATGAGTTGCAGACCCTGAAGGTAGGAGAGAGGGGGATGAACCCAAGTCTCCAGGGGAGACTTCTGGAGGAAGTGGGAAGTGGGATGAATAAACGGTGGACCAGGGGAAGCCAGAGAGGGTCTGGAGTGTATGGGGTGGCATGGCGTGGCTGGGGGGGCGGGGGGAATGTTAGAAGTTCATCTCCCAACGCTGCCCTCTGACTGCCTCCAGGGGGCCATTAAACTGGACCACACTACCTCCCGGGGTGAAGGGACTAAGGTGCTGACAGTCCGCTCTGATTTCTTTTAAAGATAGGATTCAGAATGCCAGGTAGCTTGGCTGCTCATCACTGCTTATGATTCTGATCTTGGTCACACCGTAGATGTATAATAAGGAGCCACTGAGGAGCTGTCAGGGTCCTCTTTTTCCTTCTGTACTCGTCTGCATGTCTGGAGAATGCTTTGAATCACAAGAGAAAAACACAAGATGCGTGTGTTCTGCACAGTTATTGATCGACACCAGGCAGTGGCAGCCAGACTGGGAAGAGCCCTCACTGACCCCTTAGCCAAGCCCTTTTTCCTACGGCCTGGTGGGTCCTCTCTGGAAACAATCAGGCCAGCTTCCTGCTCTGTCAAGGAGCACAGCAATGGGGCTCCTCTGTTTTGAGGACTTCCTGCAAGCCCTCCAGCCTACCACAAAGTCAGGGCTCCTTGGCTTTGACAGCTATCCTTCCTCCAGGAGGGCTGTCCCTTCCAAAGGTATCAGGGGCAGCTGACCTCAGAGACTGGCATCCCAGGGTCCCAACTGGAGGCTTTTCCCTCTGTAAGGAGGCGGAGCTGGTGACAGGAATACTAACCACCAGCAGGGCACTACTGCTGAGGCCAGAGCTGGGGCTTCAAGGAGGAAAAGGCAGGTGCAGTCCTCCACTTACAGCCCCGCTCGGCGAGCAGGACCACGCTCCCTGCCAAACTCATCCTCATCGAAGTGGGCCCTCCTTGACCTTCACAGAACACGGGTCAGTCCACTCCTCCCCAAGCCCTGGCTTCCCCAGATACATAGATACGCTCTAGCCTGGTTGTGGAGGACCAGGTTGGGGGTGAGAGGATTAGAAGAGAACCTCTGTGCACTCTGCTGTCCTCCCTAGAAGAGGGGTGAAACGGAAGCAAAGCGGGCGATTTCTCCAGGTAATCTTCAACCCTCTCCTCCCCCACCCACGCACCTGGGGCAGGAAATCAGCTGGTGGCAACAGAGCCCCCCACACCAGAGGCTTCCTGGAACAACCCCGAGCAAGGGCACACAGCAGGAAGAGGAGACTCCAGGGCAGGGACACAAATGCTCTCCTAAAGGGCCCAACCCGGGCGAGTCGCACAAAGTGGCAGGGAGGGCAGGGCATTCCCTCCCCCTCTCCCAACTCTTGGATGTCAACATCAAGGCTGGACCATGGCGAGGGACTCTGGTCTGGGTCCTACCCTCCCCCACTGTAAGCTCCAGCAGGCTGGCCACCCTGGAAAAGGCTCAGGCCTGCTAGACCCCAGCAGGGGCTGATGGCAAGGGGCTAAGCTAGGGTGCCTGCAAGTCCCACCCATGCATACCAAAGGAAAGAGGAGATATGCTCCAGAACTTCAGGCCACAGTCTTTGCGGCCCAGAGTTGAAGGACTGGACTTAAAAATCCACCATCTATCCCCAGATCCTGTTAGGGATGTGAGAATAGGGGAGAGAATACCAGGAAAGAGGTCACAATCCAACCACGAGCACTGCAAATCCATAAGACAGGGGCCCCGGCAGCAGGGGAAGTGACTGCTTCAGTGGAAAGGAAAGCTGCAAGACAGTCTGTGGAGTCACTGCATAGGCACAAAGGCCCTCTGCAAACCAGAGGGCAGCGGCACAGTGACCTGGCTGGCATACTGAAACAGGCTCAGCCCAAAGCTCCAACACACAAGACAAGCTAAGCCCCTGAGAATGCTGTGAGAGCTTCTGGGACATGAGGCCCTGGGTGCAGCAGCCTCGGGTCTCAGAGGCTTCCCTGTCCCAGCCTGGCGGCCAGAGGTCAGAGCAGCTCGCTCGCCTCGCTAGTGCTGGCATCACACTCAAAGGTACAGGTGAAAACATGGTTCTTTCTCATCATCAGCCCCAGTCATGGACCTCGCCTCCTCCACCGGGCTGGTATGACCTCTGCCTGTAATCTTTCAGTCCTCCTGCCCAGCCAAGCTACCAAGGTGGGGTGTCCGCCAGAACCACTGGGGCCAGGCAATATGATGACAGCAACAGTCCAGGCTGCAGGTATGGAGGCCTACTTTGTACCAGGCAAATCCCTCCAAAGGGCTCCTATGTTATCAGTGGGGTAGGGACACCACAACTGACCATTTGACCCCCCCCTTCCCTTTTTTTTTTTTTTTTTTTTGAGATGAAGTTTTGCTCTTTCACCCAAGCTAGAGTGAAATGGCATGATCTCGGTTCACTGCAACCTCTGTCCCCGGGTTCAAACTTCCATCAACTAGGCCAACTTCTTATCAGTTTCTATTCTTGTGGCCCAGTGGGAGGATGGAACCAGGTGGGGAGACTTCTATAGTTTCTGCCAAGATCAAATGTTGGAGAAAGCCTTTTGTATGGCAGTTCGTGGGCTAAACTGGCCTGAGCAGCATGGCAAGAGGTAGGTCATATTACAAGGCCTACATGGAACAAGGCTGCACTCCTAAAAGGTCCAGTCACATAGGTGCCAATCACCTGGGAGACCTAGGGAAACAGGCATCCCTCCCTCCGCCACCACAGCCAAGAGCCCTGGGTAGAGAAGAGGGCAGAACAGAGATCTGACTGCAGGGTGGTCAAGTAGTCTGGAGAGGATTCCTGGTGGCATGGGTCCTACAAGACAACCTAGACAGTGGACAAGCCAGCACTAGGAGGCCAGAGAGCCTGGCGAAAGGGCCTGCAGACGTCTGCTGGCCTTGGAGGTGGTTATCTCCTGGAAGGGGAATAACAGGGCAGGGTCCGAAAGCTTTGGAAACAAACCAGTAACTTGTTCTTTGTGAGCCAGGCTGTTTTTATTCTTTGCACGCCCTATCTTTAGCTTTCTTTTGTTCTCCTTTTATATTTAGTAATGTCTTTTGGAAAGGTCAGCCTGTGGCAGCTATGCTCATGGAAACTCAAGGAAGGTGTTTGCATCCATGCTTCTACCAGAAGACTAAAAGGAAGCCATGTCCTCCCACCCAGCCCTCCAGAGTGAAGGTATAGAAATGCAGAGTAAAAGATGGAGGGAACCAGAGGTGGGCCCCTTGCTCAGCTGCTGTGTCCTCTGGACACTTCCTTTCCAACAGGGACCCTGGAAGTTCCAGCTAGGAAGAGAGGTCATTGTGAGCCCACGGCCAGCCTGGTGCCATCTGGTAACTTCCAGCACCAACCCTGCAGGTGGCTTTGGGAAGCATCGCTGTCCTGCACCCTGCTTTTCCCTGTCACTAAGGTTCAGCCCTGGGAGGTGGGCTGGGGAGGACAGTGCCTGAGAGCCCAGCACACACCTGCCTTCATGGTCCCGAGCTCCAGCTGAGCAGTCTTCCTCTTTCCTGAGGAGCCGATGACATGCTGTGACCTACTCAGGCAGGGCCCCTGGTTGCTAGGGAATCAGTTCACCACCTCTGGAAAGTGGCAATATCGCTGCTGTGAGTAGGCCCAAAGTGGGCCTTTCCCTGGCACCGCCTCTGAGCCTTATCCCCGGGGTGAGAAAAACGAAGGTTGGGGGACGCCAAGGGCCCTCCTCGGTCCCTGCTGCCCATCCTCAAGGACTGACCTGCCCTCCTGGATCTGGCCTAAGCTGAGTTATAAGCTCCCTGCCAAGACAACATCCATCGTGCCATGTACTACTGTTGTCAACTTTAGGGGGATGTGGAAAGGAAGGACGCACAGACCTTGGTCCATTACAGTGGACCCCAGGGAGCTGTCTTTGTTGTCCAGCTTTATGATACAGCTTGGGGTTACACAGGCATCGCCCACATGATGGTGCTATCAGGGACTGGGGATGTGAGGAGGTGGGGCCCAGGGCCCGCTTTCAAGCCCCACCCCTCCTTGAGACAAGGTCTTACTCCAGCCCAGGCTGGAGTGCAGTGCTAGGATCATGGCTCACTGCAGTCTTGGCCTCCTGCCTCAGCCTCAGCATCCTGAGCAGCTGGGACCACAGGTACACACAACACCGCACCTGACTTCGCTTTCAGAGTCCAAAGCCCTCATAGGGCCATTGTGAGGCTAGGGCATCCCCACCCCATATGTGGTTAACTCATGCCTATGAATTACCATTTTGTTTGTTGTTATTGTTTGTTTTTGTAAAGCTAGGATCTTGCTATGCTGCCCAGGCTGGTCTTGAACTCCTGACCCCAATCCTCCCGTCTCAGCCCCCGAAAGTGCTGGAATTACGGGCCTGAGCCACCAAGCCCAGCCTGCACTAACATTTCACAGGGAATGATGGACCAATGCTGGAGGACCTTGATTCCAGGACTGGCTGTGCTCAATAGCAGAGCAGCTGTGTGTCTTTGGGCAAATCACACCTCTCTGGGCTGCAGGTCCTCCATTTGTAAAATGAGCACGATAATGCCTACCTACTGACCTCACGCACTCCCTGCAAAGATTAAATGAGCAATGACTGTAGGCTGTGGAGTGCTGTATCTCCAAGTAACATTGACTTTCAGCCTCATAGAGAGGAAGGAAACAGGGACGAGAGGTGACACTGCAGCTAAGCCAAAGGGAACAGGTGTGTGTGACATGGGACTGGGGGACCAGTTAAAACCGGCCCCAGGCATAAACAGACAGGGTGCTCTGGGCGCTGAGCAGGAGAAGCAGACAGGTCAGTCTGGGCTGGCAGACAGTTCGGGAGAGAAATGGCTGTCAGCAAACATCTGAAGGGCAAGAGGAAAGACACAGGAGTGAGAGGCTCAGAATGCAAGAGGCATCCAGTCCCAAACTTCACTCCCGAGAACTCAGGAGCTGGTGAGCATTGCCCCAAAGCTCCCAGGCACACCAGCATTTTGCTAATACACACATAACGCCACACCCTCAGAGTCCAAAGCCCTCATAGGGGCAGCCTTGACCTCTGGCCCAGAGACCCCAGCAAAGTGACTCACCTGAGGTAAGAAGCCTGTGTAAGACTGAACTGAGGTCTCCTCTTAAGTCAGAGGCTCAAAGCCCAAAGCACGCTGCTAAGCTCTTACTACAACACTCCATTCCTGGCTTTGCCAAGCTGAGTCAAATACCTGTCCCCTCACAAACTGGAAGTGACAGAGAACTGAGTCCAAAAGAGCGCTATTTTTGTTTTTCTGTACCTGAAACTGGCACCACTGTCCTGGGCATTCTCTTCCAAAGGAGGAGACAGAGGGGGAGCACGACTCACCCCAAATCCCTCAACAGAATTGAGAAAACACAGCCACACCAGAGCCATGTCCTCATCCCAGTGCCAGCAAGAAACAGCACAGGAGGGTGGGCATTCAGGAAGCTGACGTCACTGAATGTCTCCATCTCAGACCTTTCCTAACACCAGCTATCACACAGATCTCCCCCCGGGCCATTAAGAGGAAGGGACCATTTGCCATAAAAATCAACACTTTAGGCTGGGCGCGGTGGCTCACGCCTGTAATCCCAGCACTTTGGGAGGCTGCGTCCGGAAGATCACCTGAGGTCAGGAGTTTGAATCCAGCCTGGCCAACATGGTGAAATCCCGTCTCTACTAAAAATACAAAAAATTAGCTGGGCGTGGTGGCACATGCCTGTCATCCCTGCTACTGGGGAGGCTGAGGCAGGGGAATCGCTTGAACCTGGGAGGCGGAGGCTGCAATGAGCCAAGACCAAGTTACTGCACTCCAACCTGGGTGACAGAGAAAGACTCCATCTCAAAACAAACAAACAAAAAAGTCAGTACTCCATACTGGAAAAAGCCCCCTGCCTGCAATTCAGACAACCTGGGTTCTTGCCTCAGTTCTTCTACCTCCTGGCTTGGGGATCTTGGGCAAATTTCTCAACTTCCACTTCCTGATCTGTAAATGGAATGACTCAATGATTTTTTTTTTTTTTTTTTTGAGATGGAGTTTCGCTCTTTTTGCCCAGGCTGGAGTGCAATGGTGTGATCTCGGCTCACCACAACCTCCACCTCCTGGGTTAAAGCGATTCTCCTGGCCGGGTGCAGTGGCTCACGCTTGTAATCCCAGCACTTTAGGAGGCTGAGGCGGGCAGATCACGAGGTCAGGAGACAGAGACCACAGTGAAACCCCGTCTCTACTAAAAGTACAAAAAATTAGCCGGGCGTGGTGGCAAGCGCCTGTAGTCCCAGCTACTCAGGAGGCTGAGGCGGGAAAATGGCATGAACTCGGGAGGCAGAGCTGGCAGTGAGCCAAGATCGTGCCACTGCACTCCAGCCTGGGTGACAGAGTGAGACTTCGTCTCAAAAAAACAAAACAAAACAAAACAAAAAAAGCCATTCTCCTGCCTCAGCCTCCTGAGTAGCTGGGATCACAGGCATGCGCCATGACGCCCAGCTAATTTTTTTTTTTTTGTACTTTTAGTAGAGACGGGGTTTCTCCATGTTGGTCAGACTGGTCTCGAACTCCCGACCTCAGGTGATCCACCTGCCTCGGCCTCCCAAAGTGCTGGGATTACAGGTGTGAGCCACTGCGCCCTGCCAAGTAAGTAGCTTTATAAGGTTCTTGGCTGGGCACAATGGCTAATGCCTATAATCCCAGCACTTTGGGAGGCCGAGGCAGGCGGATCACCTGAGGTTGGGAGTTCGAGACCAGCCTGACCAACATGGAGAAACCCCGTCTCTACTAAAAATACAAAATTAGCCAGGCGTGGTGGTGCATGCCTGTAATCCCAGCTACTCGGGAGGCTGAGACAGGAGAATTGCTTGAACCCGGGAGGTGGAGGTCGCGGTGAGCCGAGATTGTGCCATGGCACTCCAGCCTGGACAATAAGAGCAAAACTCTGTCTCAAAAAAATTAAATAAATAAATAAATAAATAATAAAGTTCTTGCCAATGAAATGGAAAATGGTTGCACATGGTGTAAGACTGTATCATTTGAACTTCTTTAATTACAGTGGCTAAAAATCCAATTTGAAGTGCCCTTTGATGTAAGGGAAACCTTTAACTCAGATGCCTGTGGGTATGACTGGCCACATGCAGGGAAAATGATGCCACTCTTGGTTCCCACATGATGGAAGGTGCCTGCTCGTGGCACAGGCCTCCTTCGTCTCAGCATCTCTTTTCAAGATGCCTGCTGGAGTCCTGGGTTCACTCTGATATGGAGTCTGTGTCCAAACCTGGACCAGGCACTGTGGCTGGGTGCATTTGGTGCCCTTATTGGCCAAGCCTGGGTTACAGGGCACAGAGATGGCAGCTGGGGAGAGATGGTTCCCCAAAGACCTGTTGTTAATGATAAAGATGTCTTGTATTGAGCTGGGCATGGTGATGCACGCCTGTAGTCCCCACTGCTTAGGAAGCTGAGGTGGAAGGATTGCTTGAACCCAAGAGTTCAAGTACAGCCTGGGCAACATAAAAAAAAAGTGATAGGCCAGGCGCAGCAGCTCACGTCTGTAATTCCAGCACTTTAGGAGGCCGAGGTGGACAGATCACCTGAGGTCAGGAGTTCAAGATCAGCCTGGTCACCATGGTGAAAGCCTGTCTCTGATAAAGATACAAAAATTAGCTGGGCGTGGTGATGTGCGCCTGTAGTTCCAGCTACTCAGGAGGCTGAGGCAGGAGAATTGCTTGAACCCAGGAGGCAGAGGTTGCAGTGAGCTGAGATCGTGCCACTGCACTCCAGCCTGGGTGACAGAGTGAGACTCCGTCTCAGGACAAAAAAAAAACAGTGATATATTGAGGTAGTGCCAGGTACCATTTTGACCCATGGAGACCATGCTTTGCCATAGTTCTACTGCCATTTGTTAATTTACCTTGTTAAAAATTGAACGTTAGAATGTAAAATGGTAATCCAGCTACTCGGGAAGCTGACACAGGAGAATCGCTTGAACCCGAGAGGTGGAAGCTGCAGTGAACCGAGACCGCTCCATTCACTCCAGCCTGGGTGGGTAACAAGAGCGAAACTCTGTCTCAAAAAAAAAAACTACTTACTTGACATCTGATGCAGAAGGGCTGCCCTGAACCTGCCTCTAAAATCCCTACCCTTGATAAATCGACCCAGCTCAGAGGCCCACAAGGGCAGAAGTGGTCCGGGTACTGACGTTCAGGGATTCCTGGCAGTGGCTCAATTCTGGCCAGGACTGAAGTCCTTCTCCAGCCAGGGAACTGCCCAGACGTGCGGATGGTGAGGGAGGCCCTGACTGCATGGCCTTCTGGGGTGGCCTGGAGTAAACACTGCCCACCATCAGAGTCCCCCAACCACAGGGAAGCCTCAGCAGGGGAGGGTGCCATGCCTTTTGCTGTCTAGCCATACCTTGAACCAGCTGAAGTCCTCAGGAAAAAAGAACATGACCGTCAATATAGAACGTAACAGGAAGTTAGGATCCTACGTTCCATTGCTCATCTTGCAATGCATTATGGGGGCCAAAGCCTTTTTTTTTTTTTTTTTTTTTTTTGTTTTTGAGACTGAATCTCACTCTGTCGCCCAGGCTGGAGTGCAGTGGCGCGATCTCGGCTCACTGCAACCTCCGCCTCCCAGGTTCAAGCGATTCTCCTGCCTCAGCCTCCCGAGTAGCTGGGACCACAGGTGAGGTGAATGCCACCACACCCAGCTAATTCTTTATATTTTTCGTAGACACGGGGTTTCACCAGATTGGCCAGGCTGGTCTTGAACTCCTGACCTCAGGCAATCCGCCTGCCTCGGCCTCCCAAAGTGCTGGGATTACAGGTGTGAGCCACCACACCCGGCCCTCAGAAGTGTTTTTCTTTTTTTTTTTTTGAGACAGAGTTTCACTCTTGTTGCCTAGACTGGAGTGCAATGGCGCAATCTCGGCTCACCACAACCTCTGCCTCCCGGGTTCAAGCGATTCTCCTGCCTCAGCCTCCTGAGTAGCTGGGATTACAGGCATGCACCACCATCCCGGCTAATTTTGTATTTTTAGTAGAGACGGGGTTTCTCCATGTTGGTCAGGCTGGTCTTGAACTCCCAACCTCAGGTGATCCACCCACCTCGGCCTCCCAAAGTGTTGGAATTATAGGCGTGAGCCACCGCGCCTGGCCCAAAAGTGTATTTCAACCTTTAAGAATTATCTCTGGATTTTCTCTCTTTCTTTTTTGACAAAGGGTCTCGCTCTGTCGCTCAGGCTGGAGTGCAGTGGCGCAAAAATGGTTCACTGCAGTCTTGACCTCCCAGGCTCCAGCAATCCTCCCACCTCAGCCTCCCGAGTAGCCGGGACCACAGGTATGTACCACCATTCCCAGCTACTTTTTAAAATACTTTTTACCGACATGGTCTCCCTATGTTTCCCAGGCTGGTCTCGAACTCCTGGGCTTAGGCAATCCTCTTACCTCAGCATCCCAAAGTGCTGAGATTACAGACACAAGCCACCATACCTGAGCATCTCTGGCTTTTCAAATGGTGACAGTCACGCCCCTGAACACCAGACCCATCTATCCCACTAATTTCTGGATGCTATCCTTTAGACAGTATACCTTAGTAGAGGTATCCAAAAAGTATCTCAAACTCAACTTGCCCCAAACCAAACCCATGCATAATCCAAGCCCCTCAAGCCCCTCAAACCCAGTCTTCTTTTTTTTTTTTTTTTTTGAGACTGAATCTCACTCTGTCGCCCAGGCTGGAGTGCAGTGGTGCGATCTCGGCTCACTGCAACCTCCACCTCCTGGGTTCAAGCCATTCTCCTGCCTCAGCCTCCCAAGTAGCTGGGACTACAGGCCCCCGCCACCATGCCTGGCTAATTTTTGTATTTTTAGTAGAGATGGGGTTTCACCGTGTTAGCCAGGATGGTCTCGATCTCCTGACCTCGTGATCCGCCCGCCTCAGCCTCCCAAAGTGCTGGGATTACAGGCGTGAGCCACTGCGCCTGGCCAAACCCAGTATTCTTTCTGTATTCCCAATTTCTGGGAAAGGAACCCCCATCCATCTAAGCCTGAAATGTAAGAGTCATATGTGAGCCCTCCTTCCTCAACCTCTCACAGCCAATCTATTACAAATCTCAACTAATTTTTACCACTGAAATGTCTCTCAGATCTATTTCTCGCTCTGTCTACAACCATCACTCCATCCAAGGAAATGTCATTCTTCACCTCCAGCAGTCCTAACCACTTAAGCCCCAGATCTACTAAACGGACCCCCTTCAACTCCTTCTTCATAGGGTAGCCAAAGTGGTCTTCACATAAGCAAATCTCATTAGATCCCCATCTCTAATTCCTCTCATCACAACAGCCAGACCTCCCAATGCTCTGGGGTAAAGGCGGAACTCCCCAAAGGCCCCAGGTCTGGCTGGCTGGGCTGCAGGATAACCCTGACACCAAAATGGAACGGAAAGGTCTGGAAGTCACTGCTCTGTCCACAGCCCTGGCACCACTCCTGGGGAGGCTTCAAACTCCTGAGTCAGGCTCAGAATGAGCTCAGTCTTGCCAGGTTTGTCCCCTCCCCCAGTGCACAGCTGACCGCAGATGGGAAAGGGAGCTGGTGGCCAGGCAGGGGAAACCCAGCTGGGCCGAAGCCAGGGGCTGTGTATTTCAGGAGGAGGTGACAGAGCGGCAGCAGCACCAACTCAACTGTCAGTATCTGTGGGGCCAGCTAAGAGAAGGCAGCTATCTGGGATTACAAAACTCAAGGAGTCTATCTCTTCCCTCTTATCAGACTGACCTTTGGCAGCCTTGCAGCCTGTGAACAAACTGCCATTAACAACCCCTCCCCCGCTTCCTGTAAGCACAATTCTTTGTGACCAGCCCAGGACAGCCAGAGGCTGCCAGAAAGCCTGCCCCTTCCTCCCTGCTAGGGTGGGGCTTGGGGCCCATCTCTCCCCAGACCCCTCTATCCTATCCCTCCCTCTTGGACACAATCCAGGAAACCTTATGCTCTGCTCAAACTGGACTTCTCAAGGTCCCCACACGTCCCCTGCCTTCTCAGTTCAGGCCTTTGTATCTTGGTATGTGTGGCCTTTTCCTCACTACCTTCCTCCTCTTCTCTACAGTGAGATCCTACCCAGCCCCTTCCAAGCGGGTTCTCAACTCCTCACAGATCTGCCACGTGGCTGTGCGGCTGACCCAGCGCCTCCCAGATCAGTCTGATTCCACCTCCCACCCTGGCTTTGGGGAAAAACCTGGCTAGAGCAGAGCACAGGATGTAAAAGGGTGGGGGAGAACTTGGCAAATAAAAAAATGGGAATCCTATTAACAGTCACCCCAGGGCCTAAATGGTGGCCAGAGTAAGAAGGGAGGAAAGAGACCAGATGGAGTTTTCTGCCTGAATCCAGGACAGAGCAGGAGTTGGAAGTGGGGGTGAGGAACTACTGGATGCAGGGGAACTGAGCACAGCCCCCTCAGCTGCAGGAGCCTGAGTTGTCCAGGGAGATGCCAGAGCAGGCTGGCTGCTGCTTAACGCATCCAAACAGGTTAGGAGAAAGTTCAAGCCAATTCCCACAGACATCTGGCCCTTATGATGGCCTCCTGGGCCCCCAGTACTACCTCCCCACTCAGGCTGTGGCGGGCTTCTGTCAATCAGGTTGACCAGATGGCTGAAGAATGAATCCCTGAGGCCGGGTAAGGTGGCTCAAGCCTGTAATCCCAGCACTTTGGGAGGCTGAGGTGGGCAGATCACGAGGTCAGGAGATCGAGACCATCCTGGCTAACACGGTGAAACACCGTCTCTACTAAAAATACAAAAAATTAGCCGGGCGTAGTGGCAGATGCCTGTAGTCCCAGCTAGCAGGCTGAGGCAGGAGAATGGCATGAACCCGGGAGGCGGAGCTTGCAGTGAGCCGAGATCGCGCCACTGCACTCCAGCCTGGGCAACAGAGCAAGACTCTGTCTCAAAAAAAAAAAAAAAAAAAAGAGTGAATCCCTGAGCAGGGCTTTAAATTCTTTTTTTTTTTTTTTTTTTTGAGACAGAGTTTCGCTCTTATTGCCCAGGCTGGAGTGAAATGGGGTGATCACGGCTCACTGTAACCTCCACCTCCCAGGTTCAAGTGATTCTCCTGCCTCAGCCTCCCCAGTAGCTGGGATTACAGGCGCCCTCCACCACACCCGGCTAATTTTTTGTATTGTTAGTAGAGATAGGGTTTTGCCATATTGGCCAGGCTGGTCTTGAACTCCTGACCTCAGGTGATCTGCCCGCCTTGGCCTCCCAGGCTTAGAGAGGGGTAATGACTTGCCCCGGGTCACACAGCACCAAAACCCTGTGGGTAGCTAAGGCAGCAAGAATCCTATATGCATTCAACCAGACCAAGCCCTAGACTGTGAAAATCAGCTGCACCCTCATGCCCCCTGAGAATAACAAGCTGCTTTCCCTTGAGGACAGCCAAACAGACCTGCCCTGATGCTCCTGGGCCCTCGGCCAGCCCAGGCCTCCACCTGGGCCTCTGGGCTGCCAACAGAGGGCCAGCAGGCCTCACTTTGTCTGCACAGCATTAGTGGCAGGGTATGCCCAGGGATCCAGGCTGGGCAGGAACTGCCAGGACTGGCAGCATGGGTGGAAGACAATGCCCTCTAAAATACCTCAGCCAGGTCTGAAGGGGCTGAGGTATGCAGACAGCTGGGCACTGCCACTTGAGATGAAAACTCACACTCATTCTAGAAGCCTACCCACTGTTGCTTTAAGGACAAGAGTAAATTGCTTTTCAGGCACTGAGGAAAATCCTTCATCAAACAGCCACCACTGTGATCTTGGGCTGCACCTCCTTGACACAAACTATTGACCTGCTTCCCATGCCACAGCCTCTTCCCGTCTAAGGAAGTACCAGTGTTGGCCCCCTTCACGAGGGGAGCCTGAATGGGATCCCCATTCCTCTCCTCACCATCTCCTCCTACCCATGGACCTGGGGTCTCCCCTGAGCCATGCTGGAGGCCCCAGAAACCAGCCAAACACTAAACAGGCCTGGATCCAGGGAAATACTAAGCCCTTTGGGACAGGAAGGAGCAGAGAGAGGGCCAGGCCCCAGAAACTCCCTTGTGGTCTGGCAACCCGAACCCAGGACTCACACTGCTCCCTAGAGCACCCAAGAGAGGTGGGAACCGAGGAGGCCGGGGTTCTCTCCTCTCCCTTTACTTTCCCACACAGCCTCATTCCCTTTGGTTGCTGCCATCTTTTCTTGTGTAGCCTAGGGACTCCACACAGGCCCACAGAAACTTTCACTTCCCCCTGAAACTCAGGTTCCAATTCACTGCCTGCATCAAATCGCTGGTGCTTTGTGTTTAACTGAACTTGGGTAGGAACAAAGGTTGGGGAAACCTGACTTACAGGGCAGGGGAGATTCCATATTCTACTAATGTCCCTTGCAAACAAAAAGGAAGCCTGCAAAGAAGACAGGAAGGAGGGGGCGTGGGGGAGGCAGGCAGCAGGGGGTGGAGAGGTGGGGGTGGCAGGGCGGGGCAATCTCCTGACGTGTGCCTCTCCTCATCTTCCCCTCTTCACTGTCAGCCCTAGTCCCTCTAAGTTCCCTTTAGCCACACAAATATCTTGTTGATTTTTCCACACCAAAGTAGTTCCCTGTAGACCAATTAGCTATTAACATTTGTTGCCAATTTTCTCCCTCCAAAGGCTGCTGACCTGCTGAGGCTGGGGGGCTGCTGCCTGCCCGCAGGGCTAGGACTGCTCAGTCAAGAGAGAAAAGACAGAGCAGGTCCTTGGGTCATGCCGCAACACCTCAGGGTCCCCTCTCTGCCCCTGGGCCCCGCAATGCCACCTCCCAGGAGGACGGGCCCCTTCACCTAGAAACCAATAGCATCAGAAAGAAGAAGCTGGGTTGTTTTCAACATCTGATACCAGAACTATGTGTGTTGTGTTAATTATCACCAACATGCAAATAAAATTTAGCCAGGTGGGAGGATCACTTGAAGCCAGGAGTTCAAGACCAGCCTGGGAAACACAGCAAAACTCCCATCTCTTTAAAAAAAAAAAAAAAAATTGGCCAGGTGCAGTGGCTCACCTCTGTAATCCCAGCACTTTGGGAGGCCGAGGCGGGCAGATCACGAGGTCATGAGATCGAGACCATCCTGGCTAATACAGTGAAACCCCGTCTCTACTAAAAATACAAGAAAATTAGCCAGGCGTGGTGGCGGGTGCCTGTAGTCCCAGCTACTCGGGAGGCTGAGGCAGGAGAATGGCATGAACCCAGGAGGCAGAGCTTGCAGTGAGCCGAGATGGCGCCACTGCACTCCAGCCTGGGCAACAGAGCGAGACTCCGTCTTAAAAAAAATATATATATATATATTTTTTTTTAACTTAGCTGGGCACAAAGTAGTGTACACCTGTAGTTGCTGCAGCTACTCAGGAAGCTGAGGTGGAAGGACCACTTGAGCCCAAGAGTTCAAGGCTGCAGTGAACTATGACAGCACCACTGTATTCCAGCCTGGGTGACACAGCGAGGCCCCATTTAGCATGATTGGTAAAATTTTTAAAAATTACATTTTTTCCTCTAGATTTACCTTGGCCCTTGTTCACCTTATTGTACATGGTAGTATCCACTGCATTAATAGTTGGTAAAACAGCAAACATATTTGAATTGAGGGAAAGTCCTCTTCACTCCAGGAAGATGACCTGCTCTAAGAATCTGCAGGGATAAGGCACCCTTCAGCATAGCTCCTCCTGCCTCCACCCAAGACAACTCTGTTCCCTCCCTCCCACCCATTTCTGCAGCAGGAAACCACCAGGGCTCAGCTAGAAAGCTAGGATTGCCCAAAGCCCAGCCTGTGCCCTGGAACCCTACAAGGTCCACAACGGCAACATGGAAGCCTGACAATATGTTGTAACTACAACAATGATTTATAAATAGCAACAAGAAGTACGCTAAAATGGCTGGTTAGGGACATAGGCAGGGGTCCCTGATGAGCATGGCATAACTGGAGGAAAAAGCCTGATTTCCCCCAGATAGCAGGCAAAGTTCAGACCCCCCTTCTTGCGACATGTCACTTGGAGATGTCTACCCTAATAGCTGAATGAGGACTTATCATTAACAAGCACTCTGAGCAGAGAGGAAGGAAAACTCGGTCTCAGAAAGCAGGGCCAGGCCCTTTAGTTGGTAAGGACTCAGGTGTGTGGGACGGAAGCTGGGACACAGGAACTGAAAGCACAGAAGGGGAAGGAGGAGAAGCCCATCCCGGGCTGCATGTGGAAACAGAAGAGATGCAAAAGCACCCAGCTGGCAGAGAGCCCCAGCTGTGTCCACCACATAGAGAGCCTCTGGGGCTCGGCGGCCCCACCGCCTCAGGGCAAGGCTCCCAACCTCAGGAAGCTCACCAGGATTCCGGGTGTGCGGTCAGCATAAGCACACAGCTCCTCCAAAGCGAGGCCACATCACCTTCTCCTAAACTCTTCCTCCTCCTGACTGCCCCATTTCAGTAAAGGAACCAGCTCTCATCACCAGGCACTGAAACTCCAAGCCCCAGCCCATCAGTGTCTGCTCTGAAGACAGCTACTTTTGCAAGCTCTCTAGACTCCGTCCCCTCTTTTCCACTTCTACTGCCAAGTGCCGGCCTGCATACCTCAATTGGACTCTATCTAGTTCTCCATCTCCTCCCTCCCTCCTCTCCCTGTCCCCTTATGACCCAGCCATACCCTGCTGCCAGTTTGCCCTCGGTCTGCTCAGAAACTAGTCAGACTAAAGCCCCCTGCTTCACCACCTGTCAGTTCAAGTCCTTATCCAGCACCTGTCTGGACAGATTTTTTGCAGTGTGTATTTTCTCTCCTTCTGGAGAGTTTTGCTTTTGGATGCAGGGTTGCGAGGGAACTGCCCAACATGCCACCAGCCCTTCCCTGGCCAAGGAAGGGAACAAGGGAACACGGCCCAGGCTGGGCCAACCAGACACTTCCTCCCTCAGATATGAATCCCAAGCAGTGATGACAAAATGAGTGAGCACAGCTGGAGCAGATGCATCCTGGCAACAGCGGTTCCCTGAAGAGACTGGCCTTTGGTTCCTGCTGCACCCACTCCAAGACCCTGGAGGGGACCTGGGTCCTGAGTCATCACTCTGATTTTATAGTTCCCACAGCTTTCCAAGGAAATGCTTTCCTGCCAAAGGCAGCCAAGTTGCTGCTTGCAACCAAATAGGATTCCTTACTACTTTCTAAATAAATCCCCTATGCTCTAGAAAAAAGGGACAACTCCCTAAATGTGCCTTGTGATAGCCTTTCTTTGTACCTGTTGGCCTGCACACCCCCTCCAGCCCACAGGCACTGCTTGGAAACCTACCCTTAGAGGCCCATCCCAAATGCCTTTTCTGAGCTCCCTATGGGGATGACTTCGACCTCCTTTAACTGGCCACATTTCCACTGTAGATCTATTGGTGGACTCGTCTTATCCCCCTCCCAGGAACAGCAACTTGGACATTACTGTCTCCTCCACAACACTCAGCACAGTTCTCAGCTCAAAAAGACTCAGACTTGGCCAGGCACAGTGTCTCACACCTATAGTCCCAGCAGTTTGGGAGGCCGAGGCAGGCGGATCACGAGGTCAGGAGTTCGAGACCAGCCTGGCCAACATGGCAAAACCCCGTCTCTAGTAACAATACAAAAATTAGCTGGCTGTGGTGGTGCGTGCCTGTAATCCCAGCTACTCGGGAGGCTGAGGCATGAGAGTCGCTTGAACCCAGGAGTCAGAGGTTGCAGTGAGCCGAGATCACACCACTGTACTCCAGCCTGGCAACAGAACGAGACTCCATCTCAAAAACAAAAAAAAAAAAATTCAGACTTTTGGGGGCAGACAACCCCAAAGGACAATTAAGGTTTGTTGAGCACATCAAGGAGCAGGAACTAAGAGCAGGGGCTGTGCATCAGAAAGACATGAGTTTCAACCCCAGATCCTCCTGCTGTCTGTTTGGGCACATCTGGTAAGTTCTGTAAGTCTCAGTTCTTCATCTACAAAGCAGCGGCAACAACACCCACCTTGCAGTGCTGCTGTGAGGATTCACTAACACCTGAGAGCATCTAGCACCATGCCTGGCTGGCAGCAAGCACTCAATGAACAGCAGCCATAATTCAGGCTATTAGCAGCAACTGGTTTAGCAGCCACTCCGTTGGCACTGGAATCAGGAGTCCCAGGGCCACTGTGTGACCCACAGTGTATCTCTGGGTTCCTCAGTAACCCTACCTGGGTCTGTATCTGCCTTATAAATGTTCCACTGACCTGTAAAACAACAGTTGGAAAATGCTTTGCAAAGCACAATGTAAGTGATGCCTCCTGCATTTCTAAATTTCAAAGACTCCCAGGTATCCTGTCCAGTGTGCAGCCATGGCAGGACTTTACTTGGCAGGCACCCCAACCCACTTGGTTGGGGAAACAGGCACAGGCCAGACGAGGGCCCGGTTCAGCAATTTGCTTCGATATCTTCACACAGCCACCCTTTTCCAAAGCCATGGCTCCTAAATTTCCTGCTTGGTTGTGGGGCCTTGCTTCAAATAACCGTGGGGCAGTGTCCCCCCAGTCATTACCAATCCTGGGCAACATCAGAATGAAAGAAAAGCCAAACCAGTACAGCTGCCAGAACAGCCTGGTGGGGAAGTAAGGTGGAAGAAAGTCCCTCTTAAGACTTTACATCTAGCTGGCTGGGCGCAGTGGTTCACGCCTGTAATCCCAGCACTTTCGGAGGCTCCAGCGGGCGGATCACCTGAGGTCAGGAGTTTGAGACCAGCCTGACCAACATGGAGAAACTCCATCTCTACTAAAAATACAAAAAAATTAGATGGGCGTGGTGGCGCATGCCTGTAATCCCAGCTACTTGGGAGGCTGAGTCAGGAGAATTACTTGAACCCGGGAGGTGGAGGTTGCGGTGAGCCGACATCGTGCCATTGCATTCCAGCCTGGGCAACAAGAGTGAAACTCTATCTCAAAAAATAAAATAAAAAATAAAATAAATTTTAAAAAAATACAAAAATTAGCCGGGCATGGTGGTGCATGCCTGTAATCCCAGCTATTCCAGAGGCTGAGACAGGAGAATCGCTTGAACCTGGGAGGCAGAGGTTGCAGTGAGCCGAGATCTCGCCATTGCACTCCAGCCTGGGCAACAAGAGGGAAACCTCGTCTCAAAATAAAATAAAATAAAATAAAATAAAATAAAATAAAAAAGACTACATCTAGCTGGGCGGAGTAGCTCACGCCTCTAATCCCAACAGTGGGAAGCTGAGGCGGGCGGAGCACCTGAGGTCAGGAGTTCGAGACCAGCCTGGCCAACATGAAGAAACCCCATCTCTACTACAAATACAAAAATCAGCCGGGCATGGTGGCAGATACCTATAATCCCAGCTACTTGGGAGGCTGAGGCAGGAGAATAGCCTGAACCTGGGAGGCGGAGGTTGCAGTGAGCTGAGATCACACCACTGCACTCCAGCCTGGGTGACAGAGCAAGACTCTATCTCAAAAAAAAAAAAAGACATCTGGCCAGGAGCGGTGACTCACGCCTGTAATCCCAGCACTTTGGGAGGCCAAGGCGGGCGGATCACCTGAGGTCAGGAGTTCGAAACCAGTCTGGCAAACATGGTGAAACCCCGTCTCTACTAAAAATACAAAAAGTAGCGGGGTGTCGTGGCGTATGCCTGTAATCCTAGGTTCCTGTCACCCCAGGAAGGGGTGGCCAACAAGGCCGAGACAAGAGAATTGCTTGAACCCTGGAGGCAGAGGCTGCAGTGAGCCGAGATCATGCCACTGCACTCCAGCCTGGGCAACAGAGTGAGACTTCGTCTCAAAAAAAGAAAAAAAAAAAAAAAAAGACTTCGCATCTGCTTGGATTAATCTCTCAAGAAATTGTGATGACCCCAAACCAGTGGTTCTCAAAGTGTTAGCCCTAGGGAGCTGGAGAGAGATGCAAAATATAGGCTCCACCAAGATTAAACCATAAAACTCTGGAGTCCCCTCACACACACACAATCTGTGCCTTAACCAGCTCTCCAGGAGACTATGACTCTCAGTCAAATGTGAAGAATCCTTCCCTAAACCTGTAACCATGAGACCTTCCGCTGTAATTCATTTACTGAACACCCACTAGGTGCTAAGGACCAAGCCAGGTGGTGGTATTTCAGAAAATGAGGACACATTTGAAGAGCATCCACAGTCTAATGAGAGCCAAAATGAAGTATACAAATATGGCCAAAATAAGGCAGGATGTGGTATAGGACAACGCAAAATAATCCATTTCCCACCCCTCTCCCCAGGCCCTACCCCTCAGGTCTTCTTTTGCCATGAAAAGACATGGAAAAACCAAGCCTCCCCAAATCCCCAATCCTGGTATTGCAGACTCCTTAATCCCAGGTGCCTTCTCGAGAAGAGTGGTCCTTACCCTGAGGCTTGGCCGGAGTAGAAATGCTCCCCTGAGGCCATAGCCAGTGGCTCTCAGAAGCTTGGCTTTATCTGGGATTTGCACTCCAAAAGTTCCCAGGAGCCATCAGCGTGCCACAGCACATCACAACAATGCGCTCCCAGGCAGGGTCACTCCCACAGGCCCCTGCCAGACTTGCAAGCAAGGGTGCAGAGGCAGACATAAACACCCACACAGACAGTTGGCCCCCTGGCCTCCCTTCCTCCATTCTCAAGTTACAAGGTTAAAAGCATCCAATTCACAGCCAAGGGGGAGGGCTGGGAAGGGGGTTGCTGAAGCAGTGAACCATCTGGTTCAGATCAAGATTGCTCCTTCAGGAACCCACATAACTCCTAGAGCCTCCTGTCCCTCCTTTCCTCCACCCAACCCACTGGGAAACTGGGGATTGGGGTAGAATGGATGACTATCCCCCTCTGCCCCCCCCGCAAAAAAAAAAAAATCTGAAGAGGACAAAACAAAAAACCTGAATAATACAGGCAAATCTGTGCCACCTCTCTGAGCCCTCGTTCCCTCTAAATCCTGAGTCCCACGACTAAACTTGAGATCACCGCCCACATACTCTGTGCCTTCCTCCACAGAGAGATCAGGGCAGCCAGCAGGCATCCCTCCCTGAAAGGGCAACCCCTCCAAAGTTAGCAGCAGAAGCAAGATGAAGCTTAGGGGTGTGGTCTCCCAGACTCCTCTTATGCCACCATCTCTCTAAAAACCAGCGATACCTTCCACCTGAGAAGGGCTTCAGAGCCCACCAGGCAAGGAAGGGGTGGCCAACCAGCTTCCAAACATCCGTCCCAAAGACGAGGCGGGAGTGTGTTACTGGCCAGAGGTCCCAGAGTGCCCTGTACTCCCCCGGAGGCTTTGACTGAAAAGAGGCCCCAGGTCCCTGCCTGCCCCCAGCACCTCTCTAGCCCCTTTCTCCAACACCACCTTTGACTCAATCCTCCGCTCCTTTACGCAGCTGTAAAGCAAGAGGGAAGATGGGAGACGGGAGATGGATGCAGTTGGCAAAAGATAAATCGAAAGGCTAACTTGAGCAAGCAAGCAATTGGTGCTGACTCCTCTACAGGCAGAGGGAACCCGGAGTGGGTTATGCGAAGGAGGGAAGGCCAACAGGAGCGGCAGGAAGCTAAGGGGAGACTCAAGTGAGCTCAGCCCAGAGCTGTAGCAGGGGGTGGGAAGTTTGGTCCAGTCACAGGGGAATGACTGGGGGTAAGAAATGACTTCCATTCCAAGGCAGAGAAGGAACAGGAGAGAGGAGAGACGAGGTTCAGACCAGCCTCCACGGGACTGGCGCTTTGGCCAAGTTTCTGGCTTCAGCCGTGCCTCAGTTTCCCCAAAGTAGGAAGGTCGAGCCGTGAGAACTGGGCCACTGAGGATGGTTAGGGGGCAGTGCCAGGTAGGGGAAAGATCACAGGGGAGAGAGGAAAGAGGAGCTGATGGGGCAGACAGGCTCTGGCCAAGAGTGGGGCCGGGGTCTCCCAGGTGGAGCAGAGGCCGGGAGACCCAGGGTTAGCGGTACGAACTAGGGAGTGGACTGGAAGTCGGGACCAGGGCAGAGAGCTCTTCCGAGGGCTGGGGCTGGGGCTGGGGTTGGGGTTGGGGGCTGCCGGCAAAGGAGCGGAGCGGGAGCCCTGGGAGGCTGGGAGCGGCTGGACGTGCAAAGCAGAAGGCGGGGATCCGGAATGAGGCCAACGCGCGCGGACCCCCGCCCACACGAGGGAGCCCGGCGCCCCGACCCGGGGGAAGTTGCCGGGCTGGAACGGGCCGGTCTGGGCCGCTGGGCCGCGCCAGCTGCCCGCGCAGGGGAGGTCTGGGCAGCCGGGGGCCCGGGGCGCTCTGCATCCCGCCCGCCCTCATCCCACCCGCGCACCTCAGTCAGCGCCCGGCGCCGCGCGGGCCATGCTCGCCGCTCCGGCCGCCGCCGCCGCCCGCGCAGAAAGCCGTCGCCGCCGCCGCCGCCGCCGCCGCCGTCGTCCGGACCCGTTAGCTCGCAGCTCTCTCGTCCGCCCGCCGTGGGCTAGTCCCGCCCTTGCCTGGCCCAACCCTCCCCGAGCGCCGCCGCCGCCGCCGCCTCAGCCCGGCCCCTCCCCCCACCCCTGCCCGGCTTGAAGGGAAGGGTGGGGGACAGGGGCGACTGCCCCCACCCCATTCACATCCTCCCCGTCTCTCCCTCCCTCCGCCCCCCGCACGCGCGCCGGCATGCTGGGATATGGAGTCCAGCGGGCGCTGGGTCGCTAGGGGCGCCCCGCATCCAGGACTACATCTCCCAGAAGACAGCGCGCGCATCCCAGGGATTGTGGGCTTTGTAGTTTCGCTAGGGCTCAGGGGGTCCGCCGTGCAGGAGGGGAGACGGAGGGGGATGGGAAGTCTTCATTCTCAGAAGGCCGGGCTCCAGCGGCTGGAGCAGACGGCCCCGAGCCGGGTTGGATACGTGGGTTCCTAGGGAGGTGCACACTAGCCGAGGACGCCTCTCAGATGCTGCTGTGGCCAGCTGCTGACGAGCCCGGCCGGAGGGCACTGTTCCCACTCGCGCTCTCAAAGAGCCGCGACCTGAGGCCAGCTTGGCTTCACGCCCGGGCTCTGAAAGCCCGAGCTGCGGTGGGGCCGCTGCGCCCTGGCCTGAGGGGAGAGAGACCCCATCAGCGGTGCGAGCGGGGGTTTGGCCTCGCTGGACTTTGTGTTCCCCACCTAGGAAAAGAGGAAAAGGGGGCAGAGTGTCTATTGGTTCCTCATCCACCGGGGCATCTCCCCCTTGCAGGCTCTCTCTTAGATGCCCGTAGCTTCCTGCTGTTGAGGGTAAAGTGAATGCATTTTAAATATTTGCCATGTCTTTTATTAGCCCATCCTTTCCCTAACTTCCGCACCTATTTCAAAACCTTTATGAAACTCCAGGTAGACTGCAGTTTCGCCCTCCAACAGGCTGAAGTGAGGCTGAAGTGGTTCTGAATTTTTGGTGTGTATGGGATCCTCTTGGCCAGCTTGTTTAAACGCAGATTGCTGCCCCCACCCTCAGCTTCTGGTTCTTTTAGCTCTAGGGCAGGCCCCAGAATTGGCATTGCTACCCCGTCTCCAGGTGTTGCTCATGCTGCCGGTTACTACCTTGATAACCTGATAACCTCTGCTGTTGGTGTTTGCTGCTAACACACCGGTATCCTCTTTCAAGGATGGCCCTTGTGTGGGATAATTAATAATGGCCCTGAAGAGCCAAACCCGGAAAGGCAGGGTCCCAGTCTAGTCCCCTTTAGCACAGGAACGCTCTTTGTTTTTGCTCAAGGTCTCACTGTCGCCCAGGCTGGAGTGCAGTGATGTCATCACGACCCCAGCACTTTGGGAGGCTGAGGCAGGTGGATCACATGAGGCCAGGAGTTAAGACCAGCCTGACCAACATGGCAAAACCCTGTCTCTACCAAAAATGCAAAAATTAGCTGGGTGTGGTAGTGCGTGCCTGTAATCCCAGCTACTTGGGAGGCTGAGGCACGAGAATTGCTTGAATCTGGGAGTTGGAGGTTACAGTGAGCTGAGATCATGCCATTGCACTCCAGCCTGGGCAACAGAGTGAGACTCTGTCTTAAACAAAAAAGGGCCAGGCGTGGTGGCTCACACCTGTAATCCCAGCACTTTGGGAGGCTGAGGCAGGTGGATCATGAGGTCAGGAGTTCAAGACCAGCCTGGCCAAGATGGTGAAACTCCGTCTCTACTAAAAATATAAAAATTAGCCGGGCATGGTGGCAGGCGCCTGTAATCCCAGCTACTCAGGAGGCTGAGGCAGGAGAATCACTTGAATCCGGGGGGATGGAGGTTTCAGTGAGCCAACGTCGCGCCACTGCACTCCAGCCTGGCCGGCAGAGCAAGACTCCGTCTCAAAAACAAACAAACAAACAAACAAACAAACAAAACACCGGCAGACTCTCAACACAAGTGATTTTACCCACCCTCCTCCCTCCACATTAAAAGGCTTCTACAGAGGCGGGTCACAGTGGCTCACGCCTGTAATCGCAGCACTTTAGGAGGCCTAGGCATGTAGATTGTCTGAGCTTAGGAGTTTGAGACCAGCCTAGGCAACGTGGAAAAACCCTGTCTCTCTTTATAAAAAAGAAAAGAAGGCTGGGCGCCATGGCTCATGCCTGTAATCCCAGCACTTTGGGAGGCCGAGGCGGGTGGATCACAAGGTCTGGAGTTCAGGGGTGGCCTGAACTCTTCCAGCCTGGCCAAGATGGTGAAACTCCGTCTCTACTGAAAATACAAAAAATTAGCGGGGCGTGGTGGCAGGCGCCTGTAATCCTAGCTACTGGGGAGGCTGAGGCAGAGAATTGCTTGAACCCAGGAGGTGGAGGTTGCAGTGAGCAGAGATTGCACCACTGCACTCCAGCCTGGACAACAGAGCAAGAATCCGTCTCAAAAAAAAAAAGAGACTTAAACAGTAATATAGTTTCTAACAGCTCAAGGTCACATCCTGGGATGACCCAAACCCACCTTAAAGTGCCTGCCTGAGAAGGCGCACCACTGCCGAAAGAATTTACTGTTCCAGGCGACACCCAATCATAGGCTCTGACTACACTTTCTCAGAGCATTTACTAAAAAGGGCTCACAATTGTGAATTCCTTATCTGATCCTTTGAGATGTGTAAGTATCTTCTACAACTCAAGAGTGTCTTTCTCAAGGACCTGAAAGCCATTCCTTGAATGTCGTCATCCTGAAGGATAAGGCCTCTTTGTGGGAGGACAGAATCCTAACTTTGATAATTGCCAGCTAGTGGACAGAGCTGTACATTGACCAATCCTTTGCAATTTTTCATGTCCCTGACTCTACCGAACCCCTGCTTGCCACCTTCCCTACTCCTTCATCCACTTTAAAACACAACTAGGCCAGGAACAGTGGCTCACACGTGTAATCCCAGCATTTTGGAAGGCCGAGGTAGGCGGAGCACTTGAGGTCAGGAGTTCGAGACCAGCCTGGCCAACATGTTGAAAGCCCATCTCTACTAAAAATACAAAAAATTAGGGCCGGGCGCAGTGGCTCATGCCTGTAATCCCAGCACTTTGGGAGGCCAAGGCGGGCAGATCATGAGGTCAGGAGATCGAGACCATCCTGGCTAACACGGTGAAACCCTGTCTCTACTAAAAATACAAAAAAAATTAGTCGGGCCTGGTGGCGGGCACCTGTAGTCCCAGCTACTCAGGAGGCTGAGGCAGGAGAATGGTGTGAACTCGGGAGGTGGAGCTTGCAGTGAGCTGAGATCACACCACTGCACTCCAGCCTGGACGACAGAGCGAGACTCCGTCTCAAAAAAAAAAAAAATGCAAAAAATACAAAAAATTAGCCAGGTGCAGTGGTGGGTGCCTGTAGTTCCAGCTGCTTGGGCGGCTGACGCAGGAGAATCACTTGAACCTGGGAGGCAGAGGTTGCAATGAGCTGAGGTTGCAATGAGCTGAGATCGCACCACTGCACTCCAGCCTGGGCAACAGAGCAAGACTCTGTCACAAAACAAACAAAAAACACAAGTTATCTTGCCAGACTCACTGGCTTGTGCCTGTAATCCCAGCTACTCTAGAGGCCGAAGTGGCAGGATCACATGAGGACAGGAGTTTGAGACCAGCCTG
Source organism: Homo sapiens (assembly GCF_000001405.40). Lineage (NCBI taxonomy): Eukaryota > Metazoa > Chordata > Mammalia > Primates > Hominidae > Homo > Homo sapiens. The sequence continues at coordinate 70,442,679 of NC_000016.10, forward strand.
GGCAGCGTAACAAGACCCCATCTCTAAAAAATAAATTTAAATTCCCAGTCACTTCTGTACAAATCAAAGTTGGGCCAAGTTCACGCTGGACCCTCTTCCCTATTGCAATAGTATATTACAAATTAAAATCTGTTCTTACCACCTTTTTTTTTTCTTTTTAGAGACTAGGTTTTGCTGTCTCACCCAGGCTGGAGTGCAGTGGTGTGATCATGGCTCACTGCATCCTCGAACTCCTGGGCTCAAGGGATCCTTCCACCTCAGCCTCCCGAGCTGGAACTACTGGCACGCACCACCATGCCCAGCTAATTTTTGTATTTTTAGTAGAGACAGGGTTTCACCTCGTTGACCAGGATGGTCTCTATCTGTTGACCTTGTGATCCGCCAGCCTCAGCCTCCCAAAATGCTGGGATTACAGGCATGAGCCACTGCTCTGGGCCTTTTTTTTTTTTTTTTTTTAATGTCTTTTTTGACTGGGCAAGGAGGCTCATGCCTGTAATCCTAGCACTTTGGAAGGCTGAGGCAGGCAGATCACTTAAGGTCAGGAGTTTGAGACCAGCCTGGCCAACATGGTGAAACCCTCTCCCTACTAAAAATACATAAGTTAGCCGGACATGGTGGCGGGTGTCTGTAATCCCAGCTACTCGGGAGGCTGAGGCAGGAGAATCACTTCAACCCTGGGGGCAGAGGTTGCCGTGAGCCAAGATCGCACCACTGCACCCCAGCTTGTGCGACAGCCTGCCTCAGCTTCCCGAGTAGCTGGATTGTGCCACTGCACTCCAGCCTGCATGACAGAGCAAGACCCTTGTCTCTCAAAAAATAAAAGAAAATGTACCAAGTAGCTAATAGGAAATGTGCAATCATACAGTACTTGTCCTCTTGTGACCAGCATATTCTACTTAGCATAATGTCCACAAGGTTCATCCATATTGTAGCATATGTCAGAATTTCCTTCCTTTGTAAAGCTGGATAATACTCTATTATATGTACATACCACGTTTTCTTTATTCATTCATCTGTCAATGATGGGTTGTTTGTAGCTCTTGGCTACTTTAAATACTACTGCTATGAACATGAGTGTACAAATATCTCTTTGAGCTCCTGCTTTCAATTGTGTTGTCTATTTTCTTTTTTTCTTCGAGACAGGGTCTTGTTCTCAATTTTTGCTTCAAAATAATCCAGGTTTGAGGTATAGGTATAGATACAACAAGGTTGGTTAAATTGATAATTATAGAAGAGATGAGGCCACGCATGGTGGCTCACACCCATAATCCCAGGACTTTGGGAGGCCGAAGCAGGCAGATCACTTGAGGTCATGAGTTTGAGACCAGCCTGGCCAACAAGGCGAAACCCTGTCTCTACTAAAAATACAAAAATTAGCCGGGCATAGTGTCACATGGCTGTAATCCCAGCTACTTGGGAGGCTGAGGCAGGAGAATGGCTTGAACCCAGGAGGCAGAGGTTGCAGTGAGCAGAGATCGTACCACTGCACTCCAGCCTGGGCAACAGAACGAGACTCTATCTCCAAAAAAAAAAAAAAAAAAAAGAGGGGATGAGTAGTTTCTCTGGGTTAATTAATTATAACAATTTTTCATCTTTGAATATATTTGAAGTTTCCATAATAAAATGATTTTTTGGCTGGGTAAAAACTAATCAGGCGTGGTGATGCATGCCTGTAGTCCCTGCTATTTGTGAGGCTGAAGCAGGAGGATCAATTTAGTCTGGGAGGTCCAGGCTGCAGTGAACCATGATTGTGCCACTGCACGCTAGCCTGGGCAACAGATCAAGTGAAATTGCTGGATCATATAGTAATTTTTTTTTTTGCTCATAATCTTTATTGGAAAATGGACACCAAAATAGATCACTATTGTATACTTTGCAAAATCAAACATAATTATGAATACATTATCTTGGTAGATGAATTAGAATTGCTAGACTTATGATAAGGCTTTCTGTGAGATAACACAGATTCAGGAAGTGGTGTGGATCACTCCATTTGTGTTGCTTTCCTCTAAGTGAACACCCTCTGTGAGTCTGGGCTTTCCTTCTGTAGGCTGATACTGTTGAACAACCCACACAAAGAACCACTGTCTGAGCATGGCTGAAAACTATGGTAATCTTGGGACAATCTCAACATTTTACAACCATAAAATAAGAATTTGGACTTTGAACTAGCCATTTCTTTTATGATTTTTCTTTTCCTCTTCCAAAGACGGATGTAATAAATCTGTAGCCAAAGACTTGATCCTTTCGCAAGCCCTGCCTGTCCAGTCCAGATCTAGTAATTCTAGTGTTTTTTTTGTTTTGTTTTGTTTTTGAGATGGAGTCTTGCTCTTTTGCCCAGGCTGGAGTGCAATGGTGCAATCTCAGCTCACTGCAACTTCCATCTCCCGGGTTCAAGCGATTCTCCTGCCTCAGCCTCCTGAGTAGCTGGGATTACAGGCACATGCCACCACACCCGGCTAATTTTTGTATTTTTAGTAGAGATGGGGTTTCACCATATTGGTCAGGCTGGTCTTGAACTCCAGACCTCGTGGTCCACCTACCTCGGCCTCCCAAAGTGCTGGGATTACAGGTGTGAGCCACCGCGCCCGGCCTTCAATTTTTTTTTTTTTTTTTTAGTATGGAACGCTTCATGAATTTGCGTGTCATCCTTGCGCAGGGGTCATACTAATCTTCTCTGTATCGTTCCAATTTTAGAATATGTGCTGCCGAAGCGAGCACTCTAGTGTTAATTTTTTGAAGAGCACCATACTGTTTCCCGTATCTGCTGCACCATTCTCCACTCCCACCAACAGTGGACAGGCTTCCAATTTCTCCACACCTTCACTAACACTTATTTATTTATTTATTTGAGACAGAGTTTCGCTCTTATTGCCCGGCTGGAGTACAATGGCACGATCTCAGCTCACCGCAACCTCCACCTCCTGGGTTCAAGCGATTATCCTGCCTTAGCCTCCCGAGTAGCTGGGATTACAGGCATGCACCACCATGCTCTGCTAATTTTTGCATTTTTAGTAGAGACGGGGTTTCTCCATGTTGGTCAGGCTGGTCTTGAACTCCTGACCTCAGGTGATCCCCCTGCCTCAGCCTCCCAAAGTGCTGGGATTACAGGCGTGAGCCACCGCACCCAGCCTAACACTTGGTATTTTCTCAGAGCATCACTCTTCTTTTTTTTTTTTTTTCCCTCTGTACCTCAATGGGATGCAAAGGGAGCATCAAGTTTCCCCTTACCCTTCTCCTTCTCCTTCCCTTTCCTCTCCTTCTCGTTGTCCTTCCTCCTTCTTTTTTTTTTTTTTTTTTTGGACAGAATCTTGCTCTTTTGCCCAGGCTGGAGTGCAGTGGTGTGATCTAGGCTCGCTGCAACCTCCGCCTCCCAGGTTCAAGCAATTCTCCTGCCTCAGCCTCCCGAGTAGCTGGGATTACAGGTGCCTGCCACCATGCCCAGCTAATTTTTGTATTTTTAGTAGACACGGGGTTTCACCATGTTGGCCAAGCTGGTCTCGAACTCCTGACCTCGTGATCCGCCCGCCTTGGCCTCCCAAAGTGTTTGGATTACAGGCGTGAGCCACTGTACCTAGCCACATCACTCTTAATAAAACAAATGCAGATGAAAATCACCACACTGAGATATCATTTTTCACATACCAGATTGGCAACAATCAAAAAGCTTGATAACTATCTTGGCAAGAGTGTGGGGCATTCTTATCCACTGCTAGTGTAACTGGAAATCTGTGCCACCTAATCCCAAAATTCTGGGATTACAGATGGGAGACACCATGCCCGGCCTTTTTTTTTCTTTTTTAGTTTTCTTCCTCCAGTGCCAAGGAATTGGCTTTTTTGCGGGGTGGGGGGATACAGAGTCTGGCTCTGTCACCCAGGTTGAAGTGCAGTAGCGATATCTCAGCTCACTGCATCGTACACCCTCCAGGTTCAAGCCATTCTTTTGCCTCAGCCTCCCACGTAGCTGGGATTACAGGCACATGCCACCATGCTCGGCTACTTTTTGTATTTTAAGTAGAGATGGGGTTTCTCCATATCAGCCAGACTGATCTGGAACTCCTGCCCTCAGATGATCCGCCTGCCTCGGCCTCCCAAAATGCTGGGATTACAGGTGTGAGCCACTGCACCTGGCCTGGATTGCATTTTATGCTCCAGAGCTCCCTGTTCAATCAGATTGAGGCAAAATTTAGGTGAACTTACATCTTTACTTGGTTTCTTTCCCTGCCCTATCCTGCTTTCCCCACTCCCCTAGGAAGTCGCTTACACAAGAATTCCTGTCTCAGGCTCTGCATCTAGGCACCCAACCTAAAATATCCCTATGGGCAGTTCTGGCTCCCAGAGGGAATTTCTGCTACCAGTAACAGCCACACATCTCATCAGGGGCCTGAAGATTTCACCTTCTCCAAAAAGTCCTCCCTCCCAGACCTGGACCCTCACATTCTGGCAGTAGGTCATTTGTTTAACAATAAGGAGTTTGGATGCCTACATTGTATTAGGCACTGCGCTAAACCCTTTATGTGCATTAGCTCATGAAACCCTCCCAACAACCTAATTTGGAAATTCTATTTTAATCTCACAGATAAGGAAGTTGGGCTCAAACAGGTTGAGTGGCTTGCTCGCACGGTTAGAAAGTGATGAGAGGCCAGGTGTGGTGGCTCACACCAGTAATCCCAGCACTTTTGGAGCCCAAGGTGGGAGGATCGCTTGAGCCAAGGAGTTCAAGACCAGGCTGGAGGCCAAGAGTGGTGGCTCATGCCTATAATCCTAGAATTTTGGGAGGGTGAAGCAGACAAATCACCTGAGTTCAGGAGTTCAAGGCCAGCCTGGCCAGTATGATGAAACCCCATCTCTACTAAAAATACAAAAATTAGCCATGTGTTTGGCCAGGTGCGGTGGCTCATGCCTGTAATCCCAGCACTTTGGGAGGCTGAGGCGGGCGGATCATGAGGTCAGGAGATCGAGACCATCCTGGCTAACACGGTGAAACCCCGTCTCTACTAAAAATACAAAAAATTAGCCAGGCGTGGTGGCAGGCACTTGTAGTCCCAGCTACTCGGGAGGCTGAGGCAGGAGAATGGCATGAACCCGGGAGGCGGAGCTTGCAGTGAGCCAAGATCATGCCACCGCACTCCAGCCTGGGCGACAGAGTGAGACTCTGTCTCAAAAAAAAAAAAAATTAGCCAAGTGTGGTGGTATGTGCCTGTAATCCTCAGGAGGCTGAGGCAGGAGAATCACTTGAACCCGGGAGGCAGAGGCTGCAGTGAGCCGAGATTGGGCCACTGCACTGCAGCCTGGGAGACAGAGCGAGACTCCATCTCAAATAAAATAAAAAAACAACAACAAGAAAAAAACAAAAACCCAGCCTGAGCAACGTAGTGAGACCCAGTCTCTATGCTATAAGAAAAAAAATATTGTTTTTAAAGGGCTGAGTGTGGTGGCTCATGCCTGTAATCCCAGTACTTTGGGAAGCCACGGCAGGAGGATTGCTTGAACCCAGCTGTTCGAGACCAGCTTTGGCAACATGGCAAGACCCTGTGTGGTTGCACACACCTATAGTCCCAGCTACTTGGGAGGATCACTTGAGCCCAGGGGTTGGAGGCTGCTGTGAGCCGTGATTGCACCACTGCACTCCAAACTGGGCAACAGAGTGAGACCCTGTCTCAAAAGAGAGAAAAAAAGAAAAAGAAAAAAAAAAGAAAGTCGTGGCAGCTGAGCGGATTTGTCTAAGTTTAATCCTTGGATTTAATCACTAGACTCTGTTCTTTTTTATTTTTTGAGATGGAGTCTCGCTGTGTCACCCAGGCTGGAGTGTAGTGGCATGATCTTGACTCACTGCATCTCCTGCCTCCTGGATTCAAGCAATTCTCCTGCCTCAGCCTCCTGAGTGGCTGGGATTACAGGCACGCGCCAGCACGCCCAGCTAATTTTTGTATTTTTAGTAGAGACAGGGTTTCACCATGTTGGCCAGGCTGGTCTCAAACTCCTGACCTCAAATGATATGCCCACCTCGGCCTCCCAAAGTACTGGGATTACAGGCATGAGCCACCATGCCCGTCCGACTGTGCTCTATTTTATTGTTATTTTTTTGAGATGGAGTTTCACTCTTGTTGCCAAAGCTGGAATGCAGTGGCATGATCTCGGCTCACTGCAACCTCCACCACGTGGTTTCAAGCAATTCTCCTGCCTCAGCCTCCTGAGTAGCTGGGATTATAGATGCCCACCACCATGCCCTGCTAAGTTTTTGTATTTTTAGTAGAGATGGGTTTTACGTGTCGGCCAGGCTGGTCTCGAACTCCTGACCTCGTGATCCTACCGCCTCAGCCTCTCAAAGTGCTGGGATTACAGGCATGAGCCACCATGCCTGGCCGACTGTGCTTTATTTTATAACAGTTTGTGTGTATGTGTGTGTAATGGCTCTGTGTACCCCAGATGGTGAGGCCACGTACAGATTTTTGGGTCTGCTGCTGCACTGAGGGCTTCATTTTACTAAAAACCTTCCTTGAGTTTCTTTGCTCCTCAGGCAAGGAGATGCCAGAGCAGCCTGGAAGCTACCTCTCCTCTACTAACCATACTGCCCTAGGAGGTATAGGGTGGAGCATAAGGCCTCTAAGCTCCTTGGGGGCACACTGTTTTCTTGAGCCCCCACCAAACCCGCAGTTGCAGGCATCCCTACTTCCCACTTCACTGCAGAGCCCAGGACCTGCATTGCTGAGAACAGCAACAGTGAGAGGCAGTTCATCACCTCCCTGGAGGCCTCCTAGGTTCACAGAAGAAACAGCAGGCATTGAAGTGGGAGAAGGAGGATGAGACCTGGGCCAAGTGTAGATGGAGAATGACTCCAGTGGGAGAAGACTGAGGGAAGCAGACAGTGTGAGGAGAAGGTGGGTGGCGAGAGCTGAGCAGAAGGTTGCTCTTCATTCATTCAACCAATTGGGTTTTTTTTTTGAAACAAAGTCTCTCGCTCTGTCGCTCAGGCTGGAGTGCAGTGGTGCAATCCCAGCTCACTGCAACCTCCACCTCCCGGCTTCCAGCGATTCTCCTGCCTCAGCCTCCTGAGTAGCTGGGATTACATGCACCCACCACCATGCCCAACTAATTTTTGTATTTTTAGTAGAGAGAGGATTTCACCATGTTGGCCAGGCTGGTCTCGAACTCCTGACCTCAGGTGATCTTCCTGCCTCGGCCTCCTAAAGTGCTGGGATTATAGGTGTGGGCCACCACACCTGGCCAATCAATTGTTTTTAACCACCTACTGTGTCCGGAATTGGTGGGTTCTTGGTCTCACTAACTTCAAGAATGAAGCCACGGACCCTTGCCGTGAGTGTTACAGCTCTTAAGGTGGTGCGTCTGGAGTTTGTTCCTTCTGACGTTCGGATGTGTTCAGTTTCTTCCTTCTGGTGGGTTCGTGGTCTCCTTGGCTCAGGAGTGAAGCTGCAGACCTTCACGGTGAGAGTTACAGCTCTTAAGGTAGTGCGTCGGGAGTTGTTGGTTCCTCTCGGTGGGCTCCTAGTCTTGCTAGCGTCAAGACTAGAAGCTGTAGACCTTTGCGGTGAGCGTTACAGCTCATAAAAGGAGTGGGGACCTAAAGAGTAAGCAGCAGCAAGATTTATTGCCAAGAGCGAGATAACAAGACCTCCCCAATACCACAGGGGATCCTAGCAGGTTGCCGCTGCTGGCTCCGCAACCTGCTTTTATTCTCTTATCTGGCCCCACCCACATCCTGTTGATTGGTAGAGCTGAGTGGTCTGTTTTGACAGGGCGCTGATTGGTGTGTTTACAATCCCTGAGCTAGACACAAAGGTTCTCCACGTCCCCACCAGATTAGTTAGATACAGAGTATCGACACAAAGGTTCTCCAAGGCCCCACCAGAGTAGCTAGATACAGAGTGTGGATTGGTGCACTCACAAATGCTGAGCTAGACACAGGGTGCTGATTGGTGTGTTTACAAACCTTGAGCTAGATACAGAGTGCCCATTGGTGTATTTACAATCCCTGAGCTGGACATAAAGGTTCTCCACGTCTCCACCAGACTCAGGAGCCCAGCTGGCTTCACTCAGTGGATCCCGCATTGGGGCTGCATGGTGGAGCTGCTTGCCAGTCCTGCGCCCTGCGCCCGCACTCCTCAGCCCTTGGGTGGTCGATGGGACTGGGCGCCGTGGAGCAGGGAGCGGCGCTCGTCGGGGAGGCTCTGGCGGCACAGGAGCCCACGGCGTGGCTGGGGAGGCTCAGGCATGGCGGGCTGCAGGTCCGGAGCCCTGCCCCGCGGGGAGGCAGTTAAAGCCGGGCGAGAAATCGAGCGCAGCGCCAGTGGGCCGGCACTGCTGGGGGACCCAGCACACCCTCTGCAGCCGCTGGTCGGGGTGTTAAGCCCCTCATTGCCCGGGGCTGGTAGGGTCGGCCGGCTACTCCGAGTGCGGACCCGCCAAGCCCACACCCACCCGGAACTCGTACTGGCCCGCAAGCACCGCGCACAGCCCCGGTTCCCACCCACGCCTCTCCCTCCACACCTCCCTGCAAGCTGAGGGAGCCGGCTCCGGCCTTGGCCAGCCCAAAAAGGGGCTCCCGCAGTGCAGCGGTGGGCTGAAGGGCTCCTCAAGTGCCGCCAAAGCGGGAGCCCAGGCAGAGGAGGCGCGGAGAGCGAACGAGGGCTGTGAGGACTACCAGCACGCTGTCACCTCTCACTACCATGTCCTCAGCACTGTTCTAAGGCCTGAGGATACAATGGTGAACAAACCAAACATCCTGCTTTAATGGAGCAGGATGGGAATAATGACGATAATCATAATGGTTAATACTTTTTGAGTATTTACTATGGAGTCAAGCATTTATCCTACCCTCACAACAATCTCAGATATTTGATACTATTATTAACTTACTTTATAGATGGTTACACAGAGTTAGAGCAGGGTCCATCTCCATTGTGACTGACCTCAGTGCCTCTCAGCCTCATTATTTTGTAAATTTATTTTTTTTTAAATTTTATTTGTTTTTTGAGACAGAATCTCGCTCTGTCACCCAGGCTGGAGTGCAGTGGCACGATCTCAGCTCAGTGCAATTTCCGCCTCCTGGCTTCAAATGACTCTCCTGACTCAGCTTGCCGAATAACTGAATTACAGGCTCCTGCCACCACGCCTGGCTAATTTTTGTATTTAAAAAATTGGCCATTGGCGGCCGGGCACTGTGGCTCATGCGTGTAATCCCAGCACTTTGGGAGGCCGAGGTGGGTGCATCATGAGGTCAGGAGATCAAGACCATCCTGGCTAACACGGTGAAACCCCCGTCTCCACTAAAAGTACAAAAAACTAGCTGGGCGTGGTGGCGGGTGCCTGTAGTCCCAGCTACTCAGGAGGCTGAGGCAGGAGAATGTCATGAACCTGGGAGGCAGAGCTTGCAGTGAGCCGAAATGGTGCTACTGCACTCCAGCCTGGGAGACAGAGTGAGACTCCATCTCAAAAAAAAAAAAAAAAAAAAAATTGGCCACTGACTGGGCACGGTGGCTCACGCTTGTACTCCCAACGCTTTGGGAGGCCGAGGTGGGTGGATCACCTGAGGTCAGGAGTTGGAGACCAGCCTGAACATGGTGAAACCCCGTCTCTACTAAAAATACAAAAATTAGCTGGGCGTGGTGGCACATGCTTGTAATCCCAGCTACTCAGGAGGCTGAGGCAAGAGAATCACTTGAACCTGGGAGGCGGAGGTTGCAGTGAGCCGAGATCACACCACTGTACTCCAGCCTGGGCAACAGAGTGAGACTCTGTCTCACAACAACAATAACAAAAAAATTGGCCAGGCTCATCTTGAATTCCTGACCCCGAGTTTTCTGCCTGCCTTGGCCTCCCAGAGTGCTGGGATTACAGGCATGAGCCACTTCGTCCGGCCCTAATTTATATATATTTTAGAGACGGGGTCTTGCTATGTTGCCCAGGCTGGTCTCAAACTCCCAAGCTCAAGCCATCCTCCCACCTTGGCCTCCCAAAGTGTTGGGATTACAGGCGTGAGCACCTGTGCCCAGCTTTAGGCTCCTTATTAACAACAGATTTGGAAAGTACATTCTTGTAAGAAAAATTCAAACAATACAGATAAAGCTCAAGTTCTCCCCGCTTGTCCCCATGCTTAGCAGTCTCTCCCTAGCATGCGTTCGCTTCCAGCCCTGTTCCTGTGTATCCACACACTATCTGTCCATAAACATTATTTTTTATTTGAGGGGCTTCCCATACATATTGCTCTACAACTTGCTGCTTTTCCCTTAACATGATGTCCTGAACATCACTCCCTACTGAACATATAGAGCATCTGTCTTGCATGGATGTGCCTAGTTTAGTTTTCCAGTTGTAAACCAAAAAGCACCAGATACTGGTCTCAATCAATTTACAAGTTTATTTTGCCAAAGTTAAGAATGTGTGCACCTGGGAGACAGGTCTGTACCTTTCTCCAAAGATGATTTTGAGGGCTTCAATATTTAAAGGGGAAAGGTCAGATATTGGGGAAAGAGGAATTTTTTTTTTTTTTTTAGACAGGGCCTCACTGTGTTGCCCAGGCTGGAGTGCAGTGGTGCAATCTCAGCTCACTGCAACCTCTGCCTCCCGGGTTCAAGCGATTCTCCTTCCTCAGCCTCCCAAGCTGCTGGGACTACAGGTGCGCGCCACCACGCTCAGCTAATTTTTGTATTTTTAGTAGACGGGGTTTCACCATATTGGCCAGGCTGGTCTTCAACTCCCGACCTCATGATCCACCCGCCTCGGCCTCACCAAAGGGCTGGGACTACAGGTGCGAGCCACCGTGCCTGGCCTGAAAGAGGAAATTTTTAAAAGGCATGGGTAGGTAAGAGGCAAATGGCTGCATTCTTCTGAGTCTTTGATAAGCCTTTCACATGTTAGAGGGGGATAGAGGACTAGTCACTTATGCATTCATCTAGCTCAGTGAATATGCATTTTTACATAAGAAAAAATAAACATAGGGCAGAGGAAGCAATGAGATATGCATTTGTCTCAGGTGAGCTGAGAGATGACTTTCAGTGCTGTCAAAGCCCAGCACCTGTGAAGATAAGCTATAAATTTACATTGTCACTGAAATTCCACACAACTGTTTTAGGGTACAGATTTGGGGGCACACAAGGAATTTCCTAGTGGGCAAGTTGTGAGGGCCAGGCCATATCTAGCTTTTTTATCTTTGTAGTTATCTTGTTTAAGAATAAAATGGGAGGTAGGTTTCCCTGATGCAGTTCTCAGCTTGACTTTTCCCTTTGACTTAGTGACTTTGGGGTCCTGAGATTTATTTTCCTTTCACATAGTAACCTAGAGAGAGACACTCAGAGTATTTCCAATTGTCATCTATGACAATCAATGCTGCCATTCACAACTTTCCCAAAAGGTCCGCAGATCCCCTCCCCATTACGGAGTTGGAAAGTTTCTTCCCAAAGGATCCACGTGATGAAACCAGCGCAAACCTTTCCAACTGCAAATCGAATGGCAGCTGCTTCCGCTTGGGCAAAGCGTGATTTTTTTTTTTCCTCCATCAGTGGATTTTTCTCCAGAGGAAAGCGGAAGCTCCTGGTGCCGTCCAGAAGGTGTTAAAAAAAAAAAAAAAAAAAAACCCAAACGAGAAAACAAACAAAAAAGCTACACATTAACCTATTAACCTGGATCCCGGAGTCCCAGAAAACGGGCCTCTGTCTTTAAGGCGCTTCGGTCCTCTGGGAGTTGTAGTTTCGTGGGTCCTGGAGCGGCCCCCTTCCCATCTCCCTTCTGGATTGCAGCCCCGCTGCCCTTCAGGAAAGCGCTGCCCCGGCCACCCACGCTGGCCTATGCGGTGGCTCCGACCGTGTTTTTTGCCGGACGGGGGCTCGGCCTTGGGGGGGCGCGGAGGTGAAACTACACTTCCCGGAGTGCACCGCGAGGGTCGCGCAGCCTCGCGTTAAAGAGCCCGCTCCGCCGAGCGCCGGGCGACGGCAGGTACGTCAGTCCGCGAGGGTCGCCGCAGCGCCCCTTGCGCCCCTTGCGCCCCTTGCGCCCCCTCAGCTTTCCGGTGCACCCTCCCTGACTGGGAGCACCGAGTCGACCCGCGGGCCGCCCGGGTCCTGACAGGGAAGAGTCCCCGGGAGCTCTGCGGTGCCCCGGGAGCCCACAGGTGTTTCTACGCTCCCGCGTCCATTTGGCCTGGGTCTTCCAAGGGGAGCCCCGCGACCCGGCTGGTGCGGCCGGACCTGCTGGCAGCTGGGACCGGGAGGGATGCGGGCCTCAGAGGATCCTCACCCTGAGGCAGGTGGGGCCCTGGATGCCGGCGCTGCTCTGATTTTACTTTGAGGCCGCTTCTCCTCTCTCAGTTTACCCGGCCAGGGCTCAGTATTATGCACAAATCTCAATGATGTGCTCTTGGGTAATTTACAAAACGATTTTACTCCCAAGTAACTTCTTTCGGTCTGTTATTTAGAAGGCAGCAAGTCAGAGTCCTCCGTGAGCCTTTTTTTCCTCTTTAAAGTTCTAAAATGTGCAGTCCCTGACCCACCTGTCTTCAAAAGGTTCATATGAAGAGTTCTTAGTACTTTATTCTATCTCTGGCTCCCCAACCCTATCCCAGTCTTGGACAGCGTGGGGCTGAGGACACTAAAAAATATTTCAACTTGATCTCAGCAGATGAGGCTGTATTGAAAGTGGGTAGAGGCTGGGCGCCAAGGCTCATGCCTGTAATCCCAGCTACTTGGGAGGCTGAGGCGAGGGAATCGCTTGAACTCAGGAGATGGAGGTTGCAGTGAGCCAAGATCACGCCACTGCACTCCACCCTGGGCGACAGAGCGAGACTACGTCTCAAAAACAAAACAAAACAAACCAACAACAACAACAACAAAAGAACCTTAGGGCCTTAGGGCACACTTTCTCAGGACCTCTTGAGATTGTGTAACTCCAGCAAACTATTAATTAAAAAAAAAAAAAAGGCCGGGCGAGGTGGCTCACGCCTGTAATCCCAGCACTGTGGGAGGCGGAAGCAGGTAGATCACCTATGGTCAGGAGTTTGAGACCAGCGTGGCCAACATGGCAAAACCCCCTCTCTACTAATAATACAAAAATTAGCTGGGCGTGGTGGTGCACGTCTGTAATCCCAGCTACTTGGGAGGCTGAGGCAGGAGAATCACTTTAACCTGGGAGGCGGAGATTGCAGTGAGCCGAGATCGCGCCATTGCACTCCAGCCTGACGACAGAGGGAGACTGTCTCAAAAAAAAAAAAAGCCAGGCATGGTGGCTTACACCTGTAATCCCAACACTTAGGAAGGCCAAGGCGGGAGGATTACTTGAGTCCGGGAGTTGTAGGTCAGCCTGGGCAACAAAGGGAGGCCCCATCTCAACAAAAAATAAAAAACTAGCAGGACTCATGCATAGTCCCAGCTACTTGGGAGGCTGGGATGGGAGGATCGCTGGAGCCCGGGAGTTTGAGGCTGCAGTGAGCTGTGATCACATCACTGCGTTCCGCCCTCTGGTGACAGAGCCGGACCCTGTTTCTCAAAAACAAAACAAAACAAAACAAAAGCCTAGCCTGCCTGTGCTATTAAAGCAATGGCAAAAGCCAAAATTACTTTTGCACCAACCTAATAGCTATGTTTCTGCTTTTTAAACTACAGTTTTCTTGTCTAGAGCTTCAGTGAGATAAGAACCAATTCTTAGGACTGTTGGGTGGGTCATATGAAGTGACACTGATGTGCCTTTGCCATAGTGCCTGAAAAAGCACTCCATATGTATTAGCTACTTGTATCATTTTACCTTTTTTGTTAATCTCTCAGGGGATGTCCCTCAGCCTTGCTTGATTCCCGAGGCCTTCCCTGATTTTTTTCTTCTTCAGGACAGTCTTTAACTCAGAGAATGTTTGAGAGCTTCCAGTCCTTCCTCCTTCAGGGACAGGTTAAACTCTCCTGCTTCCTTGCCTGGCTGGAAGGATTATCATTCATTGAGCCACTGGTGTGTGCCACATACTTTACATTGTATTTCATGCTGAAAACAGTCCTGGGAGGTTGATGTCTTTGGCCTTAAATTTCAGATTAGGAAACTGAGGCTTAGAGAGGTTAAGTAACTGCTGGGCATGGTGGCTCACGCCTGTAATCCCAGCACTTTGGGAGGCCGAGGCAGGCGGATCCCAAGGTCAGGAGTTTGAGACCAGCCTGGCCAGCATGGTGAAACCCCGTCTCTACTAAAAATACAAAAAATTATCCAGGCATGGTGGTGCGCGCCTGTAGTCCCAGTTACTCGGGAGGCTGAGGCAGGAGAATGGCTTGAACCTGGGAGGCGGAGGTTGCAGTGAGCCAAGATTGCGCCACTGCACTCCAGCCTGGGTGACAGAGCGAGACTCCATCTTAAAAAAAAAAATAGATTAAGTAACTTGCTCAGGATCCTACAGGAAGCAGGAAGAGGTAGAGATGGGGACAGAGCCTTTTGGGACTGATACGCAACCCAGGACTGTTCCTCTGCCCCTGTCATTAGTAAGGGATACTCTCCCCACTCTGGCCATGACCTGTCACCTGCCCATGTCTCTCTATCACTATGCTGAGATGAAGACTGGGCTCAGAACTTCTGGGCCATTGGACTCTCTGGGGCATTTCTTTTTTTTCTTGAGACAGAGTCGCTCTGTTGCCCAGGCTAGAGTGCAGTGGCGTGATCTTGGCTCACTGCAGCCTCCGTCTCCTGGGTTCAAGTGATTCTCCTGCCTCAGCCTCCTGAGTAGCTGGGACTACAAGCGCGCATCACTACACCCGGCTAATTTTTGTACTTTTAAAAGAGATGGGGTTTTGGCATGTTGGCCAGGCTGGCCTTGAACTCCTGAACTCAAGTGATCTGCCCACTTTGGCCTCCCGAAGTGCTGGGATTCCGGATGTGAGCTACCACATCTGGCCATTTCAAGGGTTTCTTTCTTTCTTTCTTTCTTTCTTTTTTCCTCAGACAGGGTCTGGCTTTGTTACCCAGGGTGGAATGTATTGGTGCCAGTTTACTGCAACCTCTGCCCCCAGGGCTGAAACAATGCTTCCGCCTCAGCCTCCTGAGTAGCTGTGACTATAGGCACATTCACTGTGCCTGGCTAATTTTTGTATGTGTGTGGTTTTTTGTTTTTTTTTTTTTGGTAGAGATGGGGTTTGCCATGTTGCTCAGGCTGGTCTCAAACTCCTGGGCTCAAGCCATCCGCCTGTCTTGGCCTCCCAAAGTGCTGGAATTACAGGTGTGAACCACTGCACCTGGCCTCTTGCTGTCTTTCAGTGCCTTTGCTTGGGACCAGATATCATTATCACTATCACCTGAATAAGGATCCAAAAGACCCAGGTGTGTTGCAACTTTGACTATAGCGTCTCCTGGCCTCTGTGAAGTGGAGATAATAGGAGATAATAATACTTATCTTGCAGGGTCTAAGGGTGTTGTCAAGATAAAAAAAAAAAATCACAGCACCTTAACTGTGGTCCAGAGTGCTCAGTCCTAGTGGCTATTATTAATTTTTTTTCTTTCTTTCTTTCTTTTTTTTTTTTTTGAGACAAAGTCTCACTCTGTCACCCAGGCTGGAGTGCAGTGGAACAATCTCTGCTCACTGCAACCACCGCTTCCCAGGTTCAAGCGATTCTCCTGCCTCAGCCTCCTGAGTAGCTGGGATTACAGGCACCCGCCACCATGCCTGGCTAATTTTTGAATTTTTGGTAGAGATGGGGTTTCACCATGCTGGCCAGGCTGGTCTCAAACTCCTGACCTCAGGTGATCCACCCGCCTCGGCCTCCCAAAGTGCTGAGATTATAGGCGTGAGCCACCATGCCCGGCCTATTAATTTTAATTTTATTTTTTTTGAGACGGAATCTCACTCTGTCGCCCAGGCTGGAGTGCAGTGGCGTGATCTTGGCTCACTGCAACCTCCACCTCCCAGGTTCAGCCTCCCGAGTAACTGGGATTACAGGTGCCTGCCACCATGCCTGGCTAATTTTTGTATTTTTAGTAGAGACAGGGTTTACCATGTTGGCGAGGCTGGTCTCGAACTCCTGACCTCAGGTAATCTTCCTGCCTTGGCCTTCCAAAGTGCTGGGATTACAGGCATAAGCCACCATGCCTGGCATCCTAGTGGCTATTATTACTAAAATCATCCCTCCCTTGTATTTGTTTAGGCTTTGTCATAATTATAATAGATAATACATACTGAGTGCTTTACATATATTTCCTCCTTTTGTACTTCAGCTCTACAAAGTAGGTTTATTGTAGTGGTTAAGCAAGTGGACCCTGTAGTGGGGAGCATGAATTTAAAAATTAATTAATTAAATTTAAAAATAAATTAATAAAAAAAAAGGCTGAGGCAGGAGGATTGCTTGAGTCCAGGAGTTTGAGACCAGCTTGGGCAATGTGGCAAGACCCAATCTCTTAAAAAGAAAACAAACAGTGAAAACCTTAGCTAGGCATGGTGGCATGTGCCTATGGTCCCAGCTATACAGGAGGCTGAGGTAGCAGGATTGCTTGGGCCTGGGAGGTCGAGGCTGCAGTGAGTTATGATTGCACCACTACACTCCAGTCTGGGTGACAGATTGAGACCCTGTCTTTAAAAAAAAAAAAAAAAGTAAAAAAGACAATAAAAAAAGAGGCCGGGCATGGTGGCTCATTCCCAGCATTTTGGGAAGCCGAGGCAGGTGGATCACCTGAGGTCAAAAGTTTGAGACCAGCCTGGCCAACATGGTGAAACCCTGTCTTTACTAAAAATACAAAAATTAGTCAGGCGTGGTGGCACATGCCTGTAATCCTAGCTACTCGGGAGGCTGAGGCAGGGAGAATTGCTTGAACCCAGGAGGTGGAGATTACAGTGAGCTGAGATTGTACCACTGCACTCCAGCCTGGGGGATACAGTAAGACTCCATCTCAGAAAGAAAAAAAGGTAATAAAATAGATACTCTGGAAAAAAAGTTTAGTTTCAAACTTCACTCTGCCACTTGCTAGCTTTGGCAAGTTACTTCATCTCTCTGTGCCTCATTTCTCCGTCTTTTTTTTTTTTTTTTTTTGTAGAGTCCAGGTCTCTGTATGTTGCCCAGGCTGGTTTCTAACTCTTGGGCTCAAGCGATCCTCCTGACATGGCCTCCCAAAATGCTGGAATTATAGACATGAGCCACCACACCCAGCAGTTTCTTCATCTTTTTTTTTTTTCGAGATAGATTTTTGCTCTTCTTGCCCAGGCTGGAGTGCAATGGTATGGTCTCGGCTCACTGCAATCTCTGTCTCCCAGGTTGAAGTGATTCTCCTGTCTCAGCCTCCCAAGTAGCTGGAATTACAGGTGCCCACCACCACATCTGGCTAATTTTTGTATTTTTAGTAGAGATGGGGTTTCACCATGTTGGCCAGGCTGGTCTCAAACTCCTGACCTCAGGCAGTCCTGCCCCTGTCTCCCAAAGTGCTCGGATTATAGGCGTGAGCCGCCAACCACGTCTAGCCTCTTTTTTTTTTTTTTTTTTTTGAGACGGTGTCTCGCTCTGTCGCCCAGGCTGGAGTGGAGTGCAGTGGCGTGATCTCTGCTCACTGCAAGCTCCGCCTCCCGGGTTCATGCCATTCTCTTGCCTCAGCCTCCCGAGTAGCTGGGACTACAGGCACCCGCCACCACGCCCAGCTAATTTTTTGTATTTTTAGTAGAGACGGGGTTTCACTGCATTAGCCAGGATGGTCTCGATCTCCTGACCTTGTGATCCACCCTCCTCGGCCTCCCAAAGTGCTGGGATTACAGGCGTGAGCCACCGTGCCTGGACTTCTTTTTTTTTGAGACAGAATCTCGCTCTGTCGCCCAGGCTGGAGTGCAGTGGTGTGATCTTGGCTCACTGCAACCTTTGCCTCCTGGGTTCAAGTGATTATTCTGACTCAGCCTCCTGAGTAGCTGGGACTACAGGCACGTGCCACCACATCTGGCTAATTTTTGTATTTTTATTAGAGACGGGGTTTCACCATATTGGCCAGGCTGGTCTCAAACTCCTGACCTCGTGATCTGCCCGCCTTGGCCTCCCAAAGTGCTGGGATTACAGATGTGAGCCACTGCGCCCAGGTGGCAGTGCAGTTCTAAGCTGCCTGCCAGAGGAGTCTGGAATTTCACAGGAATAGGTCTGTTTCAGTGTCCCAGCTGTGCTCAGTCACTGGTTGTGAGAAGGTTCGTTCAAAGCGTGGCCTCCATGTAAACAAGGTGGGAGATTCAGATCGTAGCAGCTGGGGGCGTCTGTTAGTTACACTCCCTGCTGCAGCTGACCTGAGGGTTAGACGTGCCTACGGCCATACAGTAAATTGGTGGCAAAGTTGGAGGGAGGGCTTGGTGGGCATCCTGGGAGGAGCCTTCACCCTCAAGTGCCTGGCTGGGATCTCTAGCTGGAATTTCCCCTCTGGATTTCCCTGCTGGGCTGAGTAGGGAATGGAGCAATTTCTGACAGAGGCTTTTCCTGAAGGCGTGGGTGTTGCTGAGTGGTGGTGTCCTGTCAGCCTCTTCTCTTCTGGTGGCAGCAGAGCCTGGCACTGGAATAGCCTGTGGCTGAGCTTCAGGTTTCCTGTCACTTTGGCTGGGGTGTGGGCTGACCACCAGATGTGTGCTCAGGGCGCAGCTCAGCCAGTGGTGAGCAGCTTACTTGCATGGGCTTTTCCCATGCTGAGTTTTGAGGGGTGGAGGGAGGAAATGGGGGTGCTGCTTTGTGGGACAGCAGTGGGAGCCCTGCCAGAGGTGAATGTGTGGGTACTCCTGGGGGACTCGGTCTCGGGGAGGCCAGGGGCTCAGGAGTCAGATTGGTTTTCCATCTGGCAGGAGTGCTGGCAGGTTGGGGGAGACAGGGGTGGGGGTGAAGCCAAATCTTTGGCCTTGCTTTCCCCCTACTTGCTGAGAGTGCCCTGGAGGAAGATGGCGGGCAGGTAGGGCTGCAGCCCCCGCTGGGCTGGCTGAGACCCCTGGGAAGGGAGGTCTCCAAGTGCCTGCTCCTGCAGCTCTGAGTGCATATGCGCTCCCCACAGCTGCCCCCTTCTCCGGGGAACCCCCATCAGCTTGAGGAGCCTGGGGGGTGGGGTTAGGCATTTGCTCTCGCCTTCCTTTCCCCCTTGCTTTGGGTGGCCCCAACTCTTACCCCATCCTGCTGCCCTCCCTTCCTCCTTCCTGGGCACACTCCCTGGGGAAATCACACCCATCCACATTTTGGAATGTCAGCAGACATGCTGACCACGTGACCCAGCCATCCGCCTTGGTGTCCACCTGGGGAGATGAAATCTTCTGTTCACACGAACCTATCTCCGGAGGTTCATAGCAGGACTATTCACATCTGCCAAAAACTGGAGATGGCCCAGATGCTCTTCAGTGGGTAAATGGAGAAACAGATGCGGCCCATCCATGCGAGGGATCACTGCTCCTCCGAAAAAAGGCTTGGGCCACAGATATGTACAATGACTTGGATACATCTCAGAGGCATCATGTTGGATGAAAGAAGCTAATCTCAAAAGATTATATTCCATTTTATTTGACTTTTTTTTGTTTTGTTTTGTTTTGAGGGTCTTGCTGTGTCAGCCAGGCTGGAGTGCAGTGGAGTGATCATGGCTCACTGCAGCCTTAACCTCCTGGGCTCAAGCAGTCCTCCCACCTTGGTCTTCCAAAGTGCTGGGATTATAGACGTGAGCCACTACACCTGTCCTGGCCTTTATTTTATTTTAGTTAATTAATTAGAGATAGGGTCTTATTCTGTGACCCAGGCTGGAGTGCAGTGATACAGTCATAGCCCACTACAGCCATAATCTCCCAGGCTCAAGCAGTCCTCCCACCTTAGCTTCCTGAGTAGCTGGAACTACAGGCACACGCCACCACGCCTGCCTAATTTTTGTATTTTTAGTAGTGAAGAGGTTTTGCCATGTTGGCCAGGCTGGTCTCGAACTCCTGACCTCAGGTGATCTGTCCACCTCGGCCTCCCAAAGTGCTGGAATTACAGATGTAAGCTACTATACCTGGCCTGTTCGACATTTTTTCTTTTATTTATTTATTTTTTTTGAGACGGAGTCTCCCTTTGTCGCCCAGGTTGGAGTGCAGTGGCGCGATCTTGGCCCACTGCAGCCTCCGCCTCCTGGGTTCAAGCGATTCTCCTGCTTCAGCCTCCCGAGTAGCTGGGATTACAGGCATGCCCCGCCACACCCGGCTAATTTTTGTATTTTTAGTAGAGACGGGGTTTCACCATGTTGGCCAGGCTGGTCTCCAACTCCTGACCTCAGGTGATCCCCCCACCTCAGCCTCCCAAAGTGCTAGGATTGCAGGCATGAGCCTCTGCACCCGGCCGACATTTTCTAAGTTGATGAAACTATAGCTTTAGAGAGCAAATCAGTGGTTGTCAGGGCGTAGGCGGGGAGGAGAGGTTGCATGAGGAAGTTTTTTTGAGTGTAGATGGTGATACCAACACGAATCTATACACATGTTAAAATCATAGAATTGTATATAAAATTAATTACTTTTAGTTATGATGGTTTAAAAAATAGTCACATCTACCCATATTGCTGTCTCAGGAAGCCCCTCCGCTTGGCCAGAATGGAGCAGCCGAAGGGAGTTGATTGGACAGTCATCATCCTGACCTGCCAGTACAAGGACAGTGTCCAGGTCTTTCAGAGAGGTAGGGGACTCCCCTTCCCACCTTGCCCCTAATGGAGAACCTCCCTCCCCTTCCTGGCTATGTCCCTCCAACACCAGGTGCCAGGCCAACCTGGGTTCAAACCCAGATTGCACTTCTCCCTAGCCATGTGACAGCATACGTGGCATGTCATTCCTTGTGCCTTAGTTTTCTCATCTGTAAGATGGGAGTAATATGACTTCTCTCACTAAGTTGGGTGAAGATCTAGTGGCCTCCTACATGGAAAGCTAAGTCAAGGAAGATCAAACACTGATGATCAGTAGGCTTGCTTACGTGCTTTGGGCCAGGGCAGAGAGCTGGGGGGCAGGTCCCAGTGTCTCTTCTGACCCTAGAACTGGAAGTGCGGCAGAAGCGGGAGCAGATCCCTGCTGGGACGCTGTTACTGGCCGTGGAGGACCCAGAGAAGCGTGTGGGCAGCGGAGGAGCCACCCTCAACGCCCTGCTGGTGGCTGCTGAACACCTGAGTGCCCGGGCAGGCTTCACTGTGAGTGCTCACCAGGGCCACCTCCCTGGTCTGTGTCCCTGCTGGAACCAGGTCATTTCTGAGATCCCCAGCTCCTCTGGCTCCATCGCCTTGGCCAACTCAGCATTGGTCTCAGTTTTTGTTTCTGTAAATTGGGCGGACTCATCTCTGCCTTGCCGTTCAAGTGAGGGCAGAAGGCAGGGCCAGCTTTTGCAGTGTTTTTAGAGAGTTGTAGCCAATATCTCAAAGTGAGGCTTTCTGGCTTCTCTTGAAACATTCAAAGGTCTTGCTAGCCTGGGCTGTCATCCCCATATGGCAACGAACTGTTCGCTGGACCTGAGCTGCGGCTGCCTGCTTTGGGCAGGCCATGTGAGTCAGCATCCCTGCTGGTCCCGTGTCTCCCATGCAACCAGCCACTTCACCCGGTCACCTTGTCTGCATAGCATCTTTGTGTGCAGAGTGAGGGCGAGCACAGACTTGGACATGCTCTGCAGAGGGAGATGGCACCAGCAGGGGAGGGGACCACTGTAGCTGCCATGGCGCTGACTCCCCTAAGTCACCCAGCCAGCCCCCAACTCTTGTTGCCTGTAACCTCCCCTTCAAAACAGACAGCAGAGGCCGGGCGCGGTGGCTCATGCCTTTAATCCCAGCACTTTGGGAGGCCGAGGTGGGTGGATCACCTGAGGTCAGGAGTTGGAGACCAGCCTGACCAACGTGATGAAACCCCGTCTCTACTAAAAATACAAAAATTAGCTGGGCCTGGTTGCACACACCTGTAATCCCAGCTACTCGGGAGGCTGAGGCAGGAGAGTCGCTTGAACCCAGGAGGTGGAGGTTGCAGTGAGCTGAGATCATGCCATTGCAGTGAGCTGAGATCATGCCATTGCAGTGAGCTGAGATCATGCCATTGCACTCCATTCTGGGCAACAGAGCGAGACTGCATCTCAAAAAAAAAAAAAAAAAAAAATTTAAGAGGTAGCCAGGCGTGGCAGTGCACACCTGTAGTCCCAGCTAGTTAAGAGGCTGAGGTGGGAGGCTCGCTTGAGCCCAAGAGACCAAGGCTGCAGTGAGCTGGGATCATACCACTGCACTCCAGACTGGGTGACAGAGTGAGACCCTGTCTCAAAACAACAACAACAACAGCAACAAACCAGCCAGCAAGAAGGTGGCCCAGGTGGAGGGCCCTGGGATCCCTTATCCAGGAGGGACCAGGGCTGCCCCTTGTCTGCCTGTGGCCATTGGTTTGACCTTGCCTTTTGTCCCTTGGGTACCTGAGTGGATTTGTGTTGGAGTCTCTCTCTGGATTCGAGGGTGCCATCCTCCAGGGCGTCTGCCTGAGGCCTCTGTTCACAGGGCTTTCCCACTCCTGCAGGTGGTCACATCCGATGTCCTGCACTCGGCCTGGATCCTCATTCTGCACATGGTAAATGAACTTTGGGGCAGGGGCCAAGCAGAAGGCCAGAATCCCAGTTCGTGGAGTTGAGCAGGACTTCAGGGGTGTTCTGCCACTGTGTGTGTGCAAGATGAAATCTGAAAGATTCTAAATGTCCAAAAATTGGGAAATGGCTAAATATATACCACATATTTTCCCAGCAGAATATTAGATTGAAAGGTCCATCTAGGGCCGGGCGCAGTGGCTCATGCCTGTAAATCTCAGCACTTTGGGAGGCCAAGGCGGGAGGATTGCTTGAGCCCAGGAGATCGAGACCAGCCTGGGCAACATGGTGAAACCTCATCTCTATAAGAAATACAAAAATTAGCCGCCATGGTGGTGCACACCTGTAGTCCCAGCTACTCAGGAGGCTGAGGTGGGAGGATCACTTGAGCCTGGGAGGTTGAGGCTGCAGTGAGTTATGATTACACCACTGCACTCCAGCCTGTGTGACCCTTTCTCAAAAAATAAAATTATAGGCTGGGCGCAGTGGCTCACATCTGTAAAGTGGCTCACACAGCGCTTTGGGAGGTTGAGGCGGGCAGATCACAAGGTCAGGAGTTTGAGATCAGCCTGGCCAGCATGGTGAAACTCTGTCTTTACTAAAAATACAAAAAATTAGCCAGGCATGGTGGTGCATGCCTGTAGTCCCAGCTACTTGGGAGGCTGAGGCATGAGAATTGCTTGAACCCAGGAGGCGGAGGTTGCAGTGAGCCAAGATCGCACTACTGCACTACAGCCTGGGCAACAGAGCAAGACTTAGTCTAAAAAATTGCAGTGCAATGCAATGCAATGCAATGCATAATATAAAAATATATTGTAGGAGAAAATATCAAGAGAACATTTTTTATCAGCCCTCCACTGGATGGCTTTCTGCCTGCACAGCTGATGAGGTGGCCTTGGGCTCTGTGCACTGAGGCTTCCTCACCAGTCCCCCGACTTCCAGGGTCGAGACTTCCCCTTTGATGACTGTGGCAGGGCTTTCACCTGCCTCCCCGTGGAGAACCCCGAGGCCCCCGTGGAAGCCTTGGTCTGCAACCTGGACTGCCTGCTGGACATCATGACCTATCGGGTGAGGCTGGGTGGTGGCCCGTGGTGCCTCGTCCCAGATAGAGCCACTTCCCTCCCACTGTTCCCCCAGGTATGATCTATGCTGGCTCAGCTGGGAGAAGGAATGGTTTTGAGGGTGCCTAATGTTAGTTAAGAGCTTCAAGAAGTTAGTTGTGTCTGGGGGCAGTGGCTCATGCCTATAATTTCAGCACTTTGAGAAGCCAAAGTGGGAGGATCGCTTGAGGCCAAGAGTTCATGACCAGCCTGGGCAACACAGCAAGACCCCATCTCTACAAAAAAATTTTTAAAAAATTACCTGGGCATGATGGCATGCACTTGTAGTCCCAGCTACTCAAGAGGCTGAGGCAGGAAGATCGCTTGAGCCCAGGAGTTTGAGGCTGCAGTGAGCTACGATCGCACTACTGCACTCCAGCCTGGGTGACAGTGAGACCCTGTCGCAATAACAACAAATAAGTTAGTCTTGGTCACATGGGGAAAGTTGTAAACCCAGGTCAGAGAGTGGGTGGGGGCAGACCAGGTCTTGGAGGCCCTTGTTACTTCAACAGCACAGTATCCTTGGGCAAGGAGGGGGCAGGTGAAGGCCTGGGCCAGGCACCAGCTGTGTTCTGTCTCCTTCCCCCCACAGCTGGGCCCGGGCTCCCCGCCAGGCGTGTGGGTCTGCAGCACCGACATGCTGCTGTCTGTTCCTGCAAATCCTGGTGAGCCTGAGACTACCTGGGACTGCCTTCCTTCGTCACAGCCACAGCAAGAAGCCAGCTCTGCCCTTCTTGCCCACCCTGCCTCTGGGCCTGCCCCGCTGCCCTATTAGACGGGAAGCTGGAGGGTGTGGAGAATGAAGCCTGGTGGAGGCAGGGCTTCTCCTGCTGTGCCTCAGTCTGTCTGTCTATAGGATGGACAGAAGCAGCCCTGCCCCTTCTGTCCCACAGGGCTCTGCGGAAGAACTTTGGGAGAGGAGGGTTGTCATTCTCCCAGGCGAATGTCCATTTGGCTTGGAAACCGTATTTCCCTTTTAGAGGTGCCCAGGTGCCGCAGCCCTGGGCTCTTGCTTCCACCTGGTGGGGAAATCCGTGCCTTGGGTGGAGGCCCCTGGGAGCCTCCTGACTGCCCCACCCCACAGGTATCAGCTGGGACAGCTTCCGGGGAGCCAGAGTGATCGCCCTCCCAGGGAGCCCGGCCTACGCTCAGAATCATGGCGTCTACCTAACTGACCCCCAGGTAGTGCCCCTGGGGACAGTGGAGCCGGCTGGGGCAGCCTTCCTCCTGTCAGTGGGCAGCCTCCTCCCTGTCAGTGGGCAGCCTCTCATCCTGGATTTCCTCGCATGTTCCTGAATCCAAGGAGTTTCCTCCGTGGCAGTGGCACCAGTGCTCCCTTACTCTCGCCAAAAATACATTTCACACCGACCGCCTGTCCAGTCTCTGTGCCCAGGCTCAGGGCTGCAAAGACCTTTAAAGCCTGCCCTCTGCCATCATGGAGTAGAAATCTCAGGCCCCCCCTGAGAATGCCAGCAACTGCCAGCCTTGCGTCCTCAGCTTTCCTTTGGAGAATGCCCTTGCTGCCACCTGTGGCTGTGGCCTCCTTCCAGATCCCTTCCTGCTCCCTCCGCTGATTCTGTTTCTCCCTGCACATAGGGCCTTGTTTTGGACATTTACTACCAGGGCACTGAGGCAGAGATTCAGCGGTGTGTCAGGCCTGATGGGCGGGTGCCACTGGTATGGCTGCTGGGCCCAGGTTGCGGGGCTTTGGGGACCTTATGGGACAGGGAGGGAGGGTCTGACTTCCTTCGATTCCTTCTAGAAGCCTCCAGGACAAGCTAGAGCTAGAATCTGAGGACAGGGTAGCCTTGGAATTCAGGGTCTTGTCCTGAGCCAGAAAGCCTAGAACCAGGCGGGCACGGTGGCTAACGCCTGTAATCCCAGCACTTTAGGAGGCTGAGGCGGGTGGATCAGTTGAGGTCAGGAGTTCGAGACCAGTCTGGGCAACGTGGTGAAACCCTGTCTCTACTAAATACAACAATTAGCTGAGCATGGTGGTGTGTGCCTGTAATCCCAACTACTTGAGAGGTAGAGGCTCGAGAATCGCTTGAACCCAGGAGGCGGAGGTTGCGGTGAGCAGAGATCGTGCCACTGCACTTCAGCCAGGGTGACAGAGCGAGACTCTGAATCAATCCCCTGCCCGCTGTAAAACAAAACAAAGCAAACCTCAAAAACTCAAACGAAAAAAGAAAGCCTAGAACCAGAATGTGAGCAAGTTAGGGAGTGCGGTTGGGAGGAGGCCTAGAGCCAGACTCCGGGAATGCTTCCATCATGAGGGGCAAGGATTGGAGAGGCATGGAGATCTGGGAGTGGACCATGGCGAGGGTGGAGAACTGGGTTCAGGAGAAGGCCTGACAGTTGAGGGTGTCCCAGAAGGTGTCTTGGTGGGAGCTACCCCAAGTAAGCCTGGAGTCTGGCTGCTGGAGTGGTCAGAAGGTGACACTCCCTGCCTGGTATGGCACTCAGCTTCATGTGGCCCATCTGCATGTGCCCTCCCTGACTTGTACCAGGGCCTGGTCCAGGGCCCTCCATCTCTGATCCTTTTGGGGTCCCTTCCAGGTCTCTGGGGTTGTCTTCTTCTCTGTGGAGACTGCCGAGCGCCTCCTAGCCACCCACGTGAGCCCGCCCCTGGATGCCTGCACCTACCTAGGCTTGGACTCCGGAGCCCGGCCTGTCCAGGTGACTGGGGGAGGGCAGCTAGGTGGGGCCTGGCTTGGGGGCGAGGCACTGTGTGACCTCAGGCCAGCCACTTCCCCTCTCTGGGGCAGAGTCTCCGCAGACGGGACTGCCCTGGTTCAGCCTCAGAACTTGGGGGCTGAACCCCTGCCATGCCAATAGCTGTGCTTCTTCCCCTTCCCCTAGCTGTCTCTGTTTTTTGACATTCTCCACTGCATGGCTGAGAACGTGACCAGGGAGGACTTCCTGGTGGGGAGGCCCCCAGAGTTGGGGCAAGGCGATGCAGATGTAGCGGGTTATCTGCAGAGCGCCCGGGCCCAGCTGTGGAGGGAGCTTCGCGATCAGCCCCTTACCATGGGTGGGTACTGCCTCTCAGCTCCCTGGGGTGGGGAGACCATGGGAGTGAGGACCCCAAGAATGGAGCTGCTCACTGCATGCTGGGCCAGGCAGCCCAGCACAGGGACTGGGCAGTTCTCCTGTCCTGTGCCAGAGCCCCCCACTGAGCTACCTCCTTCCCCTTCTTGTCTTCCTTTTGTCTCATTCCTGGGCTCTCCCAGCCTGTCCACTTTTGTTTCTGTTTTTTTTTGTTTGTTTGTTTTGTTTTTTGAGACGGACTCTCTCTTTGTCGCCCCGGCTAGAGTGAGGTGGTGCGATCTCAGCTCACTGCAACCTCCGCCTCCTGGGTTCAAGCAATTCTCCTGCCTCAGCCTCCTGCGTACCTGGGATAATAGCCATGCATCATCACACTTGGCTAATTTTTCTATTTTTAGTTGGTCAGGCTGGTCTTGAACTCCTGGCCTCAGGTGACCCGCCTGCCTTGGCCTCCCGAAGTGCTGGGCTTACAGGCATGAGCCACCATGCCCGGCCCTAACCTGTCTGCTTTCTTTTTTTTTTTTTGAGACAGAGTATGGCTCTGTTGCCCAGGCTGGAGTGCAGTGGCGTAATTTCGGCTCACTGCAACCTCTGCGTCTCAGGTTCAAGCGATTCTCCTGCCTCAGCTGCCTGAGTAGCTGGGATTACAGGTGCGTGGCACCATGCCTGGCTAATTTTTGTATTTTTAGTAAAGATGGGATTTCACCATGTTGGTCAGGCTGGTCTCGAACTCCTGACCTCGTGATCTGCCTGCCTCGGCCTCCCAAAGTGCTGGGATTACAGGCGTGAGCCACTGTGCCCGGCCAACCTGTCTACTTTCTAGCTGTGTTGTGTGGCTTTGGGCAGGTTCCTGACTCAGCTTCCCCTAACAGGCTCATGGCCACACCTGCCCCCATGTGTCTCTGCTGCTGGGAGGCAGCCTGGCCCCTGAGTCGCAGCAGGCATGGGGTTGGGTTCAGTACTTATGTCTTTACAGCCTATGTCTCCAGCGGCAGCTACAGCTACATGACCTCCTCAGCCAGTGAGTTCCTGCTCAGCCTCACACTCCCCGGGGCTCCTGGGGCCCAGATTGTGCACTCCCAGGTGGAGGTGAGACCTCCCTGCCCCTCCGGTGCCTGCTGGTTGTCTGGGGTCAGGTGGGATGTGGATTCCCGGGAAGAAAATAGCCGGCACTTGGAACAGATGACCCGAGTGCAGGTGTTACCCTGGTTTACACATGAAGTGCTGGAGGCTCAGAGAGGCTAAGTAACTTGCCTAAGGCCACAGAGCCAGTAAGTGGCCAACTCAGGATTCTGCATTGAGCTTGCCTGATTGAGAAGCTAAAGGAGACCTTTATTTGGGGTCTGCCTGGGGTGACAGTGGTGGGCCTGGGTCAGTGCCGTGCTGCTGAGGAAGGGGACAGGTAGGGTTCAGAGGTGGCCCCCAGGGTGGCAAGGTTGGGCGTAGTTGGACAGGTGGGATGGAAATAGGTCTCAGGCTGGGGCCAAGGCAGGTCCAGAGAGGAGTCTAGGGTGCTGCAGGGCAGGGGAGCAGTAGGCCTGGACGCTTTGCCCCTGGATGCTTGGCTTGGGAGGAGAGCTGGGGCAGCCCTGGGCCTCGACCCCCCTCATGCTCCTCCTACCTGGCTGCACAGGAGCAGCAGCTTCTGGCGGCCGGGAGCTCTGTGGTCAGCTGCCTGCTGGAGGGCCCTGTCCAGCTGGGTCCTGGGAGCGTCCTGCAGCACTGCCACCTGCAGGTGAGGCCTGAGCGTGTGGGCAGATTGGGGCGAGGGTGCTGGCATCCCGCATGTGTTGGGGGGTGTTGGGTGCCTGCCCACCCAGGATGCCTGCCCTGTCCCCCACCAGGGCCCCATTCACATAGGCGCTGGCTGCTTGGTGACTGGCCTGGATACAGCCCACTCCAAGGCCCTGCATGGCCGGGAGCTGCGTGACCTTGTCCTGCAGGGACACCACACGCGGCTACACGGCTCCCCGGGCCACGCCTTCACCCTCGTTGGCCGTCTGGACAGCTGGGAGGTAGGCAGTCACCCTGCATTCCCTCACCCCCATCTTCAGGCTTTGGGGAGCCCAAGGAGTCCTGGCCCCCACCCCACTGCGGGGTTCTCTGAGCACTGGCCCGTGGGACAGGCTGTGAGGAGGGTCGGATGTAGGGAGGAGAGAATGAGGGAGGAGATAGGGTGAAGATAGGCTGTGAGACCAGCAGAGTCTCCACAGGCCTTTACCTCCCTCCTTGCATCTGCTCTGCCAGGTGGGCTGGGTGGGGATTTTGTTTTTTTTCTGGAGATAGAGTCTTGCTCTATCACCAAGGCTGGAGTGCAGTGGCCCAATCTCAGCTCACTGCAATCTCTGCCTCCCAGGTTCAAGCGATTCTCCTGCCTCAGCCTCACGAATAGCTGGGACTACCAGCGTGCACCACCACGCCCAGCTTAGTAGAGATGGGGTTTCGCCATGCTAGTCTGGTTGGGTGGGGTTGTTGTTTTTTTTTTTTTTTTTGAGACTCACTCTGTCTCCCAGGCCGGAGTGCAGTGGCGCAATCTTGGCTCACTGCAAGCTCTGCCTCCCGGGTTCACGCCATTTTCCTGCCTCAGCCTCCTGAGTAGCTGGGAGTACAGGCGCCCACCACCACGCCTGGCAAATTTTTTTGTATTTTTTAGTAGAGATGAGGTTTCACCGCGTTAGCCAGGATGGTCTCAATCTCCCGACCTCAACTGATCTGCCTGCCTCGGCCTCCCAAAGTGCTGGGATTATAGGTGTGAGCCACCGCGCACGGCTGGGTGGGGGTTTTTATCCTTATTTGACAGGCTAGAGACTGGGATTCAGAGAGGGAGGTAACCCGCCTTGGGCTGCAGCCTGTTGTGGTGGGCTGGGCCTGGAACCCAGGGTTCTGCTCCAGATTTCAGGCACCTTGGCGGGAGTGTTGGGGCTGCAGGGCTGAAAACAATTTCAGAAATTGCTCCATGGCTGGGTGTAGTGGCTCATGCCTGTAATCTCAACACTCTGGGAGGCCGAGGTGGGAGGCCAGGAGTTCATACCTGCAGTGAGCTGACCACACCACTGCACTCCAGCCTGGGTGGGTCAAGTATGTTCTTTGTCTGTCTTCCTGCCCTCATGTGAGCACTTGAGCAGCTCCTGGCCCCCTGGCCGAGTGTCTCTAACCCTTTCCTGTGGCCCCTGCAGCCCTGACTGCTTCTTCCTCTCCCCCAGAGACAGGGGGCAGGCACATATCTCAACGTGCCCTGGAGTGAATTCTTCAAGAGGACAGGTGTTCGGTAAGGTGGACACCCCTAGGGCCTCTGTGGGCCTGGGCAGCTGGGGTGGCTGCTGCTCTTTGAGGTGTGTCCCTCCCCTGCCCCAGAGCAGCACGGGCCGTGTTACCATCCAGGGGCCTGGGTGGTTTTGGGCAGCCGGATTCTCTCCAGTACTTTCCCCCGGGCAGCTCCCAGTCTCTGGCTGTGCTGACTTTGGCTTTCTTGTTCAATGGTCTGGGAAAGGATGCCAGGCAGCCTGGCCCCCGACCTGAATTGCCCACTTATGCTACCTCGGAGGAGTCTGTCCTGTCCCCATGAACTGACAGGCGGCTCAGGGCTTGGGGAAGAGACTGGAGCTTTTGCTTCCCTCCTGGGAATGTGCCTTCTCCCCACATCAGAGCCTGGGACCTGTGGGACCCTGAGACGCTGCCCGCAGAGTACTGCCTTCCCAGCGCCCGCCTCTTTCCTGTGCTCCACCCCTCGAGGGAGCTGGGACCCCAGGACCTGCTGTGGATGCTGGACCACCAGGAGGATGGGGGCGAGGCCCTGCGAGCCTGGCGGGCCTCCTGGCGCCTGTCCTGGGAGCAGCTGCAGCCGTGCCTGGATCGGGCTGCCACGCTGGCCTCTCGCCGGGACCTGTTCTTCCGCCAGGCCCTGCATAAGGCGCGGCACGTGCTGGAGGCCCGGCAGGACCTCAGCCTGCGCCCGCTGATCTGGGCTGCTGTCCGCGAGGGCTGCCCCGGGCCCCTGCTGGCCACGCTGGACCAGGGTGAGTGTGCAGGCTGGTAGTGCTGCAGAATCAGGCCAGGGGCACCTGCCCTCCCTGTCCTCTGGGCCATCCCCTGAGGGGACTAGGGGACCATGAGGTGCTCAAGCAGGGAAGGGGCATGCTGGAGTTTACTTTTAGGATTCTGGAAGGCCTCATCCTTGTCAATGGGGTTTGGTCTGAGGTTGAGGCATGTTCATCCTTGTCAGTGGGGTTTGGTCAGAGGTTGAGGCCTGGCAGCTGAGCTCTAGGTCCTAGGCACATCGGCAAACCCTGCGTGTTCTGTACTGGGTGCCAGGATGTGGGTGCAGAGCGTGGCGAGGGGACAGAGCCCCCAGGGGACATGGTCATCTCTGCATGAGGTCCCAAGCACACTTCCGGGGGCTCACAGCCTTAGCCTCCTAGGCTGAACCTCATGGAAGGTCCCAGGGACCGTGGACATGAATGGTATTGAAGCCACTCACCCAGAGCCACACGGCTAGCTGGTGGTGAGGCTGAGACCTGAGCCCAGGTGGTTTGAGCCCAGAGCCTGAGCTCTTCACCACTATGGGTGTCCTGGGTGGGGGTGAAGAGACACCTATGGGCTGGGACTGGCAAGACGAGATGATCTCTGCCAGGCAGAGAGCAGGAGTGCAGTTACAGTCAAAGATACATTGTGGGCAAAAGCCAGGAGGTGTGAGGGGTCTGGCGCATTTAGGGACTGTTGAGTAGCCTCTCGTGAAAGAGGATTTTGAAGACAGGCCTCCTCCCCTGCCACCCCCAACTCCTTGTCCCTCAGTTGCAGCTGGGGCAGGAGACCCTGGTGTGGCGGCACGGGCACTGGCCTGTGTGGCGGACGTCCTGGGCTGCATGGCAGAGGGCCGTGGGGGCTTGCGGAGCGGGCCAGCTGCCAACCCTGAGTGGATGCGGCCCTTCTCATACCTGGAGTGTGGAGACCTGGCAGCGGGCGTGGAGGCGCTTGCCCAGGAGAGGGACAAGTGGCTAAGCAGGTGTGTACTAATGGAGGTCAGATCCCTTGGATAAGCCCCTTGCTGTCTGGGAAGTGGACCCTGATGGAGGAAACCCAGAGAGAGGTGGGGCTCCCTTGGGTACCCCGGGACAGTCAGGTCCCCAAAGCCAGGCAATCTGCCCCCAGCTTGGGGCTGCATGCCACCATCCCTCCCCCTTCTCTTGGCAGGCCAGCCTTGCTGGTGCGAGCGGCCCGCCACTATGAGGGGGCTGGTCAGATCCTGATCCGCCAGGCTGTGATGTCAGCCCAGCACTTTGTCTCCACAGAGCAGGTGGAACTGCCGGGACCTGGGCAGTGGGTGGTGGCTGAGTGCCCGGCCCGTGTGGATTTCTCTGGTGAGCCCCTTGTGGCAGGTGGGGTTGAGGGTAGCTGCCCCAGAGCCAGGCTGGCAGCTTCTGTGACCAGCTTGAGTCTTGCCACACTGCCATAGGGGGCTGGAGTGACACGCCACCCCTTGCCTATGAGCTTGGCGGGGCTGTGCTGGGCCTGGCTGTGCGAGTGGACGGCCGCCGGCCCATCGGAGCCAGGGCACGCCGCATCCCGGAGCCTGAGCTGTGGCTGGCGGTGGGGCCTCGGCAGGATGAGATGACTGTGAAGATAGTGTGCCGGTGCCTGGCTGACCTGCGGGACTACTGCCAGCCTCATGCCCCAGGTCAGGCACCCTGGGACCTCTGCAGGTGGGGCTGGCCAGCTGGGGGCTCGGGGCAGAAGCTAGAGACTGCAGGCCAGTGGGGTCTGGCCTGAGGGCCAGCCAGTCTGGCTGAGGAGCCTGAAGGGAAGGAAGGGGCTGGGAGTCAACCTGCAAAGATGACACGTGTCCCTGTCTGGGAGCCCAGAGGCCCTTTTGTGGCTTGGGGATGGGGCCAGTACTGCTGCTGGGCTTTTGTCCCACCGGATGAGTCCCGCACTGGGCTGGGAAGTCCAGGGTGGGTGGGTGCCTGCGTCTGCCCATCGAGACTGAATTCCTTTCTCATGCCTGTCCTTCTGCAGGGGCCCTGCTGAAGGCGGCCTTCATCTGTGCAGGGATCGTGCATGTCCACTCGGAACTCCAGCTGAGTGAGCAGCTGCTCCGCACCTTCGGGGGCGGCTTTGAGCTGCACACCTGGTCTGAGCTGCCCCACGGCTCTGGCCTGGGTGAGCGGGCCCTGCCTCCTGCTACCCACCGACTGTTACAGCCCTCCAGCCTTGCCTGTGATCCCCCTTCCTGGCCTCTGCCCTTAGACGGAGTCAGGCAGGCCTGGGCAGGGTGGAGGTGTTTCATGTCTGCTCTCTCCTCTCCGCCCTGCAGGCACCAGCAGCATCCTGGCAGGCACTGCCCTGGCTGCCTTGCAGCGAGCCGCAGGCCGGGTGGTGGGCACGGAAGCCCTGATCCACGCAGTGCTGCACCTGGAGCAGGTGCTCACCACTGGTATGTGACTGCCCTGGAGTTGGAGGAGGTCACTGACACTTTCCCAAGGGCCCGCGGGGGGAGTGGGGCTCCCCTGGATTTGCATGTGATTGGCCAACAGCCACAAGACTGTGCTGCTGTTGGAAATACTTTCCTTCTAGTCACTTTGACCTTCTCTGGTCGTTTTCAACCTGAAATGTTCTACCTCCCAACGAGCCGTTTCACAAGCATCTACTGAGTGCCAGATTCTGTGCTGTGCCCTTTTTTTTTTTTTGAGACGGAGTCTTGCTCTGTCGCCCAGGCTGGAGTGCAGTGGTGCGATCTCAGCTCGCTGCAAGCTCTGCCTCCCGGGTTCACGCCATTCTCCTGCCTCAGCCTCCCGAGTAGCTGGGACTACAGGCGCCTGCCACCACGCCCGGCTAATTTTTTTGTATTTTTAGTAGAGACGGGGTTTCACCGTGTTAGCCAGGATGGTCTCGATCTCCTGACCTCGTGATCCGCCCGCCTCGGCCTCCCAAAGTGCTGGGATTACAGGCGTGAGCCACCGCGCCCGGCCTGTGCTGTGCCTCTCATGCTTGTTGGAACCAGGTGCTGTGCTTCGTGACTGTGCCTTTCCAGGGCTGTGCTGGGGTAGGGCTGGGCAGAGCTGCTTTGGACCTTCCGCCTGTCCTGGCATCGTGCCCTTACTTGAGATATGATCACCTGTGCCCCCGCCCCCACCCCCTGGCCATATGGTGGGACAGCAAGAGCCCAACAATGACTATGATCTAATGAATGTCACCAGCGCCAGGCTTCTCACTCCTCCTGGCCACCGAGCCCCCTGGAACCCATGGCCAGTGTAGAGCAGCTACAGCTTGTCTGGTTTCAGGTCCACCTCAGGGTGTCAGGTCCCGTCTCCAGCACACCCCTGGAAAGAAACTGCTGCAAAGGCCTACTGAAGCCTGACTGTGGTGTTTTCTGTCACTCTGCAGCTCAAGCCTCACATTTCACTGTAGTGACTCATATCCCATAATCGGTAGTCATTAGCAAAAGGAGCAGATGGGGAAGCATTTTCAGTTTTCTTTTGAGGTGTACCATTCAAGTTCTACATTTGGCCAACGGAAAACTATTTGTTGAGAACCCACTCTGTGGGGCCCCAGGGATAAAATGAGCAAAAATGGGGTCCCTGCCCTCAAAAGTCCTGTGGTCTCCTGGAGACAGACATTAATCAATAACTACTCAGGTGCATGTGTATTACAAACTGTGCCAAGTGCTTTGAAGCAGAGGGGCACAGTTAAGTCTTGACATTTCAAGACTTAGCCACTTTGCAACTACCAGGTTTTGGCTGCAAAGTTCCAGATGGCTTCTGTCTTTTGCATTTCATACTTTAAACCCTTGCAGGCCCTTCCCTAACTATCAAGGGCCTGTCCCAGAAGCAACTCAAGTTTTGTTATTTTTAATTTTTTTTTATTTTTGAGATGGAGTCTAGCTCTGTCACCCAGATTGGAGTGCAGTGGTGCGATCTCAGCCCACTGCAACCTCTACCTCCCGGGTTCAAGAGATTCTCCTGCCTCAGCCTCCCAGGTAGCTGGGATTACAGGTGCCTGCCACCATGCCCAGCTAATTTTTTGTATTTTTAGTAGAGATGGGGTTTCACTGTGTTGGCCAGGCTCGTCTTGAACTCCTGACCTCATGATCCGCCTGCCTTGGCCTCCCAAAGTGCTGGGATTACAAGCGTGAGCCACCATGCCCGGACTAGTTTTGTTATTTTTATGCAGCTACAAGGAGGAAAATGATACATACCTTTCATTACTGAAGATGGAAAGATGTGTAAGTTAGATAAGAGAAAAACAGATCCTGATGACCTTCCTTCCAACATAAACCACCTGTCAGAAGACGGTGCAGGGAGACTCAGGCCAAAGGGAAGGTATCTGTCAGCCTCTCCTCTGACTAAAACTCCCCTAGGAGGGGCAGAGGTCAGTGTAAAATATGTATTTTTTGAGACAGAGTCTCACATTGTCACCCAGGCTGGAGTGCAGTGGTGCGATCTCAGCTCACTGCAACCTTTGCCTCAGCCTCCCTAGAAGCTGGGATTACAGGGCATGCACCACCATGCCTGGCTAATTTTTGTATTTTTGGTAGAGACTAGATTTCACCATGTTGGCCAGGTTG
This sequence comes from Homo sapiens, assembly GCF_000001405.40. Classification (NCBI taxonomy): domain Eukaryota; kingdom Metazoa; phylum Chordata; class Mammalia; order Primates; family Hominidae; genus Homo; species Homo sapiens. The sequence goes on from NC_000016.10 coordinate 70,477,898, forward strand.
GTCTCAAACTCCTGACCTCAAATGATCTGCCCGCCTTAGCCTCCCAAAGTGCTGTGATTACAGGCGTGTGCCACCGTGCCCGGCCATAGTGTAAAATCTTTATTCTTCAGTGTGGTTTATCCCAATTCCAATTATACATTAGGTCTAAAACAAAACTCAGGCCTTGGGAATTCCAAGCTTTGCCCTAGAGTGAAGCCCATTCCCTTGCTGGGATTGTTCTGGGGACAGAAGCTGCATAGCTCACTGTCCTGTGGAGTTGAGGGAAGCTATCTTTCCACACTGGTCCCAGCAAGGGGTGCAGGGCCGGGAGCCTAGGCTGGGAGAGTGAAGCTGGGCCAGATAGACTCCAACAGTGACAGTCCCTGGGCTCACAGGAGGTGGCTGGCAGGACCAAGTAGGTGGCCTAATGCCTGGCATCAAGGTGGGGCGCTCCCGGGCTCAGCTGCCACTGAAGGTGGAGGTAGAAGAGGTCACGGTGCCTGAGGGCTTTGTCCAGAAGCTCAATGACCACCTGCTCTTGGTGTACACTGGCAAGACCCGCCTGGCTCGGAACCTGCTGCAGGTGAGCTCTGGCCCCAGCATGAGGGAGGCAGGCAGGGGGCCTGCCAGCTGGGCCTGGGTCCTCACCACCCCTTCTCCTGCCCCGTCCGCAGGATGTGCTGAGGAGCTGGTATGCCCGACTTCCTGCTGTGGTGCAGAATGCCCACAGCCTGGTACGGCAAACTGAGGAGTGTGCTGAAGGCTTCCGCCAAGGTGAGGGGCTTCCTCTGGGGGGGTCAGGGCACTGGGAGCGAGTATTCTGTCACTTGTGGGTTTGAGGCCAGGGTCATCTGCAGGCTTGGCACAAGCTCCAGATATTCGGCCTCTGGGAACAGAAGCCTACTGTCTGTCCTCTCCAGGGTCTCACATTTAGGGGAGAGCTACATCTGAGGACAAAATTTTCATCATGGGAAAGGCCCTCCAGCCCTAACAGGAAGCAGAGAGGGGAAGGGACTCAACCCATGGCTGAGTTCCAAGGAAGTCTGAGCTGGGCAGGGTCCCCAGTGTGTGGCTTCACAGCTCCCTAGATGCCGACTATGCTGGGTGTGGTGTTGGTTGCTTCCTGCACATTGGTCCTCAGGCAGTCCTGGGAAGTGGGTTACTCCTGGCTCCAGCCGGCACTGGAATCCGGCTTCTTTACCATGACACTGGCTCAGCAGCACGTCTTGGCACTTCATGCAATCTCCAGATGGGTGCTGAGTATCTTGGCCCAGGCACGTCACTCCCCTCTGCCCCACCTCAGGAAGCCTGCCTCTGCTGGGCCAGTGCCTGACCTCGTACTGGGAGCAGAAGAAGCTCATGGCTCCAGGCTGTGAGCCCCTGACTGTGCGGCGTATGATGGATGTCCTGGCCCCCCACGTGCATGGCCAGAGCCTGGCTGGGGCAGGCGGTGGAGGCTTTCTCTATCTGTTGACCAAGGAGCCACAGCAAAAGGAGGCCTTGGAGGCGGTGCTGGCCAAGACCGAGGTACTGATGGGGCTGGGGTTGGTAAAGAGACCTCTGGGGGCAAGAGACCTCACTGTGGCCCACCAGTTAACCAGGGGCTATATCTGTAAGTCCCCCTGGTCCTGCAGGCCCAGTCCAGCCTCCAGAAGGCCTGAGATTTGTCCAGAGCCTTCTAAATACTTCCTGTCTTGTCCAGGGCCTTGGGAATTACAGCATCCACCTGGTTGAAGTGGACACTCAGGGCCTGAGCCTGAAGCTGCTGGGGACCGAGGCCTCAACCTGTTGCCCTTTCCCATGAAGCTGGCTTCTCTCTGCAACAGGAGAAAACCTGGAGCTACAGTGTCCCCCACCTTCCTTGCCCCATGGGAACCTCCACCTCCTACTCCCCACCCACCTCTGCGAATCTGCTCCCAAAGGAAGCTGACCAGAGCAAGATCTGGGCAAGCAGAGAGTGCCTGGGACAGGACTGTGACCTGGTGGACAGGGGCCTAGATGTAGCCTCTGTTCCTCCTGGACATAGGAAGGTCCCAAGCTTAGTATCCCACGTGGCCTTTACAAATCCTATGGCTGGCCTTCTCATTCCACAAGGGCCCTGGAAAGGGTTGACAGCCAGCCTTGGCATATGGCTGGGAGTCCCTTAGCAAGGCCAACCCTGAAGAGGCCCTTTGAGGCATTCCCTATGGCTTAGAGTTGTAGACTTACACTCAACCCTCATGTGAGCGTGGGAGTGAGGGTGGCGGTCCCTTGCCAAGTTGGTAGCAGTGACCCAGTGATTCACTGCCATCCCAGGCCTTAACTAGCAAAACTACGGAGCGTGCCAAGTGACCTGGTGCCTGTGGGAAGTGGGTTCTCAGGACTGGCATTCTTGGAATAAATTCACTCTGTCCTTGCAGGTGGTCCTCGTAAAGTCACTTTTGCTCCTGCTGGGAGCAGTTCCCACTTCTCTACACCATGGGGAACTGGCCCTGGGGTGATCCAGCTTGTGGTGCTGGGGGCCCAAGAGGGGCACGAGGGTCTGGGACTGGATGGGGGCTCCTGCCATCATGTGGGCCCCGGACACAGCTGTGTGCTGCACTGTGTGTGGGAGCAGGCTGAGGTCTTGGGTTTTACCTTCCTATTTCAGTGCAACTGATAGACCTGCCCTGCCCCATAGCATCTGGCCCTCCCTGGTAACAGCACACTGGCATCTCTCCAAGGAGTAGCTTTATTCAGGGATCATAAACATCACAGCCTCTCCTCAAAGTCAAGCCTAACTGCTAGGTCCCCAGATGTACCCAAGTTGTCTAGGACTGGCAGGGGTAGCTTGTTTGCTGTAGTGTTTGAGGGCAAGAGACTGACCATCCATGCAGAAAGCTGGCCTGGGCTGCTCGCTGCCTGCCGTGGCTTTCCCACCTCATTAGGAGCCCGCTTCTCTCGGTGGGGAGATGCTGCCCCCAGAGCATCACCTGGCCAGGTCTGAGGGCAGAGCATGGAGTGGGTCCAGACTTTGTTTCTCTGCTGCCAGCCGTAGAAAGGTCTGGGCTGTCAGATCTCCCCCAAGCCAGACAGCCTCGCTCAGCTCCTTGGCTGGGGCCCCTTAGGGAACAGGCCTGCAAGTGTGATGAGCCAGGTGTGCTCATCCAGGCAGCTACAGGCGCAGCCTCTTGATATCTTCACTGCGGAAGTCTATCCGCAGGGCCAGCACCTGGCGCACTTCAGCAGGGGTGAGGCGCCACGTCAATGGGCCGGAATTGGGTCCCCAGTAATCGAGGATCTCGGTCACCTGTGGGGAAGGACATAGAGACCAGTCAGCAAGGTGGGGTTATTCTGAAAGAGGGCTCTGGCCTCTACCAGGGGCAGAGCAGGGGCACCCGGGAAGGGGAAGGTGTCCTATAGAGCTGGCTGCTGGCAGACATGGTTTAGAGGGAAGTGGCGGGGATCCATCTTTGCCTCTTTCAGTCACCCCTCCCTGGCTGGGCCAAGGGTGCCCCACCTACCCGCTCCAGATTGAGGATGGTGGCCATCTGGGAGAGCCGGGCAAACTTGTCTCGGATGGTCCAGGTGGTCACCGTGGTAAGGTAGGCAATGAGCGACCTCAGCTCCTTGTCAAACTGCAGACCACCCAGCTGCAGGAGAACCCAAGCCCAGTCACTACTTAGGCCTGGCCAAGCAGAACTGGCCTCCAGTTGCCCCCAGAGCTGGGTGGCAAGGCCCGCCAGGCCTCAGGTGGTGCCCTGTGGTTTGTTTGCTCTACGGCTTCAGAAGCCAGAGCAGGACTGGACCCAGACATGCAGGGCCTGTGGGCAGCAGACAGAGGGGATGCAAGTCCTGGGGGTGGTGGCATGACATGTCTTCCTCAGAGGAGAAACGAGAGCCGCAGACCCATGACCCCTTTACCTTACCCGGTTAAAGGTGGATTTCAGCACCACTTTCTCCAACTCGACGGCAACAAGGCTAGTCATGAGGCCGGTTAGGCTGTCGTAGATGACCGGGGACAGGCTGGCCTGCACACAGAGGGTTGACATCAGCCGAGCCCCACCTAACTCCTCTGCCTCTATGCTGGAGTCTTAGGTGGTGAGGATAGTAGCGTGAGGCCACGGGGGAGTTTCTACAGGTGAGGGTTGGAAGGGCTTTCAGGGTCCCCAGAAGGAATGTGATGAGACCCTGCAGGCTGCTGGTTTGGGCTGACGTGGGTAATTCCCTAAGTGGATCCCTAGGGCCCCTGCTCACCTTGAACTCTGCCATTTGCTGCTCCAGGTTAAGGATGAACTGTTGTACCCAAGGGTCGTTGGCCTCATAGTCATTGAATTCTTCCTGTTGTCAGGAAGCAGGGCTGGTCACCATGGGCCTCATAAGAAGTACCATTCATTGCCACCCACCTCTATCCCTCTAAGAAAATAATGTAAAACATTCTTCCTTCCCTGTGCCTTCTGACTCATCTAGTTTAAAACCAGCTCAGACACCCAGGCTGGCAGAAACTGACCAGCAAACAGCCCAGGGCTGTAGCAGTGGCCCACATAACATGGTAAAGTTCCTGGCATTTTATTCCTTCTTGGATCTCTTGTTCTACAGGAATGAAATCACTACGCCAGGAGGAAAAAAACGCTTCTAAGTCTATCATAGGCGGGGCAAAAAGAGCTCCAATAAGGGAATAAGTTAGGTCAAGGCAAACTCCATGTCTTTCTGAGCCCTTCTGACTAGGGACAAACTGTTTCCTGGGAGGAACCTAGTCTTCATGGGTCAGGGTGGGGGAAGTGGGCCTGGGAAGCATGGAAGGTCTAGTCTGTTCAGATGGCTCTGCTCCCTCTAGCTGGGGCTAGGGATGAGGGGTCATCGGGGCTTGATGGCTGCCTGTGGCCAGGCTAACCTCCTCGATGTTGTGGGAGACGGAGAAAAAGCTGTTGATCCAAGGCTGCACCTGTGGCTTGATGGCTGTGCTGTTGAGCTCCGTCAGCCCTTCCTGCACAAGGACAAGGTGGAGACATGTGACACAGAAGGCACGACTCATCCCTTCCCTCTCTCTTCTCCCCATCCCTTCCCTCTATCCTCTCCCCATCCCTTTCCTCTCCTCTCCCCATCCCTTCCTTCTCTCCTCTCCCCATTTCTTCCTTCTCTCCTCTCCCCACCCCTTCCCTCTCCTCTCCCTACCCCTTCCCTCTCCTCTCCCCACCCCTTCCCTCTCCTCTCCCCACTCCTTCCCTCTCTTCTCCCCACCCCATCCCTCTTTTCTCCCTACCCCATCCCTCTCTCCTCTCCCCACCACATCCCTCTCTCGTCTCCCCACCCCTTCCCTCTCTCCTCTCCCCACCCCTTCCCTCTCTCCTCTCCCCACCCCATCCCTCTCATCTCCCCACCCCTTCCCTCTCTCCTCTCCCCACCGCATCCCCTTCTCCTCTCCCCATCCCTTCCTTCTCTCCTCTCCCCACCCCATCCTCCTCTCCTCTCCCCATCCCTTCCCTCTCTCCTCTCCCCATCCCTTGACTGCAGGGCGTTCTTCCAGCCCTGAGGCTTTCTGCAGGCCCTGTTGGAGGTTATAACAGAGCTAGTGCTAATGAAAGGAGGAGCCAGGAACATGCCCCTTTCCAGATCTCAGCTGATTCAGGTCCAGGGTAACGATGAGGCCTTGAGACTGTTCTGATAAACTCTCACAAGAGATTTCAGAATGCTCAATGTTAGGCAGCACCTGCGGCTAGGTCAGAACAACCATGTGGCTCCACTTCCTCTGAGCATCTTCTGAGAGCTCTTGTCATTGTGGGGCCAAGTGCAAAGTCTAGAGCACCAGATGTTGGCTTGTCAGTGTGACAACTTCACTGCTGAGAAACCAACAGGGCCTTTAGTCTCAAGGGACCTGCACAACTCCAGGCTCCAGGGCTTGCGTGCTGCTCCCTCACCCGTCCTCCTGGCTTCCTTGCACACGATGAGCCAGCTAACAATCTTCTCAGAGCAACACACAGGCACAGGATTCAGTCAGCAGTTGAACCTGGGGCTTACCTGCAAGAGGTCTCGGAATTTGTTGGACACGGCGGCCAAGTCAGAAAGGCAGCTGTCAAACTTGGCCTGGGCCTGCTCCCCTCCAATGCCCTGGCTGAAGAGCTTGGTGCAGTCACTCTAGGGGAGAACACTGCTGTAAGACCACCGAGCACGCGTGGGCCATGGGAGTGTGAGGAGCCACCAGCCAGTTCTACTCCTCCAGCCAGCTATGGCCTGTCAAGAGCCCGGATGGGTTTCAGAAAACCTGGATTCTATCCTGGTGGTTATCCACTTGGCTCCCACTTCCCCCTCTGTAATATGGGGGTACCAATGTCGGGGAAGTGAGTAAGAAACAGAAATACCAGAAAGTTTTTCCTGTCTTTAGAGTCAGACATTCCTAGGTTCAAGTCCTGGCTCAGTCATGTATTAGTTGAGTGACCTTGGGCAAATGATTTAAAGTTTCTGAGCTTCAATTTTCCTGTCTATAAAATGGGAACACCAATTCCTGCTCCTCATGTATGAGATGAAGCACAACGTGCCTAGCTCAATGCCTGGCACAGGAGACACTAGCTATTATTGCTATAGTTCCTCCTTTCCCCCCCTTTTATATTTATTTACTTCTTCTTAAATTTTATTTAAATTTACCAAAAAACCACAAAAGTCAGTTTCTGCTTCTTAAATATTTTGGTATGGCTACCAAAGGGGATGGTCAAGATCATAGCTAAGGTTTAAGGGCGTACTGTATACCTGGCTTTGTTCTAAGCATTTCACTTTTATTAAAGTACCAGGCTGGGCGAGGTGGCTCATGCGGGTAATTCTAGCACTTTGGGAGGCCAAGGTGCAAGGACCACTTGCGGCCAGAGTTTAAGAACAGCAGGGAAACATAGTGAGAAGCCGTCTCCACAGAAAATTAAAGAATTAGCTGGATGTAGTGGTGCGCCCCTGCATCCCTAGCTACTCAGGAGGCTGAGGCGAGAGGATCCCTTGAGCCCAAGGGTTCAAGGTTGCAGAGAGCTATGACTGCCACTGCACTCCAGCCCGGGCAGCAGAGTGAGAACAAAGTACCTATTCTACTTAAAAACAAAACAAAATGAAAACCAAAAAACCCCCACAACTATTGTAAGTTACTTTGACCTTCATAAAAAAAAGTATCTCCTTTATGAAATAGGTAAAATTATTATCCCCATTGTACAGATGAGAAAACTGAGGCACAGAAGTTAATAATTTATTCAAAGCCATGGCAATAAGTCAGGAAAGGCTGAGCATGGTGGCTCACTATTGTAATCCTAGGACTTTGTGAGGCCAAGGTAGGAGGATTGCTGGAGCCCAGGAGTTCAAGACCAGCCTGGGCAACAAAGTGAGACCCTGTCTCTCTTTTTTTTTTTTTTTTTTGAGACAGTCTCACTCTGTCGCCCTGGCTGGAGTGCAGTGGCATGATCTCGGCTCACTGCAACCTCCGCCTCCTGGGTTCAAGCGATTCTCGTGCCTCAGCCTCCCGAGTAGCTGGGACTACAGGCGCCTGCCACCACACCCAACTAATTTTTCTATTTTTAGTAGAGACAGGGTTTCACCATGTTGGCCAGGCTGGTCTCGAACTCCTGACCTCAGGTGATCCACCCGCCTCAGCCTCCCAAAGTGCTGGATTTACAGGTGTGAGCCATCGCGCCTGGCAGAGACCCTGTCTTTTAACATAGATAAATCATGGAGCTGGGACTCTAGGCCAGGTATTCTGACTCCAAAAATCCTGTTTTTTTTGTTTTTTTTTTTTTTTTGAGACAGAGTCTTGCTGTGTCACCCAGGCTGGAGTGCAACGACATGATCTTGGCTGACTGCAACCTCTGTCTCCCGGGTTCAAGTGACTCTCCCACCTCAGCCTCCGGAGTAGCTGGGATTACGGGCACCCACCATCATGCCCAGCTAATTATTGTATTTTTGTAGAGATGGGGTTTCACCATGTTGGCCAGGCTGGTCTTGAACTCCTGACTGCAGGTGATCTGCCCGCCTGAGCCTCCCAAAGTGCTGAGATTACAGGCGTGAACCACCGTGTACGGCCCAGAATGCCTGTCTTTTTTTTTTTCTTTTGAGACGGAGTCTTGCTCTATAACCCAGGCTGGAGTGCAGTGGCTTGATCTCGGTTCACTGCAAGCTCCGCCTCCTGGGTTCACGCCATTCTCCTGCCTCAGTCTCCCAAGTAGCTGGGACTACAGGCGCCCACCACCACGCTCTGCTAATTTTTTGTATTTTTAGTAGAGATGGGGTTTCACCGTGTTAGCCAGGATGGTCTCGATCTCCTGACCTTGTGATCCGCCCGCCTTGGCCTCCCAAAGTGCTAGGATTACAGGCGTGAGCCACCGCGCCCAGCCCAGAATGCCTGTTTCTAATCACCACACTACAGCGTAGGTGTAGAGACCTCTCCAGGGGGAACTGCCTGAAACTCATGTTTTGGGTTGCCAGGAGCTGCCGCATTGCTCGTAGCCTTCTTAGAAAGTTCATGCTGTTTTGGCTCCAGAGGGGAAGCAGAGTGGAAGAACTAAGAGGGACTCTCCTAGCAGACAAAGGCCCTTCACTCCCACAGTATTCCTGACACTTACTGTCTTTGAGTAGTCTTGTAACCTTCCCTGTAAGCTGAACGTCATGCCACCTGATCTGCCTATCTCAAAGGGCTGCTGATGGGGCTAAGAAAGAACATCTGTGAAATGCAAATCTAAGGGCAGCTGGGATTTACGGGAATAGGTTTTTCAGCTATTTTACTTGGCTAATTCTACCAGCTCACTTATGAATTTCTAATATTTCCCCAAATTTTACTTCCAAAACCCAACAGACTCATGTTAAGGATGAGGTCAGAAATAGTCTAAAGTGCCATGACTTACAAACAATGATGTCGGCCGGGCGCCGTGGCTCACGCCTGTAATCCCAGCACTTTGGGAGGCCGAGGCGGGCAGATCACGAGGTGAAGAGATCAAGACCATCCTGGCCAAAATGGTGAAACCCTGTCTCTACTAAAAAATACAAAAATTAGCTAGGTGTGGTGGCGCACACCTGTAGTCTCAGCTACTTGGGAGCTGAGGCAGGAGAATCGCTTGAATCCGGGAGGTGGAGGTTGCAGTAAGCCGAGACTGCGCCACTGCACTCCAGCCTGGGCAACAAGAGCGAAACTTCATCTCAAAAAAAAAAAAAAGTCAGGCATGGTGGCTCACACCTGTAATCCCAGCACTATGGGAGGCTGAGGTGGGCGGATCGCCTGAGGTCGGGAATTTGAGACCAGCCTAGACAGCATGGTGAAACCTCGTTTCTACTAAAAATACAAAAATCAGCTGGGCATGGTGTCAGGTGCCTGTAATCCCAGCAACTTAGGAAGCTGAGGCAGGAGAATCGCAGAGGTTGCAGTGAGCCAAGATCATGCCACTGCACTACAGCCTGGGCAACAGAGTGAGAATCGGTCTCAAAAAATAAAAAAATAAAAATAAAAAAAAAAAAAGACAAGGCCAGGCGAGGTGGTTCATGCCTGTAATCCCAGCACTTCGGGATGCCAAGGCGGGTGGATCACTTGAGGCCAGGAGTTCGAGACCAGCCTGGCCAACATGGCAAAACCCCATCCCTACTAAAAATACAAAAATTAGCTGGGCGTGGTGGCAGGTGCTTATAATCCCAGCTACTCCAGAGCCTGAGGCAGGAGAATCACAGAAGTTGCAGTGAGCTGAGATCGCGCCATTGCACTCTAGCCTGGGCGACAGAGCGAGACTCCGTCTCAAAAAAAAACCAACAATGATGACAGCCAACTTGTTGAACACATACGATGTGACAGATACTATGTTATGTTGTACAAGTGTTCACTGTGGAGGCAGGGCCCTGGCCTCACTTCTTTCCCAGAGGCTGAGTTTGGGAGTGGGGAAGAACTGGGCCCCCCTCATTTTCCAATAGTTCACAAAGTGATCCCTCCATGCTGTTATTTTTATTTTGTTAATTTTAAATTTATTTTTACTATTTTTACTTTTTTTTTTATGTTTTTTTGAGACGGAGTCTTACTCTGTTGCCTAGGCTGGAGTGCAGGTGCACGATCTCGGCTTGCTGCAACCTCTGCCTCCCAGGTTCAAGCGATTCTCCTGTCTCAGCTTCCTGAGTAGCCAGGATTACAGGTGTGCACCACCACAACCGGCTAATTTTTGTATTTTTAGTAGAGATGGGGTTTCACTATGTTTGCCAGGCTGGTCTCAAACTCCTGACCTCAGGTAATCCTCCCGCCTTGGCATCCCAAAGTGCTGGGGTTATAGGTGTGAGCCACCACACCTGGCTATTATTTTTACCTTTTTTTTTTCTTTTGAGATGGAGTCTTTCTCTGTTGCCCAGGCTAGAGTGAAGTGGCGTGATCTCGACTCACTGCAACCTCCGCCTCCTGGGTTCAAGCAATTCTCCTGCCTCAGCCTCCTGAGTAGCTGGTATTACAGGCGCCCGCCACCATGCCCAGCTAATTTTTGTATTTTTAGTAGAGACAGGACTTCACCATCTTGGCCAGGCTTGAATGCCTGATCTTGTGATCCACCTGCCTTGGCCTCCCAAAGTGCTGGGATTATAGGCGTGAGCCACTGCGCCCAGCCTATTATTGCTTTTTAAGTGATGGGGTCTCATTATGTTGCCCAGGCTGGCCTCGAACTCCTGGCCTCAAGCAATCCTCCTGACTCAGGGTCCCAAGTAGCTGAGACTACAGGCACGAGCCACCCAGCTATTGTTATTTTGAGATGGAGTTTCGCTCTTGTTGCCCAGGCTGGAGTGCAGTGACGCAATCTCGGCTCACTGCAACCTCCACCTCCGGGGTTCAAACAATTCTCCTGCCTCAGCCTCCCGAGTAGCTGGGATTATGGGCACATGCCACCACACCCAGCTAATTTTTTTTGTATTTTTAGTAGAGACAGGGTTTCATCATGTTGGCCAGACCGGTCTCGAATTCCTGACCTCAGGTGATCCACCTGCCTCGGCCTCCCAAAGTGCTGGGATTATAGGCATGAGCCACCACACCCGGCCCAGCTACTGTTATTTTTAACTGTTAATACAACTAATAAGTACCACTGCATGCCTCTCATGTACTAAGTGGTTCATATTACCACATTCCTCTCATAACAGTCATGTGGCACAGAGGTCATTATCCCTGCTTTATGAATGACAAGACTGAGGTTACAGAACTTTTGCCTAAGGTCACACAGCTGGGCAGTGGTCAAGTGAAGATTTGAACTTGGGGTATCTGGCTTCAAAGCCCAAGCAATTTCCACTATACTCTGCTTCCTTCCTCTAAAAATAACAGCTACTAGCTTTGTATAGGATTAGGCAAACCTTATCTTAATCTCCTACATTTATACAGGGATTTGTCATTTTTATAAGGTGCTTTTGATCCTGATTTTTTTTTTTTTTTTGAGACAGAATCTCCCTCTGTCGCCCAGGCTGGAGTGCAGTGGCGTGATCTCGGCTCACTGCAACCTCTGCCTCCCAGGTTCAAGCAGTTCTCTGCCTCAGCCTCCCGAGTAGCTGGGATTACAGGCGCCTGCCACCATGGCTGGCTCATTTTTTGTATTTTTAGTAGAGATGGGGTTTCACCATCTTGGCCAGGCTGGTCTTGAAGTCCTGACCTCATGATCCACCCGCCTCAGCCTCCCAAAGTGTTAGGATTACAGGCATGAGCCACCTCACCTGGCCTTGATCCTGATTTAAAAAAAAAAAAAGTTTTTTTTTTTTTTGTAGAGATGAGGTCTCACCACATTGCCCAGGCTGGTCTCAAACTCCTGGCCTCAAGTAATCCTCCTGCCTTGGCCTCCCAAAATGTTAAGCTTACAGGTATGAGCCACTTGGCCTCAATCCTGTTTTTTCATTAGGCTACCCAAGAAACACAAGCTAGGGCTGGATGGAGCTATGCATCTCATTTCGTAGATGAGAGGACTGAGGCTCAGAGGGCTAAGGGACTTGTCCAAGGTCACACGCCAACTATGTGCTGGAAGATCTAATTTGTGTGTTATTTTGAGATAGAGTCTGCTCTGTCGCCCAGGCTGGAGTGCAGTGGCACGATCTCAGCTCACTGCAACCTCTGCCTCCCGGGTTCAAGTGATTCTCCTGCCTCAGTTTCCCAAGCAGCTGGGATTACAGGTGTCTGCCACCATGCCCAGCTAATTTTTGTATTTTTAGTAGAGATGGGGTTTCGCCATGTTGGCTAGGCTGGTCTCGAACTCCTGACCTCAAGTGATCCACCCGCCTTGGCCTCCGAAAGTGCTGGGATTACAGGAATGTGCCACCGTGCCTTGCCTGGAAGATCTAATTTGAATTCTGATCTTCCAACTCCTGAGCTTTTCTCCCTGGTCCAAGGATGCCTTGCTATCATGTCAGTCACCAAAGAATCCCCTCAAGTGTGGCTCAATGTCACCAAGATAAGTGTCTTCACCATGATGTTTGTATAGGGCTCTATCTCAACATGGGAAAAGATGGCTGCTGACCACTGATAGGCAATTTCCCTCGTACCTCCAGTGTCTTCTTCAGAGTGGAGATGTTTTCACTGCAGACTTCCACGTTGTTCAGAGTCACCTGGGAGATGAGGAAGGAAGAACGTGACTTCCTGCTGACTGTGCCTGCCACCCACTCCAATGCCAGACTGGCTGACAGCTGTGCTCCATGAAGCTCAGAGAAGGGCTGGCTGGAGTTCAGACTTGCGCTAATGAAAACCCACACTGCTACATCTGAGCAGGACGCTCAGATCTTGGATTGGGCAGAATGGGGAAGCAGGCTCGCCCTTTCTTCTGTGCCTGATGACAGGGAGCCTAAAGCTATCAGGACCTCAGAGGTAGTGAGCTCAGGTTTCAGGTCTTCTTTTTTTGTTTGTTTTTTTGTTTTTTTGAGATGGAGTCTGGCTCTGTCACCCAGGCTGGACTGCAAGCTCTGCCTCCCGGGTTCATGCCATTCTCCTGCCTCAGCCACCCGAGTAGCTGGGACAACAGGCGCCCGCCACTACGCCAGGCTAATTTTTTGTATTTTTAGTAGAGACGGGGTTTCACCATGTTAGCCAGGATGGTCTTGATCTCCTGACCTCATGATCTGCCCACCTCGGCCTCCCAAAGTGCTGGGATTACAGGCGTGAGCCACTGCGCCCGGCGAGGTTTCAGGTCTTCTTGTACTGTGTTACCTACAGAGCAGAAATGACTCAGGCATACAGGTCCAGGATAAGTTCTGAGGCTCCAAACGGTCAAGCCCCAGGTCAGTGATACAAAGCCTGACATTCATTAAAGAAAAGCTTCCAGAGAGCCTGCCACCTATGAGGTATTTTCTCATTCTTTATCTCATGGAGTCTGCTAAATACCCCCATAGAACACGTATTATCAAGCCCAGTGCACGGGAGGAAATGAGACTCCTCAGAAGGTAAAATGATTTGGCCAGGCACGGTGGCTCACGCCTGTAATCCCAGCACTTTGGAAGGCCAAGGCGGGTGGATCACCTGAGGTCAGGAGTTCAAGAACAGCCTGGCCAACATGGTGAAACCCTGTCTCTAATAAAAATACACACAAAAAAATTAGCCAGGCGTGGTGGTGCACATCTGTAGACCCAGCTACCAGGAGGCTGAGGCAGGAGAATCGCTTGAACCTGGGAGATGAGAGGTTGCAGTGAGCTGAAATTGTGTCACTGCACTCCAGCCTGTATGACAGAGCAAGACTCTGTCTCAAAAAAAAAAAAAAAAAAAAAAGCTGGGGCAGGGTAGCTCATGCCTGTAATCCCAGCACTTTGGGAGGCCGAAGCAGGTGGATCAAGAGGTCAGGAGTTTGAGACCAGCCTGCCCAACATGGCGAAACCCCGTCTCTACTAAAAATACAAAAAATTAGCCAGGCGTGGTGGCGGGTGCCTGTAATCCCAGCTACTCGGGAGGCTGAGGCAGGAGAATTGCTTGAACTTGGGAGGCGTAGGTTGCAGTGAGCTGAGATCACGCCACTGCACTCTAGCCTCGGTGACAAGAACAAAACTACGTCTCAAAAAAAAAAAAAAAAAAAAAAAGTAAAATGATTCACGAAGGTCTGACAGCAACTGATTCAGCAAATATTTACTGAGCACCTGGATGTGCCAGGCACAGTTCTAGGCACTGAGAGAAAGCAATTAACAAAAAAGACATGGTCCACTCCTCACAGAGCTGACATTCCAGAAGGGAAGCCAGATAGTAAACAAATGCATTATATAATGCCAGGAAGAATAATAAAGCAGGAAAAGGGACAGACACTCAGAGTGACAAGGCCACAAAGCTGGAGCCAGGCTTAGAATTCGGGTCTCTGAGCTTCCAGATGGATAAACAGGTGGAGGTTCCTGGACAGTGGCCACCTGGGGAGGGCATGGAAGCTCCATACCCCTTCCCCCATAATTTGCCCTATTCATCTCTTCATCTGTATCCTATATAATATCCTTTATAATAAACAAATAAACTAAAAAAATGAATTCAGGTCTCCCTACTCTGGTCCAAAGATGACTTTTTTCATAACACGACTGTCTTACAGACTAGGTGCAGAAATACCAATGATAAAAGTAGCATGGAGGCCAGGCGCAGTGGCTCATGCCTGTAATCACAGCAGTTTGGGAGGCCGATGCGGGCAGATCACCTGAGGTTGGGAGTTCGGGACTAGCCTGACCAACATGGAGAAACCCCGTCTCTACTAAAAAAAATACAAAATTAGCCGGGCGTGGTGGTGCATGCCTGTAATCCCAGCTACTTGGGAGGCTGAGACAGAAGAATCACTTGAACCCAGCGGGCAGAGGTTGCAGTGAGCCAAGATCGCGCCATTGCACTCCAGCCTGTGCAACAACAGCAAAACTCCGTCTCAAAAAAAAAAAAAAAGGTAGCATGGGCACGGTGGCTCACACCTGTAATCCCAGCACTTTGGGAGGCTGAGACGGGTGGATCACCTGAGGTCAGGAGTTCGAGACCATCCTGGCCAACATGGCAAAACCCCGTCTCTACTAAAAATACAAAAATTAGTCGGGTGTGGTGGCAGGTGCCTGTAATCCCAGCTACTTGGGGGGCTGAGGCAGGAGAATCGCTTGAACCTATGAGGCGGAGGTTGCAGTGAGCCAAGATCGCGCCATTGCACCCCAGCTGGGGCAACAAGAACGAAACTCCATCTCCAAAAAAAAAAGTAGCATGGGGCAAAATTATTAAGGCACTAATTGCTCTGGCCATTCAGAGGAAAGAACAAACTGTTTCGGTGTAAGGCATTCAAGGAAGGTTCCATGACAGGGTTGGTAGCTGAGCTGAACATAAAAGGGTAGAACATAATTCTGACAGGAGATGAAGGTGAGAACATTTCTCCACCCCCAGCAGCCTCTCTCCAGCTCACTGTCCTATTTGATATTTTCTTAATGGTCCTTAGGATTTCCTGACATTCTCTGGTTTATCTATTTCTTGTCTGCATGGATCTAGCCTGTTTTCTTCACCACTGCGTCTCTATACAGCACTGTCTACCTTTCTGCTTGATGGAAATATTCTAACTGCACTGTCTGGTATGGTAGCCCTCAGCCATGTGTGGCTATTGAGCACCTGAAGCATAGCTAGTACAACTCAGGAAGTGGATTTTTAATTTAAATGTAAATTTCAATAGCCACCTGTGGCTGGTGACTACCATGTTGGGCAGTGTAGCTCTAGAACCCAGAACAGTGCCTGATATTTAGAAGTTTCTCAATAAATATTTGTGCAATGAGTAAGAGAGTGAATGAACATATTCTGGAAAGGGGATAATATAAGCAAGTGCAGAATGGCACAAAACCCAAAAAGGTATTTGAGAAATAGCAGAGTCAGTTCACAGACACGTGCAGGGAAGTGGCAGGAGGTAGAGCTGCGAGGGGCAGAGACTGACGGGGACTTGGGTGCTCTGCTGCAGAGTTAGCCCTGTGACCTGTGGACAGTGGGCTGGCACTGAGGATTTTTAAAGCAGGTGAATGCCACATGAGCACAGCTGTGGTTCAGGAATACTCATCTAGAGGCCGTGGGAGGGAGGAAATAGAGGGCCTGGGGATCCCACTGCCTGTAAACTGGTCTGCTGGTGGCATGATGAGGAAGGCAGGGGTGAGGTAAGGAGGAGCCAGTCTTCGAGACATGAGTCAGGAGCTTCAGGATTTCAGGGTAAAAGGAGGATCTCAGAACCCCAGGGGCTGTGATTAGGAAGTCCCTCTCATCTTGCCCAGAGTGCTTCCCTTGTCGGTGTCCTGCAGCCAGTGCTGAAAGTCATGATGCTGACAGTGCTGCTTAGGCCACTCTGATTGTGGACAGATAAGCCTAAAGGTCTTTCTTTAATATGCCACAACATGAGGCCTCTAATGTCACAAGTTTCCAAATAACTGTCCTGTCCTGACAGCTGAAGGATGAAGGCCATAAGTGTTTCCAAGGCATTTAAGAGCACCAAGAATAACTGTCATGAGGACTTCT
Organism: Homo sapiens; assembly: GCF_000001405.40. NCBI lineage: Eukaryota > Metazoa > Chordata > Mammalia > Primates > Hominidae > Homo > Homo sapiens. The sequence goes on from NC_000016.10 coordinate 70,494,261, forward strand.
GGATTTGAGTTCAAATGGTATTGATTTCAAAGTTTCCCCTGTACTGACAGCCCTAGTAAGCGTGGATTCACTGGGTTTATTCCCTGCCCACAGTGCATGATGTCAGTAAATTTGGAGAATTCATCTAGACAGCCAAATGAATCAAGGTGACATAAAAAATAGGCCCTGCAATGGGAGTGATGACATTTTAAATACTTGGTGTCAGGAAAACCAGAAACCTGTCACCAAGCATTTAGCATCGCCTCTCTTTTTGGTCTTATCTTCTGGGGCCTCAAACAATGAAACTGTGTTAATGGGAGGTCCTCACAGAGCGAATATGCACTGGCCGGTTTTGGAGACATGTAGTCAAGTGGTGGAAAACGGAACTGGAAAGGTGGTATGGGTTAGAGTTAGGAGGCTTAAACAAAGACATCTAGCTTTGATGTGGTAGGCAGCAAGCAGCCAATGATTATTTCTGAGCACAGAAATGAAAGTAAGTTCTGTAAAAAAAATCACAAACAAAATAAAAATTTAAGTTGGTTCATGATGTGATGCTGGTTGCTGGGCATTTTGGCAAAGTTCTCCAAAGGTAACAACTTTCACAGGCAACAGTTTTTTGGATCTGATCTTTTTTTGGCAGCAACCATGATATCCTAGATTGACAGAAACCATACACAGGGCAAATATTTTCTATGACAGGAAGAGAGTGGGGCTGCCTAAACAGCTTTCACATTGGATCTGTCTCATAACTAGTTACTATGGGTTCCTCTGCACAGGGCTTGGTAGATATTAGCAAGTTTAGGCTTCTCTCTCTGCAAGTAACAGCTCTGAACTCTTTTGGGGGTCACAGATCCTTTTAAGAATATGATAACCAGGCACGGTAGCTCATGCCTGTAATCCCAACACTTTGGGAGGCCAAGACGGGTGGATCACTTGAGGTCAGAAGTTCGAGACCAGCCTGGCCAACATGGCAAAACCCAGTCTTTACTAAAAAAAAAAAAAAAAAAATTAGCCAGGTATGGTGGCGCATGCCTGTAATCCCAGCTACTCGGGAGGCTAAAGCAGGAGAATCGCTTGAACCTGTGAGGCGGAGGTTGCAGTGAGCCAAGGTCATGCCATTGCACTCCAGCCTGGGGAACAAGAGCAAGACTCCATCTCAAAAAAAAAAAAAAAAGAATCTGATAAAAGCTAAGGAAGGACCCTGTGACCCAAAAATGCATGTGAACATTTTTGCGTCCAACCCCACTTGTGGGCTACAGATGCTACTAGATGTTTCTTTCAGGCTCTGAGCCTCAGGAGTCAAGACTCAGGGTGCGGCCAATGTGGGGGATGGAGCAGAATGGACCTCGGACTGTGCTACTCCCATGCGTGCTAAGACAGCGTGTGCCAGAGAGGCCTGATCTTGAGCTTAGGATTCATCTGTGGTCTTTCTGGCTCATCACAAACTGGTTGTTGCTTTGTACAAATCCTTTCATCCTTCTGTGCTCCTCCTTTCCAAGCTGTCACACAATGGAAGGCTTGCTGCTTTATCACATCTGTCATTCTGGGTAGCAAAGGGCTTTAATAAAGCCTCCTTTCCAGAGGAAGTTGAAAGCCTAAGACATGTACTAGCAGAGCAGTGATGGCAGGCCCGAAGGACTGGCGCCTGCCCATGCTGCGGGCCTCTCCTCAGAGAAGCAGTCTGGTGGTCTGGCACAGATGGTAGAGCTGGTTCTGTGGCAGATGCAAGCCAAGCTTGGCACTCAGTGGGCTCCTGAGCAGCTGGCCAGTGCTCTGGGGAATGAATTCTAGGTGACAGCTGGACAGCCCAGCCTCTATCGTGGCTCAGGTGACTCAGAATATGTCCCTGAGTAAGAAATAGTTTCAGAACCTTCTGGGAGGAAATTCCCTTAAAGGAGGAATTTTCCTTCTATATAGACACTGGAGGAAAAGTCTCTAGCTAGAGGCCAATTATACTGTGGCTTAGCAGTGATAGCGTAACCTCTCGAGATAAACCAACCCAGCTCGTGAGCTGTGGGGTACCTACCAGGAAGGACATCTTCGCCTCGTCAGTACTCTCGATGCCTTTTGTGTCAAATTTGCCTTGCTGGAGGCTGCTGTGCATGATGTTCACGGCACTTGTCACCCCGCGCTGGATGTCCTGGAAGGTGGTGGCAGGAAAGCCCATCCGCAGCTTATTACACAGAACATCCCTGGGGGGCAGGATTGCATAGAGGAATTGACAGTGCTCAACTTGGCCACCAGGACAGAAGGGCCAGTCTTCACCACTCTGACCCAGCAGCACAAGGTGCTCTTTTAGGGGGAATAACCAGTCCTTAAGACCACTGTAGGAGACCTGAGGAGCCAGGGTATGAAAGTAACCAGCACCCCGTCAAGGACACTGATGTGACAAGAACATACAGGGGAGACTGGCCAATCTCTACTGTTCATGAGGCTTTTAGCCATCACCACTGCACTCCCAACAAAGCTGTGCGGCTTAGTGAACGCAGTACCATGTAGGAGTTGAGAACAGGTTTTGAGTCACTCAGTTCTGGATTCCACCACTGACTCCTAAGTGGTGGATCTTTGACGAGGACGGAATCTCCCTAAAGCACAGTTTCTTCATCTATAAAACAGAGCTAACAGTTCCTACTTCATAGGGTTGTTATTAGGACCTCAAAAGCGCAGGAGATTAGCATAGTGCTGGGCCTGTAGCAATGGTACCTATTGGTGGTATTATTCATCTGAACTGCCTGTTCTCTTTCCTACGTCTAAGGGCCCATAGCTCCTTCAGTCTAGTCCAGGGAACAGAAATTTGGCCCATGAGATATATGGCTGACCAACAGCTTCCTGGAGCCAAGGATACTATCTTAGGGATAGGAGCTGATGTCCTGTATAGAACTTAACTAGAATCATGAGGACAAAGGGCAGAAACAAATGGGCCTCAGGAATCAACAGGAAGGGCCTTTCTGCCTAGAAAGGAGAAAGGGAGTCAACTGTACCTGAAGTCAGACTCCAGCTCTGTGGTGGCGAGGTTGATCATGGCACAGAGACAGTCAATGCTGGAGCTGGACAGAGCCCGCCCAATGCACTTCTTAACAATGTAGAAGACATCATCCACCATGCTGGATGTCAGCTGGCCCTTCTCATAGGTGTCCAGAGCCACAGCCTACCCAAAAGGCAAAGCCAACACTGAGGGTCCCAGTTGTGCATGTCATGTTCTAGATGATTCTGGGTACACTGGCCCTAGCTCTGCTCCCTTTTCTGTACCTTGTCCATGTTTCTCCCAACATGGCGTGCATCCTCCTTGTCAAAATAGCTTACTTCCCTATTGATCACTAGGTGAACAAATTAAATATTTCGGGCCTTAGCCCTGCAGAGATCCATTACCTGGGGAGTGTAAGATATCTGCAGGGGCCCTACTTCCCTGAGGCTCCTTACCCACAAACCTTCAGGGAGGTAGGGAACAAGTGGGCTCCCTGAAGAGCTGAGCTGAGCTGTTCTTTTTTAATTCTTGGGAAGGAAGTCCTAGCTGGGTATACAAAGAACACAACGACTCCAAAGATGCTCTCTAAACATACAAAGTGGTACCACTCAATCTGCATGCAAGAGTATTCTCAAAGCAGGACCAATAAATATGACATGCCTCAGCCATTTCCCTCAGCCTGGCTTCTTGGACCGGAAGCCCCATTTCCAAGAGATGCGTCCTATGTCCTACCTTATTGACAGTCTCCCTCATGAAGTACTCCTCCATGGTAACATATAAGCCAATTAGCTCCTGCATGGTACAGCTCAAAAGGCAGTTATTGAGGAGTTTGTCCAGACACTTCTGGTGCTCTAGGGGACAGCCAAGAAAGGAATACTCATTTTTTTTCCCCAAGGGAAACAGAGCAACTTTTTTCATTTTTTCAGGTTCCTTTATAGTCTTTCTTTGAAATATGTACATATTTTACATCGTTACAATCATGATACAGATAGCAATTTTGAATTCTGTTTTAAAAAAGTATATCATAAATATTTTCCATGTTTTCACCTACCTTATTTTTCATGACTATGTGGCATTTCATCAGGTGCATAATCCACATTTTAAAAACTACTTTTTTTATTTTTAACTATTTTTTTTTTTTGAGACGGAGTTTCACTCTTGTTGCCCAGGCTGGAGTGCAATGGCGTGATCTTGGCTCACCGCAACCCCTGCCTCCCAGGTTCAAACAATTCTCCTGCCTCAGCCTCCCGAGTAGCTGGGATTACAGGCATGCACCACCACGCCCGGCAAATTTTGTATTTTTAGTAGAGACAGGGTTTCTCCATGTTGAGGTTGGTCTTGAACTCCTGACCTTAGGTGATCCGCCTGCCTCAGCCTCCCAAATTGCTGGGATTACAGGCGTGAGCCACCATGCCCGGCCTTATTTTTAACTTTCATGTTGTTTCATGTGAAATTGAGAAAATAACCACTCTATTTTTAGACACCTGGTTATTTCCAAATGTTTTGCCATTACTGGAGATAACAGAATATCACAATAATTGGAGATTATAGTGAATACTTTTGTATGAAAAACTTTTTACTCCTTTTCCATTATTCCCTTAGGATTAATTAATAGGAGTCAAAAGATGTAAGTTTCCATGGCAAAGATAAAAATATATTGGATATAGAATATTTCATTCTCTACACCAGTACTGTCCAGTAGAATTTCTGTGATAATGAAAATATTCTGGTCAGGTGTGGTGGCTCACACCTGTAATCCCAGCACTTTGGGAGGCCAAGGCGCGAGGATCGCTTGGGTCCAGGAGTTTTGAGACCAGCCTGGGCAACACAGCAATACTCTGTCTCTACAAAAAATAAACAAACAACAAGAAAAGAGAAAATATTCCGTATCTGTTATCTGATATAGTAGCCATTAGCCATGTTAGCGATTGAGCACTTGAAATGTGATGAACATAACTTAGGAACTGAATATTTTTTTTTTTATTAAATTTTTTTTTCTCAGAATCCAGCTGAGAAAGATGAATTTAAAATTTTATTTAATTGTAATTAAATTTGAATTTGAATTTGAATTCATGAATGGCTACGTATTGGGCAGCACAGCTCTGAATAGTGATAGTCATCATTATTGCTTTTCAGTCTTTTGGCTAAGATCAAGTGATAGTCATCACTGACATTGACAAGCGAACTCCAAATGAGCACACAATTTCCTTTATACACTGATTCTGTAATGCCCCTGCCACATATTATTGGCACAAGCCATGCAGAATGCCACAGATGCTGGGTGGGTCTCAAGTCCCAGCCCAAAGAACCCTGCATATATTTGCCCAGCAGGATTTTTATTTTTTTAAATTTTTTTCCTTTAATTCTTACTTTAGTAGCCAGCAGGAATTAAATGGTCATCTTAAAAACCTAGCGAGTCAATCTGTAAATGAAATTGGACTCTGGCATGCCTTTTAAACAATTTATTTATTTTTGAGACAGAGTCTCGCTTGTCGCCCAGGCTGGAGTGCAGTGGCGCGATCTTGGCTCACTGCAAGCTCCGCCTCCCGGGTTCACGCCATTCTCCTGCCTCAGCCTCCAGAGTAGCTGGGACTGCAGACACCCGCCACCACGCCCGGCTAATTTTTTTGTATTTTTAGTAGAGACGGAGTTTCACCACGTTAGCCAGGACGGTCTTGATCTCCTGACCTTGTGATCCGCCTGCCTCGGCCTCCCAAAGTGCTGGGATTACAGGCGTGAGCCACCGCGCCCGACCTAAAAATTTTTTTAAATGTTTATCTTTTATTATTTAATTTAATTTAATTTAATTTTTTAGAGATGGGGTTTCACTATGTTGACCAGGCTGGTCTCAAACTCCTGGGCTCAAGCATCCTTCCTCCTCGGCCTCCCAAAGTTTTGGGATTATGCGTGAGCCACCATACCCAGTCAAAATTTTTATCTTTTAATATAGTGACAGGGTCTTGTCATGTTGCCCAGACTGGTCTTGAACTCTTGAGCTCAAGCGATTCTCCTGCCTCAGCCTCCCAAAGTGTTGGGATTACAGGTGTGAGCCACTGCACCCAGCCCCCTTTCTTATCAATGTCAATTATTCCTTGAAAAATTGTGACTGGGGGAACTGGGAGACTGAGAGGGATGAGAGGATTCCTGTACATTATATACTCTTTTTTTTTTTTTTTTTTTTTGAGACAGAGTCTGGCTCTGTCACCCAGGCTGGAGTGCAGTGGCGTGATCTTGGCCCTATGCCCCCCAGGGTTCAAGCAATTCTCCCGTCTCAACCTCCCGAGTAGCTGGGACTGCAGGTGTATTGCACCACGCTCAGCTAATTTTTGTATTTTTAATAGAGATGGGGTTTCACCATATTGGTCAGGCTGGTCTCGAACTCCTGACCTCCGGTAATCCACCCGCCTCAGTCTCCCAAAGTGCTGGGATTACAGATGTGAGCCACCGTACCTGGCCTATGTACTCTTTAAAAACAAAAAAAGAACACTTCATTGAAGTATAATTTATATCCCATAAAATTTAAAACAGGGCACCAGTGTCCTCATCTGTAAAGTGATTAGATGGCCTCAAAGATCTAGTCCAATTCTAAAATCCAGTAAATTTAGATTTCTTCCTGGGAGTCAATTTGCCTACAGACCACCAGGGGCTAATAAGTTCCAATTGTTTCCTTAATAAGAGATTTGTGGCTTAACTATTAAGAAACACTGCCAATTATACCTCAACCCTCCCCAAAAATATGGGAAACGTTTTTACCTTGCTTTACTTCCTCTGAGGCCATGGAGTCTCCCACCTCAAAATCAGAGCTAATCCTCTTCTTGAGGAAGCGTAAGTATAGCTCACTGCGGGCATTCATCAGGGTGACCTCAGTCAGGATGGGGTCCAGTTCTCTGAGACACATGGAGCAGAAGGAATAGGACGACAATGGATTACCTTAGACACAAGAGCTACAGGGCAAAGAGAGTCCCAAATTCCCCCTCCCCACTGGGCCCATAAGGAAAAGCTCTGCCAGATGGCCCTCCTAGCTCTGCTGGCCCAATTAGAATCAGAGATAGCTGTCAATCACATTTTCCATTTACCTGCTTCACCTAAATCATTCACTCCCTAAAATTCTGCCAGACCTAAATAAAAGGTTGGGAGATGTGTCTTCTTTTCTTTACTTTTTTTTTTGAGATGGAGTCTTGCTCTGTTGCCCAGGCTGGAGTGCAGTGGCTCGATCTCAGCTCCCTGCAAGCTCCGCCTCCTGGGTTCACGCCATTTCTCCTGCCTCAGCCTCCTGAGTAGCTGGGACTACAGGTGCCCACCACCATGCCCGGCTAATTTTTTGTATTTTTAGTAGAGACGGGGTTTCACTGTATTAGCGAGGATGGTCTCGATCTCCTGACCTCGTGATCCGCCCGCCTCAACCTCCCAAAGTGCTGGAATTACAGGTGTGAGCCACTGCGCCCGGCCTATTTTCTTTTCTTTTTGAGACAGAGTCTTGCTCTGTTGCCCAGGCTGGAGTGCAGTGGTGCAATCTTGGCTCACTGCAACCTCCGCCTCTAGGTTGAAGTGAGTCTCATGCCTTGGCCACATGAGTAGCTGGGATTACAGGAGTGTGCCACCCCACCTGGCAGATTTTTTTTTTTTTTTTCAGATTTTTGTATCTTTAGTAGAATTGGGATTTTGCCATGTTGGCTAGGCCAGTCTCGAACTCCTGGCCTCAAGTGATCCTCCTGCCTTGGCCTCTTGAAGTGCTGGGATTACAGGCATGAGCTACAGTGCCTGGCCTCTTTTGTGGTTTGAATAAAGATTACCTATGACCAGGCATGGTGGCTCACGCCTGTAATCCCAACACTTTGGGAGGCTGAGGCGGGCGGATCATGAGGTCAAGAGATTGAGACCATCCCGGCCAACATGGTGAAACCCCATTTCTACTAAAAATACAAAAATTAGCTGGGTGTGGTGGCGCATGCCTGTAGTCCCAGCTACTCGGGAGGCCAAGGCAGGAGAATCGCTTGAACCCGGGAGGCGGAGGTTGCAGTGAGCCAAGATCGCGCCACTGCACTCCAGCCTGGAGACACAGCAAGACTCCGTCTCAAAAAAAAAAAAAAAAAAAAAAAAAAAAAAGAGGCCGGGCGCAGTGGCTCACGCCTGTAATCCCAGCACTTTGGGAGGCTGAGGTGGGCGGATCACCTGAGGTCGGGAGTTCGAGACCAGCCTAACCTAACCAAAACATGGAGAAACCCCGTCTCCACTAAAAATACAAAATTAGCCAGGCATGGTGGCACATGCCTGTGATCCCAGCTACTAGGGAGGCTGAGGCGGGAGAGTCGCTTGAACCCGAGAGGCGGAGGTTGCAGTGAGCTGAGATCACGCCATTGCACTCCAGCCTGGGCAACAAGAGTGAAACTCCGTCTTAAAAAAAAAAAAAAATTATCAGTGTCTCATGTGAAAGAAAACTCTCCAATCTCTAATTTAGCCCTGGCAGGATGTTAGGAAATACCATTAAACTGCCCTACACCCATTCATTTATCCTGATGAATAGCCAAAATAATCTTGAAAAATACAAAGTTGGAGGAATCCCACTTTCTAATTTCAAAACTAACTACAAAGCCACAGCAATCAAGACTATGTGGTACTGGCATATGAATAGATATATGGATTAATGGAACAGAACTGTGAGTCCAGATGGTTGACTGATTTTCAATGAGCGCTAGGACAATTCAATAAACAACGAAGGGTCTTTTCATCAAATTGTGCTAGGACAACTGAGATCCACATGAAAAAGAATCAAGTTGAACCCCTACCTCACATAATATAAAAAAATTAACTTCCTTTGCACACTGAAGTCCAAGAGGTCTTTTCTTTCTTTCTTTTTTTGTTTTGAGATAGGGTCACTGTCTGTCTCCCAGGCTGGAGTACAGTGGCACAATCACAGCTCACTGCAGGCTCAGCTTCCCTGGGATCAGGCAATCCTCCCACCTCAGCCTCCCAAGTAGCTGGGATTATAGACATGTGCCACCATGTCTGGCTAATTTTTGTATTTTTGGTAAAGACGGGGTTTCCCCATGTTGTCCAGGCTGGTCTCAAACTCCTGGGCTCAAGTGATCTGCCCACCTCTGCGTCCCAAAGTGCTGGGGCTACAGGTGTGAGCCACCTTGGCACCTGACCCCAAGACATCTTTACAAACATAAATCTGGTCATATCATATAGTTTCCATACCTCTCAGAATACAAGACTCTTAACAGCCTGACTCTAATGATCTCTCCATATCCACCATTTCAGGCTCTCCTCTACTCTTTGAACTTCAGCTACACTGGCCTTCTTTCAGTTTTTAAAATACACATGACCTTTGCACATGCTTTCCTTGCTCTATCTGGAATACTCCTCACATCTTAACTCCTACTTACTCTTTTTTTTTTTTTTTTTGAGACGGAGTCTCACTCTGTCGCCCAGGCTGGAGTGCAGTGGCGCTATCCCGGCTCACTGCAAGCTCCGCCTCTTGGGTTCATGCCATTCTCCTGCCTCAGCCTCCCGAGTAGCTGGGACTACAGGCGCCCACCACCACGCCCGGCTAATTTTTTGTATTTTTAGTAGAGACGGGGTTTCACCGTGTTAGCCAGGATGGTCTCGATCTCCTGACCTCGTGATCCGCCCGCCTCGGCCTCCCAAAGTGCTGGGATTACAGGCGTGAGCCACCGCGCCCGGCCAACTCCTACTTACTCTTAAGGTCTCAGATCTAAGGTCATTTCCTCAGGAATTATTTCTTCAACTTTCCCATACTAGGCTACATCTCTTTATGACATGCTGTCCTGCACCCTACACTCAGTATATCACAGTGGCTGACAGCATCCACTCTAGAGTCAGACTGCTTGGATTCCATTTCTCACCGCCATTTTCTAGCTGCATGACCTTGGGCAAGTCATCTGACCTCTCCAGCCTTCAGTTTCTTCCTCTGGAAAGTGTTTATGGATTAAATCAGTGATTTTCTACTGAGGGCGATTTTATTCCCAGCTCCCCCATTCCCCTACCCATACCCCCCTGGGGTATTTTAGCATCTAGTGGATAGAGGCCAGGGATGCTGCTAACCATCTTACAATGCGTAGAACAGTCCCCACCTAACAAAAAATTATCCAGTCAAGGCTGGGTGCAGTCGTTCACGACTGTAATCCCACTACTTTGGGAGGCTGAGGCGGGCAGATCACCTGAGGTTAGGAGTTCAAGACCTGCCTAGACAACACGGTGAAACCCCCTCTCCACTAAAAATATAAAAATTAGCCAGACATAGTGGTGAGTGCCTGTAAGCTCAGCTACTCAGGAGGCAGAGGCACGAGAACTGCTTGATCCTGGGAGGCGGAGATTGCAGTGAGCCAAAATTGAGCCACTGCACTCCAGCCTGGGTGACGGAGTGAGTGAGATTCTATTTAAAAAAAAAAAAAAAAAAAGAGGCCGGGCATGGTGGCTCACTCCTGTAATCCCAGCACTTGGGAGGCCAAGGCGGGTGGATCACAAGGTCAGGAGTTTGAGACCAGCCTGGCCAAGATGGTGAAACCCCATCTCTACTAAAAATACAAAAATTTGCCAGGCACACTGGTGGGGCGCCTGTAATCCCAGCTACTTGGGAGGTTGAGGCAGGAGAATTGCTTGAACCCGGGAGGCGTAGGTTGCAGTGAGCTGAGATCATGCCACTGTACTCTAGCTTGGGTGACAGAGCAAGACTGTCTCAAAAAAAAAAAAAAAAAATCCAGTCAAAATGCCGTTAGTGCAGAAGTTAAGAAACCTTGGATTAAATGATTTAATATTTGTTAAGTGTTCAGAATAGTGTCTGGCATACAGTTGACATTACATATGTATTAGCTATTGCTATTATCTACTTTATAGACCATAGATGCCACGAAGAAAAAATTATGTTTGCTTGCTCACTTTGCTTGTTGCCATATCAAGGACTAGTATCTGGCACATGTGTACTCAGTAAAACTTTGGTTGAATGAATATATTTTACGTTTGGATTTTCTTTTTTTTTTTTTTTTTTGAGACAGAGTCTCGCTCTGTCACCCAGGCTGGAGTGCAGTGGCACGATATTGGCTCACTGCAACCTCCACCTCCCGGGTTCACGCCATTCTCCTGCCTCAGCCTCCCAAGTAGCTGGGACTACAGGCACCCGCCAACACACCCAGCTAATTTTTTGTATTTTTTTTTTAGTAGAGACAGGGTTTCACCGTGTTAGCCAGGATGGTCTTGATTTCCTGACCTCGTGATCCACCCGCCTTGGGCTCCCAAAGTGCTAGGATTACAGGCGTGAGCCACCGCACCCACTGGATTTTCTTCTAAGAAGCACATGTTATTTTTATTGTAAAAAAGTAGGCTGGGTGCGGTGGCTCACACCTGTAATCCCAGCACTTTGGGAGGCTGAAGGCGGGCAGATCATGAGGTCAGGAGATCGAGACCATCCTGGCTAACACGGTGAAACCCCGTCTCTACTAAAAATACAAAAAATTAGCCGGGCGTGGTGGCAGACGCCTGTAGTCCCAGCTACTCAGGAGGCTGAGGCAGGAGAATGGCGTGAACCCGGGAGGTGGAGCTTGCAGTGAGCCGAGATAGCGCCACTGCACTTCAGCCTGGGCGAAAGAGTGAGACTCTGTCTCAAAAAAAGAAAATAAATGAAATAAATAAAAGTTTGGCTGGATACAGGGGCTCATGCCTGTAATTCCAGTGCTTTGGGAGGCTGAGGCAGGGGGAATCACTTGAGATCTGGGGTTCAAGACCATCCTGGGCAACATAGCAAGCCCTCATCTCTACCAAAAATTAAAAAATTGGCCGGGTATGGTGGCTCATGCCTGTAATTCCAGCACTTTGGGAGGCCGAGGTGGGTGGATCACCTGAGGTCAGGAGTTTGAGACCAGCCTGGCCAAAATGGCAAAACCTCATCTCAGCCGGGTGCGGTGGCTCATGCCTGTAATCCCAGCATTTTGGGAGGCTGAGGTGGGTGGATCATGAGGGTCAGGAGATCGAGTCCGTCCTGGCTAACACAGTAAAACCCTGTCTCTACTAAAAATACAAAAAAAAAAAATTAGCTGGGCATGGTGGTGGGCGACTGTAGTCCCAGCTACACGGGAGGCTGAGGCAGGAGAATGGCGTGAATCCAGGAGGCGGAGCTTGCAGGGAGCCGAGATCGTGCCACTGCACTCCAGCCTGGGTGACAGAGCGAGACTCCGTCTAAATTAAAAAAAACCTCATCTTTACTAAAAATACAAAAAAATTAACCGAGCGTGGTGGCACCTGCCTACAGTCCCAGCTACTTGGGAGGCTGAGGCAGGAGAATCGCTAAACCTAGCAGGTGGAGGTTTTGGTGAGTCGATATCACACCATGCCACTGCACTCCAGCCTGGGCAACAGAGCGAGACTGCCTCAAAAAAAAAAAAAAAAAAAAAAAACAAAAAAAAAAACATTTAGCTGGGAGTGGTGACTGTAATCCTAGCTAGTCAGGAGCTACTCGGGAGGCTGAGGCTGGAGGATCGCCTGAGTCCACGAGTTGGTGGTTACAGTGTGCTGTGATTGTGTCACTGTACCACTTCACTCCAGCCTGGGAAACAGAGACCCTGTTTCTAATTTAAAAAAAAAAAGTAAAAGTTTAAAATTTTAGGATAGTAGTTACCTTTGTGGGAAGGGAAGAGGAGAGTCACTCTGGGGGCTTCAAAAGTGTAGTCATGCTACATAAGAATATTTTGGTCAGAAATGAACTGCTGGGCTGGGCATGGTGGCTCATGCCTGTAATCCCATCACTTTGGGAAGACTTTGGGAGGTGAGAGGATCACTTGAGCCCAGGAGTTCGAGACCAGCCTAGGCAACATGGCAAAACCTCGTCTCTACAAAAAATACAAAAATTAGCCCAGCATGGTGGTGTACAATATGTGTACACCAGCTACTGATATGTGTCCCAGCTACTCGGGAGGCCGAGGTGGGAGGATTGCTTGAGCCCAGAAGGTCAAGGCTGCAGTGAGCCAGGATCATACCACCGTACTGCAGTCTGGCCTGGGCAACAAAATAAGACCCTATCTCAAAAAAGCAAAAAAACCCCAAAACAACAACAAAAAAAAACTGTATCGGTATACACAAGAGGGTTCCCATAATATTATACCTTTTCTATGTTTCTATGGTACAGTACATAATACTGTACCTCTTCTATGTTTAGATATGTTTAGATATACAAGTACTTACCATCGTGTTATAATTGTCTATGGTATTCAGTATAGTAATATGCCATGCAGGTTTATACCCTAGGAGTAATAGTTTGTATCATATAGCCTAGGTGTGTAGTAGGCTAAGTACACCCTACGATGTTGACACAATGGAAATCGTCTAATGATGTATTTCTCAGAATGTACTCCAGTTGTTGGCAGGGTATGGTGGCTCATGCCTATAATCTCAGCATTTTGGGAGGCTGAGGTGGGCGGATCACTTAAGGTCAGGAGTTCGAGACTAACCTGGCCATCATGGCAAAACCCTGTCTCTACTAAAATTATAAAAAATTAGCTGGGAATGGTGGTGCACGCCTGTAGTTCCAGCTACTTGGGAGGCTGAGGGAGGAGAATCGCTTGAACCTGGGAGGCAGGGGCTGTAGTGAGCCAAGATAATGCTACTGCACTCCAGCGTGGGTGACAGAGTGAGACTCTGTCTCAAAAAAAAAAAAAAGTATTCCAGTCATTAAATGACACGTGATTGTACTGATTATAATTTATTATTTATTTATTTTTTGAGACAGAGTCTCGCTCTGTAACCCAGGCTGGAGTGCAGTGGTGCAATCTTGGCTCACTGCAACCTCCGCCTCCTGGGTTGAAGTGATTCTCCTGCCTCAGCCTCCCGAGTAGCTGGGACTACAGGCACGCACCACCATGCCCAGCTAATTTTTGTATTTTTAGTAGAGACGGGGTTTCACCATATTGGCCAGGCTGGTCTCGAACTCCCGACCTTGTGATCCGCCTGCCTTGGTCTCCCAAAGTGCTGGGATTACAGGTGTGAGCCACCGCGCCCGGCTGATTATGACTGATTACACAATTTATTTATATATACTTTTGTTCATATGATACATTGCACTGAAAAATAAGAGTAATTGATAAAATATTTTAAAAACATAGACCACATTGTAACAGAGTAGTCTGAATTATATTACATGATTACCAATTCAAACTCCTGTGGGCTGAAGAAGAGAGAAGGATTATTACCTTGGTTCGATTTTTTCTGTTGTAGAATTTCTCATCAGGTTGTTCTGAACATGCCGGAACTGCAACATACCACAGGAATGAGAATATTCTTCCCCACCCCCACATCTATTGGCCTCTTGCTGGTCACTCCAAACTTTTGGCATACAAGAACATTTAGATTTAGTTTGTTTACCAGGTTTACCTTCCCTTCAAGCCAGCAGTGGGCTTTCAGGATGACAGGCCAAAGATTTGTTTTTGGGTTGGATGCTAATAATACTCACCTCTATTACTGTGCTTAAAAGTCATGCTAATGGTGTTCCAATAGACTACTGTTTATAGTCTCCTAGTCTGGAGTTCTAGAAATACAATTGTATGAGGCCACTCCTATTTCTATGTCGTACTTTTACTTTCTCTGCTCAAAAGAAGGAAAAAACAAAGTTCTGAAAAAGCAAACGTTATCTTTAACATCTTAGGAATGAAGGGGAAATTGGAGACAATTACTTGGACACTTAATAGGACCTCAAGAAATAGAATTGTCATTATATCATTAGAGGGCACTGTTGCACATTTTGTGATAGAGAACTGGTTTACTACTTCTGCTGTGTTCTTTTCAGGAAGCTCTTTTTATTTCCGTTTTGGTCTTGAACTGAGGCCATCATCATCTCGACAACACCTCAAGTCCAAAGTAAGCTGTCAATGGGCAAGATGCAGGCCAGTGTGCGCTTAGCATTTATTTTTCTCCTGTCTGCACCTTTTTTTTCACTTTTTCAAACCCTACAATTTATTCTACTCAGTGTTCCTCGCTAAAGCTGCTACCAAACCCTACCTGTAGCTTCCCCTGCTCACCTGCTGGTGGTAGTCCCTTTGCTTGATGAACTTGTCTACCACCTTCTCCACCTGTCTGTCACATTCCACCTGCAGATATTTGATCAGGGTATAGAGTCTCCCTGGCCCATAATAGGTCTCCACTATTGGCTGGTGGGTCTCCACAATGCGGGCAATCCCTAGAAGGGAGGAAGCAATAGGGTTATATTCCAAGTATTCTTCCTACAAAATAAACTTGCTCCCATCCAGGACTAACCGAAGGTCTAGCTCAATCCTTTTGGCTGCTTCACTTTCTAAAATGAACACAAATAGGCCTAGTCAATGCTAGGGGTTGCTAGGCAAATATGTTAAATATGTACAGTGCTTGGTACACCAGCAGGCATTTGGTAAGTTACATTGATACTGTTTTCTACAGCAGCATCTTTGGAAATCAGCATCACTCGCTTTCCAGTAATTTATTTTAGGGTTAA
Source organism: Homo sapiens (assembly GCF_000001405.40). Lineage (NCBI taxonomy): Eukaryota > Metazoa > Chordata > Mammalia > Primates > Hominidae > Homo > Homo sapiens. The sequence continues at coordinate 70,509,680 of NC_000016.10, forward strand.
ATTTATTCGTACAGAGTTTGGGGTTTGAGGGTTAGGTAGGATCAAAACACTGGAGAGACTCTAATCTTTGCTAATCAGGCACTGAATCTGGAAGTTATTTAATTCTCCAATCAATTAATACACAATAAACTACATGATTAAATTAAAGTCATCAGGCTAGAAGGGTGAGAAGAAAGGCTAGGATGCAGGTGTCATATACAGTCTCCAGTCTCTCTAGAGCGGAGAAAGAGGCTCACCTTCAAACAGAAGAGTAAGTGTATCTGCAAAGATGACTGCAGCTCTCCGATCACTCATGTCTGTCCCCAGCACCATGAGCAGATTCTCCTCAGCTTTACTGGCCACCTAAAAAAGGAGAAAACCCACACACATTCCTCAGAAAGGTCACCCTCATACCAGGTATATCTCAGTTTTCCAAAAATCCTCCCATTGACTTTCTTTTTTTTCACATTTCCCTTGATGTCTGGAAGCCCAGGCAGCACAGAGGAAACTCCCTTGAGGGACAGTCTGAGCCTCAGGCAGGACAAGGAAAGTGAGCATGGTGTAGCTCCTCTTCCATTATTTTCTTCTCTTGGAAAATATGGACTGCCATTAGCCAAGGGAGAGAGTCCCCAGTTTCAACAATCTTCTCAAAGGGTAACTTTCTATTATTTTTTAAAATAAGACAGAAACTCACTCTGTTGCTCAGGCTGGAGTACAAGGGAGCCACAGTCATAGTTCACTGTGGCCTTGAACTCCTGGACTCAAGTGATCCTCTCACCTCAGCCTCCTGAGTAGCTGGAACTATAGGCGAGAGCCACCATGCCCGGCTAATTTTTTAAAAATTTCTGTAGAGATGGGGTCCTGCTATGTTGCCCAGACTGGTCTGGAACTCCTGGCCTCAAGCAATCCTCTTGCCTCAGCATCCCAAAGTGTTGGAATTACAGGCGTGAGCCATTATGCCTGGCATGTTATCATTAACAGTGCTTTCTCAAGCACGACAAAACCTGGGTACTGCAGAAGGGACTTTTACTGGATTAAAGGTAGAAGCCATTTCTAGGTCCCAGATGTCAAAGTATACTGATAAAAAAAGTACCATAGAGCAGGTTTCCTTTTTTTTTTTTTTTGAAATGGAATTTCGCTGGTCGCCCAGGCTGGAGTGCAGTGGCACAATCTTGGCTCACTGCAACCTCTGCCTCCCCGGCTCAAGCGATTCTCCTGTCTCAGCTTCCCGAGTGGTTGGGCTTACAGGCACCCGCCAACATGCCCGGCTAATTTTTGTATTTTTTAGTAGACACAGGGTTTCACCATGTTGGCCAGGCTGGTCCTGAACCTCTGATCTGAGGTGATCCACCCGCCTCAGCCTCCCAAAGTGCTGGGATTACAGGCGTGAGTCACCGCGCCTGGCCTGTATTTTGTTTTTAATTAACTTTTTAGAATGAGTAAAATGCACACTTAAACATTCCAAAGGAACAAAGGAATATTCAGTGAAAAGTGGTTCTTCTTCTAACCTGTGTCTCTTAATTTCCCAATTTTCTTCAGAGGTGACCATTGTTAACCCTTCCAAAAGAAATCCTCTGCTTATACAAATATATCTTGATTGCTAACTCCCTCATTTTAAACAGGAATGACAACATATTGTTTTGTGCCGTTTAACAAACCACATGTTACAGAATAAAATATGTCAGCACTTAGGGAACGGTATCATTTTTCTTAACGGCATAATAATGGTCTGATAATTTTTTTGTGGGAGGGGAGTGACACACACAGACATATAGCTAAAAAACGGCCAGGTGGGGTGGTAGTCCCAGGACTTTGGGAGGCTGAGGTGGGAGGACTGCTTGAGGCCAGGAGTTCGAGACCAGCCTGGGTAACACAGTGAGACCGTTTCTATAAAAAAAAAAAAAAATTGCAACGCATGGTGGCATGTGCCTGCAGTCTCAACTGCTTGGGAGGCTGAGGCAGGAGGATTGCTTGAGCTTTAAGAGTGATTCAGACTGGGCGTGGTGGCTCACACCTGTAATCCCATCACTTTGGGAGGCCGAGGTGGGCGGATCACCTGACGTTGGGAGTTCGAGACTAGCCTGACCAACATGGAGAAACCCAGTCTCTACTAAAAATACAAAATTAGCTGGGCGTGGTAGCATATGCCTGTAATCCCAGCTACTCGGGAGGCTGAGGCAGGAGAATAGCTTGAACCAGGGAGGTGGAGGTTGCAGTGAGCTGACATCATGCCATTGTACTCCAGCCTGAGCAACAAGAGTGAAACTCCATCTCAAAAAAAAAAAAAGAGTGATTCAACTTGTCAGAGAACTTGCATTTTAATTTCACATGCTTTCGCCTGGTCTGTTGGAAATGAATGTGCACTGGCAGATGTCTTGGCCATGCCTGGTACACAGTAGGCTGGCAACAGGTGTGTTGAATGAACACATGCATCCAGTCCTGCATGGCTACACAGCAAGGGCAGGAAGGGGAGTCATATCCAGAAGAGAGAAAGTATCCACAGAAACTGGATCCATCCAGTGCCCCAATCTGCAGGCAGACAGCCACACAATTATCCTGCCAAGCAATCAGGGTCCATACCTGCTTGCAAAGGTACTCCGAGAACTTTCTTAATCCCTCCTCATGCAAACCCAGCAGTGGGAAGATCTTGAAGAAGCGCTCCACCTGGGGCAGATCACCTTCCTTGGTGGCAATGGCAAACTTCTCTGCCACAATGGCTTTGAGACGTTGCTCAGCTTCCTGCAGCAATTTCAGGTTGGCATCAATCATGCTCCCTGCTCAACAGGGAGAAAATGAAAATTCAAGTAAAGAATAGTACTGTGGCAGGTCCATGCCACTTTGTGTAATACTATTCATCCAGCAAATACGTATTAAGCACTTACCATGTGCAAGATGCTGTGCTAGTAATATGCATGATTACAAGATGAATCAGCCCTGATCCTACCATCACAGAAGTTAGGATCAGGTAGAAGAGATAGTTTGTGCACAAATCAAGATGATGAAATACAGTACATGATGTGTCATAAGAAAGGTGCCAAAGTCCGGGCACGGTGGCTCATGCCTGTAATCCCAGCACTTTGGAAGGCCGAGATGGCTGAATCACAAGGTCAAGGGATTGAGACCATCCTGGCCAACATGGTGAAACCCTGCCTCTACTAAAAATAGAAAAATTAGCTGGGCATGGTGGCATGCGCCTGTAGTCCCAGTTACTCAGGAGGCTGAGGCAGAAGAATCCCTTGAACCTGGGAGGCAGAGGTTGCAGTGAGCCAAGATCATGCCACTGCACTCCAGCCGGCAAAAGAGTGAGACTCCGTCTCAAAAAAAAGAAAGGTGTCAAAAAGTCACATTTCTGGTTAAAGTAATCAGAAAAGGCTTCCTAGAGAAGGTGACATCCCACCTCTCAAAGATGGGCAGGATTCTGATACCTGCACAGGAGAACAAACATTCCAGGCAAAGGGAATGAAAGACATGAATAGAAGCAGAAAGATGAAAAGAATATTTGCAGAGTATTCCAAGTAGCATATTCCTTGGCATATGGAGGAGCTTGAGAAATACTTGCACAATGAGTGGATGCATAAGTGAATAACATTAAACAAGTCTAGAAAAACAGAGTGTGTAAAGATCATGGAAGATCTAAAATATCAGGCTAAGAATTTCATTTTATGAGTAGGCAATATGGCCAAGTGCAAAGAACCCGCTGGCCAGAGAATCAGTAGATCTGGATTCAGTTTCCTTTTCCATAAAATGGGAATACAGTAGTCTCTTCTTATCTGTAGGGGATCCATTCCAAGACCGTTATGGATGCCTGAAACCATCGACAGTACTGAACCTTAAATATACTATGTTTTCTCCCATACATACATACCTACGATAAAGTTTAATTTGTAAATTAGACATAGTAAGAGATTAACAATAATATATAATAAGATATAACAACATACCATGATAAAGTTATGCAAATGTGGCCTCTCTCTTAAAATATCTTACTGTACTGTACTTACCCTTCTTGTGATGAAGGGACAGACAGGGTGGTACAAGATTTTATCACACTACTTAGAACAGCAAGCAATTTAAAACTAGTAAGATGTTTATTTCTGGAATTTTTCCTTAATATTTTTGGACTAAGGTTGACCATGAATAACTGAAGCTGCAGGTAACTGAAATGGCAGAAAGTGAAACCACACATAGGGGAGACTGCTTTAACAAAGCCTGCCCCAGGATGGTACAGGACCTACGTATGGCCTATTACCAGACAAGAAAACTTCCTGGCTGGGCGCAGTAGCTTACACCTGTAATCCCAGCACTTTGGGAGGCCAAGGCGGGCAGATCACCAGAGATCAGGAGTTCAAGACCACTCTGTCCACATGGTGAAACCCCATCTCTACTAAAAATACAAAAAACATTAGTGAGGTGTGGTGGTGTGCACCTGTAGTCCCAGCTACTCAGGAGGCTGAGGCAGGAGAATCGCTTGAACCCAGAAGGCGGAGGTTGCAGTAAGCCAAGATGGCACCACTGCACCCTATCCTGACAAGAGCAAGACTCCGTCTCAAAAAAAAAGAAGAAAAAGAAAAAAGAAAACTTCCTAAAAACTGATGTGTTTTTATTGGTCGAGTCTGCTTACTTCAGATTACAGATGATTTTAACTAAACTAAAAACCAACAGTTTCGGATGCTGACCCTCTTTGCCCTGTCGGCTGAGCTCAATGACCGACTTGTCCAGGCACAAGTAGCGATGAGTATGTGCTGCAGCCTGCTCATAATCTTCACTCCTCAAAGCAGTCTGAACTCCATCCATGCAGAACTTCAGGTCCAAGATGTCATCAGCTCTCTGAATGGCCTGATAGAGGCGGTTCTGCAAAAAGATTTGGTACTTACAAACAATGTCCTATTCTTTCAAAAACACCCCTCAAGAAGGTAGGGAGATTCAGGAGCTGAATCTGATCAACCATATGTCAATAGCAATCTCACAAACACCACCACTACTGTTAACGCAACTGTTATTGATGATGATCAAGACCATTGACAGATATCATACAATGTTAATAACGTGATCAAATCATTCTCTCTTTTTTTTTAGACAGAGTCTCACTCTGTTACCCAGGCTGGAGTGCAGTGGCGCAATCATGGCTCACTGTAACCTCTGCCTCCTGGGCCTAAGCTATCCTCCACCTCAGCCTCCCAACTAGCTGGGATCACAGGCATGTGCCACCATGCCTGGCTAGTTTTTGTATTTTTTGTAGAGGCAGGGTTTCATCAATGTTTCCCAGGCTGGTCTCAAACTCCTGAGCTCAAGCTATCCGCCTGCCTTGGCTTCCCAAAGTGCTGGGATTACAGGTCTGAGTCACAGAGCCCAACTTTTTTTTTTTTTTTCTTCTTGAGACAGAGTCTCACTCTGTTGCCCAGGCTAGAGTACAGTGGTGCAATCTTGGCTCACTGCAACCTCTGCCTCCTGGGTTCAAGCAATCCTCCCACCTCAGCCTCCCAAATACCTGGGATTACATGTGCACACAACCACAACCTGCTAATTTTTGTAATTTTTGTAGAGACAAGGTTTTGCCATGTTGCCCAAACCCAGGCTGGCCCTGAACTCTTGAGCTCAAGCAATTCATTCTCCTCGGCCTCCCAAAGTGCTGAGATTACAGGAGTAAGCCAGCACGCCTGGCCTACTTCATTTTCTTACCTAATTGCCCTGGATAGAACCATACAGCCACCAACTCACTATTAAGGTTTTTTTAGAACATGCTTGCGCCAGGCGTGGTGGCTCACGCCTGTAATCCCAGCACTTTCGGAAGCCGAGGTGGGTGGATCACGAGGTCAGGAGTTTGAGACCAGCCTGACCAACATGGTGAAACCCCATCTCTACTAAAAATACAAAAATTAGCCAGGCCTGGTGGCGCATGCCTGTAATCCCAGCTACTCGGGAGGCTGAGACAGGAGAATTGCTTGAACCCAGGAGGTGGAGGTTGCACACGCTGAGATCAAGCCATTGCACTCCAGCCTGGGCAACAGAGTGAGACTCTGTCTCAAAATCAATCAATCAATCAATCAATAAATAAATAAAACATGCTTGCTTGTTCTAGAGACATAGTAAGAGAAGACACCCTTGTCTTGTTCCTCATCTTAGGGGGAAAGAATCACACGTTTCACCAGTAAGTATGATATTAGCTGAGGGTTGTTTTTTTAAAAAATTTTTGTAGGACAGGGTCTTACTGTGTTCCAAGGTTTGGTCTCCAACTTCTGGCCTCAAGAGATCCTACTGCTTTGGTCTCCCAAAGTGTTAGGATTGCAGGCATGAGCCACCACACCTGGCCAGCTGTGGTTTTTCACAGATGCTCTTTATCAGGCTGAGAAGTTCCCCTCTATTCCAAATTTGTTGAGTGTTTCTACCACGAAAGGATATTGAATTTTGTTAAATGTTTTCTTCTGAGTCTATGAGGTGATCATGTGTTTTTTGTCCTTTTTTCTATTAATATGGTGTATTATTAGGATGGTGCAAAAGTAATTGCGGTCTTGGCCACTACTTTTAATTGATTTTCAGATGTTAAATCAACCTTGTGTTCCTAGGATAAATTCCACTTGGTCATAGTATATAATCCTCTTTATATATTGCTAGACTTGCTTTACTAGGGTTTTGTTGAGTTAAATTTTTTTTTTTTTTTGAGACAGAATCTCTCTGTCGCCCAGGCTGGAGTGCAGAGGCGCCATCTCGGCTCACTGTAAGCTCTGCCTTCTGGGTTCACGCTATTCTCCTGCCTCAGACTCCTGAGTAGCTGGGACTACAGGAGCCTGTCACCACCACTGGCTAATTTTTTGTATTTTTAGTACAGATGGGGTTTCACGGTGTTAGCCAGGATGGTCTCGATCTCCTGACCTTGTGATCTGTCCGCCTTGGCCTCCCAAAGTGCTGGGACTACAGGCGTGAGCCACCGCGCCCAGCCTTGTTGAGTACCTTTATGTCTATATTCATAAGAGCTACTGGTCTGAAGTTTTCTGTGATATTTTTGTCTGGCTTTGTTATCTCACATTAGATTTCTATTGAATGGTGCTCTTCTAATCTCTAATGTGGTAGCTTTTTTTTTTAAATAGAAGCTGGTATTTATTAACTTATTTATTTATTTATTTTTAATTTGCAACTCCACTCTGCAACTCAGGCTGGAGTACAGTGGCATGACCTTGGCTCACTGCAATCTCTGCCTCTTGGGGTTAAGCGATCCTCCTGCCTTAGCCTCCCAAGTAGCTGGAATTACAGGTGTGCATTACCACACCTGGCTAATTTTTGTATTTTTTAGTAGAGACACGGCTTCGCCATGTTGCCTAGGCTGGTCTCAAACTCCTGGACTCAAGCAATTAGCCTGCCTCAGTCTCCCAAAGTGCTGGGATACAGGTGTGCACCACCATGTCCAGCTAATTTTTGTATTTTTTGTAGAGATGGGGTTTTCCCATGTTGCCCAGGCTGGTTTTGAACTTCTGGGCTCAAGCAATCCTCCTGTTCTGGCCTCCTAAAGTGATGGGATTGTAGGTGTTAGTCACCACGCAAAGCCCCATAGACATTTTGATGTTGTAGTTAGTAGAGGGCAGTAAAGAAGCTATTGGCCAGGCAAGGTGGTTCACACCTGTAATCCCAGCATGTTGGGAGGCCGAGGCGGGCAGATCACCTGAGGTCAGGAGTTTGAGGCCAGCCTGGCTAACATGGCGAAAGGTGGAAGGATAACTTGAGCCCAGGAGTTCAGGACCAGCCCGGGGAACATGGCAAAACCCCATCTCTACAAAAAATACAAAAACTAGCTGGGCATAGTGGTGGATGCCCGTAGTCCTAGCTCCTCAGGAGGCTGAGGTGGGAGAATTGCTTGAGCCCAGGGAGTTGGGGCTGTAGTGAGCTGTCATTGTACCACTGTACTCCAGCCTAGGTGACAGAGCAAGACCCTGTCTCAAAAAAAAAAAAAAAAAAAAAAAAGCTTGATGTATTACCTTGGCCAGGTCAAGCTGACGAACTTTGCTGGACACATTCTCAGCCAGGTTGCAGGTAAAGGTGATCATTCCAGCCAGCTGCTTTGCATCTCCCTCAATCAGCTGCAGATTAGGACTGGAGAAATACATTGTTAGCATACACATAACGATAGGGCAGAGAAGAGACAGAAACTTTTTTTTGCATATGGACACTATGTCTTCTACTTCTTTCATACCTACCTGTAACTCTTAGCTCAGTTTGCTCTATACTCAGCTTTTTCTCAAGAACGTTTGACTGTAAACTCAGACCTATACCTGATAAAAAATTAACTCTTTTTTTTTTTTGAGACGGAGTCTTGCTTTGTCGCCAGGCTGGAGTGCACTGGCGCAATCTCAGCTCACTGCAACCTCCGCCTCCCGGGTTCAAGCGATTCTCCTGCCTCAGCCTCCTGAGTAGCTGGGACTACAGGCGCGTGCCACCAAGCCCAGATAATTTTTGTATTTGTAGTAGAGACGGGGTTTCACCACGTTGGCCAGGAGATGGTCTTGAACTCTTGACCTTGTGATTCAGCCTCCCAAAGTGCTGGGATTATAGGCGTGAGCTACTGCGCCTGGCCAAAATTAACTTCTAAAACCAATAAAGACACACCTAAATAGGTACAGTCAAAGAACTAGAGAACAAATTCTCTCAATTGCTAAGTGAGCATAAGATGCACTAACCAGTACCATGTGAGAGGATGGTGAGATCAAGGAACAATTTTTGTTTTTGTTTGAGACAGGTTCTCACTCTGCCACTCAGGCTAGAATGCAGTGGCACGATCATAGCTCACTGCAGTTTCCAACTTCTGGGCTCAAATGATCCTCCTGTCTTAGCCTCCTGAGTAGCTGAGACTACAGGCGCACACCACCATGCCCAACTAATTTATTTATTTATTTATTTTTATTTTTTTGTTTTTGAGACAGGGTCAAAAGTGATCCTCTAGATGAGGCCTCCCACAGTGCTGGAATTACAAGCATGAGCCACTACACGCAGCCAGGGAACAATTTTTATGACTAACAAATATACCCAGTCTGTAAAAATGGTGGTTCTCGGCCGGGCATGGTGGCTTACTCCTGTAATACTAACACTTTGGGAGGCCAGGCGGGCGGATCACTTGAGGTCAGGAGTTTGAGACCAGCCTGGCCAACATGGTGAAACCCTGTCTCTACTAAAAATACAAAAATTAGCTGGGCGTGGTGGCACATGCCTGGAATCCCAGCTACTCGAGAGGCTGAGGCAGGAGAATCGCTTGAACCTGGGAGGCAGAGGTTGCAGTGAGCCGAGATCATGCCACTGCACTCCAGCCTGGGGGACAAAAACGAAGCTCCATCTCAAAAAAAAAAAAAAAGGTGGTTCTCAAACTTGAGCTGTGCATTAGAATCACTTGGTAGGCTTGTCAAAACACATCTTCCTGGACCCCACCCCTAGACTTTCTGATTTTGTAAGTTTGGAGTGGGGCCCTAGGATTTGCATTTCTTTTTTTTTTTTTTTTTGAGACGGAGTCTCGCTCTGTTGCCCAGGCCAGACTGCGGACTGCAGTGGCGCAATCTCGGCTCATTGCAAGCTCCGCTTCCCCGGGTTCACGCCATTCTCCTGCCTCAGCCTCCCGAGTAGCTGGGACTACAGGCGCCCGCCACCGCGCCCGGCTAATTTTTTGTATTTTTAGTAGAGACGGGGTTTCACCTTGTTAGCCAGGATGGTCTCGATCTCCTGACCTCATGATCCGCCCGCCTCGGCCTCCCAAAGTGCTGGGATTACAGGCGTGAGCCACCGCGCCCGGCCAGGATTTGCATTTCTAACAAGGTGTGATGCTGGTACAACTGGTCCAAGGACTGTTTGAAAACCATCAAACTAATACCCTTAGGTGTTCACTTTATCTTGAGATAATACCCTTTACATTTCAAGCTGAACTGGTGTTTATAACAGAAAGTTTAAAAAATGGTCACTTGTCCAATTGACCCTGTTGGAATTTACATTAGCTCTTGCTGAGATGCACAGACTCACCCCATTCGGTGGAGAGTGACCATCTTACTTTCAATGGTGTTTTGCTGTTCCAAAAGAGCATCCAGCTCTCTCTCCACCACTTTCTGAAACACAGAGAAACATCCTGTCAGCAGAATGATCAGAAGGAACCTTAAGAGTTATCTAATCCAATCACTTAGCTGAAGGGTGAATCTCATTTCCAAGTCCTTTTTTCCTTCCACTATGTTCTCCTTAGACTTTAACAATGCTTCATTTTGCACTTATGTTGCATGATTGTTATCTTACGTATATCTTATTCCACCTGGCAGATGAGCACCATAATAGGAAGAAATAAACTTTTAATCAGTATCATTAGCATAGTGCCTAATACAGGAAGGCATTTAAAATACAATGCCTGGCCAGCACTGGATCCCAAAGTAATCCCAGCTCTTTGGGAGGCCCAGGTGGGTGGATCACCTGAGGTCAGGAGTTCATGACCAGCCTGGCCACATGGTGAAACCCCATCTCTACTAAAAATACAAAATTAGGCTGGGCGCGGCGGCTTACGTCGGTAATCCCAGCACTTTGGGAGGCCAAGGCAGGCGGATCACGAGGTCAGGAGATCGAAACCATCCTGGATAACACGGTGAAACCCTGTCTCTACTAAAAATATAAAAATACAAAAAATTAGCCGGGTGTGGTGGCGGGCGCCTGTAGCCCAAGCTGCTCAGGAGGCTGAGGCAGGAGAATGACATGAACCCGGGGGGTGGGGGGGGGGGGGGGCGGAGCTTGCAGTGAGCCGAGATCATGCCACTGCACTCCAGCTTGGGCAACAAAGTGAGACTCCGTCTCAAAAACAAAAAACAAAAAACAAAATTAGCTGGGTGTGGTGGCGGGGGCCTGTAATCCCAGCTACACAGGAGGCTGAGGTAGGAGAATCACTTGAACCCGGGAAGTGGAGGTTGCAGTGAGCCGAGATCGTGCCATTTCACTCCAACCTGGGTAACAAGAGTGAAACGCTGTCTCAAAAAAAAAAAAAAGAAAATACAATGCCTAAACAAAAAACACCACACACATCTTGCTGAAATGAAATTTCCAGTGACAGTTACCAAAATTTTTCTTCTTGGTGCATAGTCAGTAGCCAGGGGTTATAAATATAATTATCTCTCATTCAAGCCATTTATTGTGCAACCTCAATTTATGTAACATTTTTATGCTTCGGTTTTTTCATCTGTAAAACTAGGATAGCAATACCAATCTCACTGGGCTGTTGAATGAGTCAAACAGGAAACCACACAAAGTGCTTAACATGGTATGTGGCATATAGTTCAACAACAGCCATTAAAATTAACCATACATTTTTATTTTTTGCGGGGGCTCAAGTGCTCTTCCTACCCCAGCCCCCCAAATATCTGTGACTATAGGCGTGCACAACCCTGGTCCACTGTTTAATTTTTTTGTAGCCACGAGGTCTCACTATATTGCCCAGGCTGGTCCCCAACTATCTGCTATTGCCCAGGCTGGTCTCCAACTATAGCTCAAGCTATCTGCCCATCTCAGCCTCCCAAAGAACTGCGATTAGAGGCATGAGCCACTTGTGCCCAGGCAGCTATACTTTTTTTTTTTTTTGAGACGAGTTTCGCTCTTTCACCCAGGCTGGAGTGAAGTGGCCTGATCTTGGCTCACTGCAACCTCCCTGCCCTGGGGTTCAAGCGATTTTCATGCCTCTGCCTCCCAATTAGCTGGGATTATAGACGCCCACCATCACACCCGGCTAACTTTTGCATTTTTAGTAGAGACTAACATGGTTTCGCCACGTTGGCCAGGTTGGTCTCGAACTCCTGACCTCGGGTGATCCACCCGCCTCGGCCTCCCAAACTGCTGGTATTACAGGCATGAGACACCAAGCCCGGCCATATACATTTTTATTAAAATCGTTCTGTAGGTTCCAGAGGAAAACGTCCTCTTGACAGTCATGGAATACAAATACAGTACTTATATCATTTTGTCTGTAAGATTTCCATAATTTTCCACCCAACATATTAAATGACTGAATGAATGCGAGCTTAGGAATGTTAAGTCAAGATACTAAATTTTTTTTTTTTTTTTTTTTGAGACAGAGTCTCACTCTGTCGCCGAGGCTGGAGTGCAGTGGTGCGATCTCGGCTCACTGCAAGCTCCTTCTCCCTGGTTCACGCCATTCTCCTGCCTCAGCCTCCCGAGTAGCTGGGACTACAGGCGCCCGCCACCACGCCCGGCTAATTTTTTGTATTTTTAGTAGAGACGGGGTTTCACTGTGTTAGCCAGGATGGTCTCGATTTCCTGACCTCGTGATCCATCTGCCTCAGCCTCCCAAAGTGCTGGGGTTACAGGAGTGAGCCACCGCGCCAGGCTTTTTTTTTTTTTAAGAGACACAATTTTGCTCTTGTTGCCCAGGCTAGAGTGTAATGGCGCTATCTTGGTTCACTGCAACCTCCGCCTCCCAGGTTCAAGCAATTCTCCTGCCTCAGCCTCCCGAGTAGCTGGGATTACAGGCATGCGTCACCACACCCGGCTAGTTTTGTATTTTTAGTAGTGATGGTTTTCACCATTTTGGTCATGCTGGTCTCGAACTCCTGACTCAGGTGATCCTCCCGTCTTGGCCTCCCAAAGTGCTGGGATGGCAGGCGTGAGCCACCGCGCCCCGCAAGATACTAAATTTTAAAACACATCTTGCTGAGGCCAGACAAAAAAAGCCCCACACACTAAACTAGCCAGGCACGGTGGTGTGCGCCTCTGGTTTCATCCATTCTGATTGCAGCACAACAGCACTCCAGCCTGCGCAACAGAGAGCGGCCCTGTTTCTAAAAATAACAAAACAAAACAAAAAACACCACACACATCTTGCTGAAAAACGTATCAGAAACTGCTAGAGTTAGTGCAAGTTTATACTTGAAAATACTCAAAGATATCAACGATCACCTCTCCCTCAGGCTGAAACTGCCTTTTGTGCTCAACTTTGCTAGAAGTTTGGTCTGGGAAACAGCTGACAAGCTTAGAGCTTAGATCTCTTTTGACTAGCAAGGAACCCAACTGACATTCGAAAGTGAATTGACAGCATCGAGTTGCCACTGAAAATTAAAGGAGGCAGGAAATAGAACGTTATGAACTGAAAGGAATTGGAGAATAGTCCACACCCCTCATTTGATAAAATATCAAGGGTACCAGAGATGAAGTGACTTGTCCAAGATTAGAGAATTGTGTCTGAGTCTTAAAAGCTAAACCTCTACAAAGATGTGCATTTGACCAAAACGCTAAAATCACACCCCCAAATCACTCCCCACAAGAGGAAGTCTTAAAACGCTTCAAGAAGTTAATCTGCAAAGGCTTCCCTCTTAAATAACAGGATGAGAGCGTTTCATAATTTGTAAATTAAGCCAATGCAAAAGGGCGCTTATTATTTTGAGAACCAAGCAATTTGGCAAATACTCTCAGACTAACTTTACTCCCGTGGAGAAACTGGTGATCATGGATCAGGGAAATCAACGGGGGTCTAGGGAGGAGAGGCTGCAGATCGCCCAGGTATCAGGGAAGACAAGCTCGGCGCGTCCGACAGCGTGAAAAGAGTTGACAGGACTACTCATATACCCGACTAGCTTCCGCTTCTTTGTTTTCCCGCTTTTTTGTATCCCCCAGCAAGGAGAGTTTCCCACAGCCCGGATTTCCCGACTGAAGGCTCCCACTCTCCCTAGATCCTCCATGAAAAAGAAGAGGCTCGACCCCGCACCTCCTCGCCGCAGAGCCGTTCGTATACAGCCTCCAGCTCCTGCAGCTCTGTCAGGGAGCGAATGAGCTCAGCGGAGATTTCGGAGCAGCGGCCACCTCCCACCCCCTCAGACGGCTGCTGCACCCCTGACAGCTTCGGAGGCGAATCAAGGTCCGCCATCTTGGTCCCCATTCGGCACTTCCGGTCCCGCGAGGCCCCCTCTTCGTTGGCGCCTATTTGGGGCTGCCCACAGAAGTGCCCAATGAACTCTAATGGTTTTTTTTTTTTAAAGTCTACTTCTAAAAACGTATTAATTTTCTATTCTCCTGGAAAAAGCAAAGCAATAAAGCATGTTTAAATAATTTGTAATGCCGTGTGGAAGCAAGACGGAAGCATTTTTTAAAAATTATATATATTCTTCAGGCGCGGATTGGGTGCCTTTTTCCGCCGCGCGCCACCAGAATGTCCCTGTCTTGAGGTCTAATGGCGGACGCCAGTATGTTGGAGTTGGTGGTGGCTTAAGTTTTGAAGGGAGGTAGCATCCGTTGGATATCCACACCATCCTTCTCGCTGCAGGGTAAAAAAACAGCCTGGAGACTTCCCCGGGCCCGGGGAGGCGGAGACCGGCCATATGGAAGGGGGACCCGAGACTTTGGCGGGGGTCACGGGCAGTCTAGGCCCGAGAGGCTGGGGACCAGGAGGAGGTACCGAGGGATGGTTGAGGCGCCAAAACGGCTTCCTGCAGTTATCTCTCGCTTCCATCCACAGTGTGGGAACATATTCTATCTCAAAATAGGGCTCGTGGAGATTGCTTTTAACTTCTGGGGACTCTGAGACGGGGGAGGTGTGACAAGCAGCGGGAGGCATGGATGTCTCCCTCTGGGTAGAGTAAATGGTACACCGAGGGGAAGATAGAAAGATGGAGCGTGTTAAAAGCGTAAATAACGGAAACAGTCTTTAGAGCCAAGACTCCGGTTTGAATTTGTATTTTGGTAGTTGGGCAACTTGTCTCCTCCTCTGAACCTCTATTTTCTCGTTTGCGTAATGGAGGACAGAGTTTAAATGCGATGATGTTTCCTTGGAGGATGGAGAAGATGCAGTGAGCAATCATACAAGCTTTTTGTAATAATGGTAAACAGACGTGGGGGAAGTTTTTTTTGTTTTGTTTTGTTTTGTTTTTGTGACGGAGTCACAGTCTGTCGCCCAGACTGGAGAGCAGTGGCGCGATCTCGGCTCACTGCCATCTCTGCCTCCCGGGTTCCAGCGATTCTCTTACCTCAGCCTCCCGAGTAGACTAGCTGGGATTACGGGCGCGTGCCACCACGCCCGGCTAATTTTTCTTTTTTTGAGACGGTGTCTCGCTTTGTCGCCCAGGCTGGAGTGCAGTGGCGCGATCTCTGCTCACTGCAAGCTCCGCTTTCCGGGTTCACGCCATTCTCCTGCCTCAGCCTCACGAGTAGCTGGAACTACAGGCGCCCGCCACCGCGCCCAGCTAATTTTTTGTATTTTTAGTAGAGACGGGGTTTCACTGTGTTAGCCAGGATGGTCTCGATCTCCTGACCTTGATCCACCCGCCTTGGCCTCCCAAAGTGTTGGGATTACAGGTGTGAGACACCGCGCCCGGCCCAGACGTGGGGGAAGTTTTAAAGCTTACCAAATTTATCTGGTATGTATTTTTTGTTTGTTTGTTTTGTTTTTGAGACGAAGTCTCGCTGTCGCCCAGGCTGGAGCGCAGCGGCTTGATCTCGGCTTACTGCAGCCTCCTCCTCCTTGGTTCTAGCTATTCTCACGCCTCAGCTTCCCGAGTAGCTGAGATTAAAGGCGTGTGCCACCGCGCCCGGCTAGTTTTTGCATTTTTAGTAGAGGGGTTTTCACTGTGTTGGCCAGGCTGGTCTCAATTCCTGACCTCAAGTGACCCATTTGCCTCGGCCTCCCAAAGTGCTGGGATTACAGGCGTGAGCCACCACTGCGCCTGGCCTCGTATATAGTTTTTCTAGTACTGGACTGATCCTCCGAAATGCACCTTCCTCCACGATCCAAAGTTAAGGTGTCGCTGGAGAACCTGAATCCAACTAGATTTGGGAAAAAATGAATTCCAAAGGTTTGTAATGGATTGTATCAGTTATAAGGAAAGGGGAAAGTAGACTGTTTTGATCAGCTACAAAATATGAAAAGTAACTTGCGGGGAGCTGTTCAGGGATTCAGAAGCAGCTCCTAGCTTCCTCTCTTTTGCTTTTTTTGTTGTTTCTCCACTCCCTGGTCTTTCAACATCGGTCCTTTTCGTTCATGTTTTACTGTGGTCCTAGAACGTTAAACATATACCTTAGTCTATGGGCTGGGCGCGGTGGCTCAACGCCTGTAATCCTAGCACTTTGGGAGGCGGAGGCGGGCGGATCACGAAGTCAGGAGATCGAGACCATCCTGGCTAACATGGTGAAACCCCACTAAAAATACAAAAAATTAGCCGGGTGTGGTGGCGGGCGCCTGTTGTCCCAGCTACTCGGGAGCCTGAGGCAGGAGAATGGTGTGAACCCAGGAGGCGGAGCTTGCAGTAAGCCAAGATGGCGCCACTGCACTCCAGCCTGGGCGACAGATTGAGACGCCTCAAAAAAAAAAAAAAAAAAAAAAAGGAAAAAAAAAAGATATACCTTAGTCTCAAGTAGAAAATTTTATATCTCTCAGGACCCATTTCTAGCCTGGAGCATTGATCTTGCCACCCTGCTTTTGCTCAGCCCAGAAAGTTATTTATGAGGACGTTTACTCATAATTCTCTCTTCTCGTTTAACAATAAAATCAAATATGTATGTTAATTCTATACTAATGACCTTGGATTTCTCAAGGTCCCGTGCTTTTTATTTATTTATTTTTTTTTTTGAGATGAGGTCTCATTCTGTCGCCCAGCCTGGAGTGCAGTGGCATGATGTTGGCTCACCACAACCTCCGCCTCCCAGGTTCAAGCGATTCTCCTGCCTCAGCCTCCCGAGTAGCTGGGACTACAGGCGCACAGCACCATGCCCAGCTAATTTTTGTATTTTTAGTAGAGACGGGGTTTCACTGTGTTGCCCAAGCTGGTCTCGAACTCCTGACCTCGTGAGCCACCACGCCCGGTCACATATGTTGTTTCTTAATAGGGCTTGCTCTGCTGGTTCTGCTGTCTTCATCCAGAATTTCCCATACAGAAATGTCTGTTGAAGTAATAGTCTCCCAGCTATTTTTCTGTTTTCTGTTTTCTTAGCTTTCTTGGACTCCGTACTGTTGGTGTAACCAAGGCCTGGAGGTCTGGGTGGCTCAGGTTTCCTGCAGCCATGTTTCTGTACAACTTAACCTTGCAGAGAGCCACTGGCATCAGCTTTGCCATTCATGGAAACTTTTCTGGTAAGTTCTCTCGTTACCATCTTTTGAAATTTTAAGTGAATTAATACATATCTTGCTTAGTCTCTTGTGCAGGAAATGTTTTCCATTTATGACAAAACAGTTGTTGGTAAATGTAAACAATTCAAATTATGAGATGAGGTGTTAAGTTCTGGTGCATTATCTGTTACCTATTTCAGATGCATTTCCTAGTTCACAAATTGTGTAATGATTCTTGTCAGGGCACACTTTTCTTGGCTGCTTACCTAGTGCCAAGTCGTGTGCCTATTGCTGTAAGACATACTGAGATGTGTAAGACCTGATCTTTGATCTTGAATTTGACATCAGGTTGGGTAAAAAGAATGTCTGAAGGTGTTTGTCTGGTTATCAGAGAGTAATTTAAATAAAGGGAAGGTTGGACCTTGGTTTGGTGCTTGAAGAGATAGAACTTTTGTATGAGAGAAAAGGGAAAATGCAGTTTAGGTAGGGAGTGCTGTCTGCATAGAAACAGATAATTTGCTTACGTTTACCATGTGGGGAATATTTTTGTAAAGATGGATTAAGGCTAGGTTTGAATTGTGTGAAATTTCAAATATTGGATTAGGAAATACAAAGTTACTGAAAGTGAGGTACTAATGTTTATAAAATAAAAACTTTTTCTTGCCATTTGCAGATTTAACATTTTTGAGTCAATCCAAGTAATGCAGGAGGTTCATGATTGTGTAGAGTAAGACATAATTTTGTTGAGGTTTAACTCTGAATACTTAATGTGGTACTGAATACTTAATGTGGTACTGAGAGGCAGCCTAACTGACCACACAGCATTCATATTTCATGTTGTTATTTTCTCTGATCCTCATTATGGCTCTTCCTGCGGGTTTGAGTCTTCATTTGGGTAATTTAGTTATTCTTTGCTGCATTTGATTAAGGAAATACGTATATGGGAATTTGGAGATTTGTGACTGACTTCACTATGTAATGCAATGAATCTCAGCTGGAGTTTGGATAGAATTTTTGAAAGCACGTTTTTGTTTTTTGTTTGTTTTGTTTTTGTTTTTTGTTTGTTTTGTTTTTGTTTTTGTTTTTTCCTTGAAACAGAGTCCTGCTCTGTCACCCAGGCTGGAGCGCAGTGGTGTGATCTTGGCTCACTGCCACCTCCGCCTCCTGGGTTCAAGCGATTCTCCTGCCTCAGCCTCCTGAGTAGCTGGGATTACATGCGTGCACCACCATGCCCGGCTAATTTTTCATATTTTTAGTAGAGATGAGGTTTCACCATATTGGCCAGGCTGATCTCGAATTCCTGACCTCGTGATCCACCCACCTTAGCCTCCCAAAGTGCTGGGATTACAGGCATGAGCTACTGTGCCCTGCTGAAAGCACATTTTTAATACTAATTTTATCTTTCAAATTCCTTTTCCAATTCAGTCTTCCTTTTTATCTAAAATGATGGAGAAGTTTTCTTTTTTTTTTTTTTTTTTTTGAGACGTAGTCTTGCTGTGTTGCCCAGGCTGGAGTACAGTAGTGCGACCTCGGCTCACTGCAAACTCCGTCTCCCAGGTTCAAGCGATTCTCCTGTGTCAGCCTCTGGAGTAGCTGGGATTATAGGCACGTGCCACCACACCTGGCTAATTTTTGTATTTTTAGTAGAGATGGGATCCCACCATGTTGGCCAGGCTGGTTTCAAACTCCTGACCTCAAGTGATCTGCCTGCCTCAGCCTCCCAAAGTGCTGGGATAACAGGTGTGAGCCACTGTGCGTGGCCTTTTTTTTTTTTTTTTTTTTTTTTAGAGACGATATCTTGCTGCGTTTCCCAGGATGGAGTGCAATGGCAGGATTATAACCCACTACATTCTCTGAACTCCTGGGTTCAAACTGTCCTCCCACGTAGCTGGGACTAGAGGCACAGGCCATCACACCTGACTAATTTTTTTTTGAGACGGAGTTTTGCTCTGTTGCCCAGGCCGGAGTGCAGTGGCACAGTCTTGGCTCACAGCAACCTCTACCTCCTGGGTTCAAGCGATTCTCCTGCCTTAGCCTCCCGAGTAGCTGGGATTACAGGCATGTGCCACCACGCCTGGCTAATTTTTGTATTTTTAGTAGAGACGGGGTTTCACCATGGTGGCCAGGCTGGGTTCTGGTTGTTTATGATCTTTATTTTTTGGTGATCTAGGAACCAAACAACAAGAAATTGTTGTTTCCCGTGGGAAGATCTTGGAGCTGCTTCGCCCAGACCCCAACACTGGCAAAGTACATACCCTACTCACTGTGGAAGTATTCGGTGTTATCCGGTCACTCATGGCCTTTAGGCTGACAGGTGGCACCAAAGACTACATTGTAGTTGGCAGTGACTCTGGTCGAATTGTTATTTTGGAATACCAGCCATCTAAGAATATGTTTGAGAAGATTCACCAAGAAACCTTTGGCAAGAGTGGATGCCGTCGCATCGTTCCTGGCCAGTTCTTAGCTGTGGATCCCAAAGGGCGAGCCGTTATGATTAGTAAGTGATTTACTCTACTTGCTGTATATGCCTAGTTTAGGATAACAATGCTGTGCTCTTGGTGGTGTGCCAGTGCCAATTAATTACTTATGTGGGTTTGGCATCATGTTTGGATTTACTCTAGGTTTAAAGTTGCATTTCCTTTTTAAAAGAGTTGCATTTTCTTTTAAAACAATGGGAAAAATCTTAACACACCTTTCTACTTCCCATCTAGTTGGAAATGGGTGTTTTTCAATTTCTTTTTCTTTGGCAAAAAGACTACAATGAAATGATCTTATGTTATTAGACAGTGAATATCGTTGCTTTCATCAGCCTGAAGTGATGATTCACATTCATGTCTCTTCTCTGATAAATTCTTGAAGAAAATTTTTGTGTGTCTGATCAGGCCTCTAGAGGGCAGTCATAAATCGTTAGATCTATTTCAGAGAATAAGGCTAATGATAATTTTATGAATTACTGTTTTTCAGTATCCTTAAATGTAGGACTCATTAAAAAATTTTGACTAGTTAGTGGGATATTTAAGACCTGTATTAGGAAGAAGGGGGCCACAATGATGCCATTGTCTTTAAAAAAATTTATTTATTTATTTTTAAGAGATGGGGGTCTCAGCCGGGCACGGTGGCTATTTATCTTTAAAAGAGATGGGGTCTCAGCCAGGTGCGGTGGCTCACACCTGTAATCCCAGCACTTTGGGAGGCCAAGGTGGGAGGATCACTTGAGGTCAGGAGTTTGAGACCAGCCTGGCCAACATGGTGAAACCCAGTCTCTACCAAAAATACAAAAAATTAGCTGGGTGTGGTGGTGGGTGCCTGTAATCCCAGCTACTTGGGGCAGGAGAATCGCTTGAACCCGGGAGGCAAAGGTTGCAGTGAGCCGAGATAGCGCTACTGCACTCCAGCCCGGACGACAGAGTGAGACTGCATCTCAAAAATAAATAAATAAATAAATAAATAAATAAATAAATAAATAAATAAGAGAGAGATGGGGATCTCACAATGCTGCCCAGGATGGTCTTGAATTCCTGGGCTCAAGCAATCCTTCCTTCTGTCTTGGCCTCCCAAAGTGCTGGGATTACAGACTTGAGCCACTGTGCCCAGCTCCACTATTGTCTATTCTTTTTTTTTTTTTTTTTCAAATGAGGCAGAGTTTCGCACTTGTTGCCCAGGCTGGAGTGCAGTGGTGCGATCTCAGCTCACTGCAACCTTTGCGTCTCAGGTTCAAGCAATTCTCCTGCCCCAGCCTCCCAAGTAGCTGGGATTAGAGGCATGCACCACCACACCTAGCTAATTTTTTGTATTTAGTAGAGACAAGGTTTTACTGTGTTAGTCAGGCTGGTCTTGAACTCCTGACCTCAGGTGATCCACCCACCTCAGCCTCCCAAAGTGCTATTCTGATGATAGAAAACAGAATCCTGAGTTTTTATACTTGTAGAGTTACTGCTGTTAATAATGATTAAAAGAAAAGCATGATGTGACTCTAGCTGTTCTATAAGTCTCTCTTCTCATTATCTGGGAATCTTGTATGTTTTATCTCCTTCAACTACAGGTGCCATTGAGAAACAGAAATTGGTGTATATTTTGAACAGAGATGCTGCAGCCCGACTTACCATTTCATCTCCCCTGGAAGCCCACAAAGCAAACACTTTAGTGTATCATGTAGTTGGAGTAGATGTCGGATTTGAAAATCCAATGTTTGCTTGTCTGGAAATGGATTATGAGGTAATGGGGACCCTGTCTCTTTGCGTTTCTTTCAGTCACCTCAGTGTTTTTTTTTAAGATTGTTTTCCGGCCGGGCGTGGTGGCTCACGCCTGTAATCCCAGCACTTTGGGAGGCAAGGCTGGCGGATCATGAGGTCAGGAGATCGAGACCATTCTGGCTAACACAGTGAAACCCCATCTCTACTAAAAATACAAAAAGAAAATAGCCGGGCATCGTGGCGGGCGCCTGTGGTCCAGCTACTCGGGAAGCTGAGGCAGGAGAATGGCGTGAACCCGGGAGGTGGAGCTTGCAGTGAGCCGAGATCTCGCCACTGCACTCCAGCCTGGGCGACAGAGTGAGACTCCATCTCAAAAAAAAACGAAAAGATCGTTTTCTTCCTTGTGCATACCTTTTTTTCTTTTTTTTGAGACAGTCTTGCTCTGTTGCCCAGGCTGGGGTGCAGTGGCACAATCTCAGCTCGCTGCAACCTCTGCCTCAGCCTCCTGAGTAGCTGGGACTACAGGTGCTGCCACAACGCCCAGCTAATTTTTGTATTTTTAGTAGAGATGGGGTTTCACTATGTTGGCCAGGCTGGTCTTCTGACCCCAGGTGATTGGCCCACCTCAGCCTTCCAGAGTGCTGGGATTATAAGGCCTGAGCCACCTCACCCAGGCCCAGCCCCTTATGCATATCTTAATTCTGTCCTGCTAGCAGATCTTCATATTCCAAATGCCTTACTGAAATTCTTTGGGATGCTTCAGAGGTTAAGCAACTATTTAATAGTCTTTCTCTGATTTAAGTAATCTCCCTATGGAAACAAGATATTTATTGGGAAAAGCTTCATGAAAAACTTGAAGCTATGTTTAAGGTATTTTTTCACAGAACATACTATTGTTTTCCTTTAACGGAAGGCAGTATCCTCTAGTAGAGAGCTCCCTGGATCCAGAATTTGGAGATTGCAGTTCTCGTTCTAGCTCTGCCATTATCTTATAGCATAAACTTTGTCAAACTATTTGGCGTCAGCCAGGTGTGGTGGCATGTGCCTATAGTCCTAGCTGCTTGGGAGCCTGAGGCCCAGGAATTCTAGGCTGCAGTGAGATAAGATTGTACCACTGCAGTCGTGTACAGTGGCTCACGCCTGTAATCCAAGTTTGGGAGGCCGAGGCGGGCAGATCACCTGAGGTCAGGAGTTCGAGACCAGCCTGACCAACATGGAGAAACCCCATCTCTACTAAAAATACAAAATTAGCCAGGCGTGGTGGCACATGCTTGTAATCCCAGCAACTCGGGAGGCTGAGGCAGGAGAATCACTTGAACCTGGGAGGTGGAGGTTGTGGTGAGCTGAGATCGTGCCATTGCACTCCAGCCTGGGCAACGAGCAAAACTCCGTCTCAAAAAAAAAAAAAGATCATACCTCTGTGCACTGCAGCCTGGGTGACATAGTGAGAACCTGTCTCTCCAAAAAAAAAAGAAGACATTTGTGGACTTCTGTTTCCTCATTTGTAAATTGGAGTCCTGATGTCCTTTCCAGATCTTCGATTTTATGCTGATGATTAGTTTTTATGCCACTATTCTCTGTAGGAAGCAGACAATGATCCAACAGGGGAAGCAGCAGCTAATACCCAGCAGACACTTACTTTCTATGAGCTAGACCTTGGTTTAAATCATGTGGTCCGAAAATACAGTGAACCTTTGGAGGAACACGGCAACTTCCTTATTACAGGTACTTTTCTTTCAGAGCTGCTTTGTACCCTTTTACTTGGTTCATTTTATGCCCAAACCTAATAGGTTTTACTTAAAGGGTTTGGGAATTAATCCATTTGTTGTGAACCTGAATACCTTATCTTTTGGACAGGTTAGAAGTTCATGTGGTGGAGTGATTTTAAAAAGTGTTGGGGATAAAGACTGCCTAGCTCCTTAATAACTCATATTCTACTGAGGGCAGGGAAGAGAAGTTGAAGGGAGCAGTCAGCTTGGAATATTGATTACTGTTAGTTGCTGTGACAGTTTGGCTGTAGTCAGTCTTTGCCTCTCATTCAAACCTAACTCTTTCAAAAGCCAAACAAAATGGACAGACCCCACAAGATGGAACTTGTGAATTTGAAAACTTAAACAAAATAGAAATATTTTTGAAGACGATTACCAGATTGATCCAAAAATAAATTAAGAACTTCAATAGACCAGCGTTAGAGAAATTGAAGCAGTAGTCCAAAGTCACTCTCCCAAAAGATTGAGGTCCAGGATTTTCAGGAAAGCTTTTATCTTCTTGTTGAGGGACATATATGTATTCCGTTTTAAAACAAGTTTCTCGGCTGGGCATGGTGGCTCACGCCTATAACCCTAGCACTTTAGGAGGCTGAGGCAGGAGCATCACTTGATCTCAGGAGTTTGAGACCATCCTGGGAAACAAGGTGAGATCTTGTCTCAATGAAAAAGTAAATATTAAAAAAAAAAGTAAAACAGATTTCTCTAGAGTAGAAAAAGAGTAAATGCTACTGTGCCGCTCTCTGAGTCTAGTATGACTACAGTATCAAAACTAGGGATGGACAGTAACAAAAAAAATTTGCAGGCTAGTTCATACGGTTGTAGATAGGAAAAGCTAACATTCCAGCAAATCAGATTCAGTGTTTTAAATGCACATAGCTAAGTAACGTTTTTGGAGGAGCTAAAAAATGGAAAATATTTTCATGGTTGGAAATCAGTTCACCATTGGAAAATACACGTTACTAATTGATTATATTAAAAGACTAAATGAGTACAGCTACATTTGTGGTCATCTGCATTTCAGCAGGCTTGGGGAAAACTGATCTAGTTCTATTTTGAATCATTTGCACTTCAACTGATGTCTAAAATAAGATGTTGTTTGGGGAAGATACTGGAGAATAAAAATAAAGGACAGCACTTACCTTTGTTAATACGTTAAGCAGATGAATTTTTGATCACACATCTCATTACTTGTAACATATTACCATACCTTTCATTTACAAGGGCTTTTTCATTCTTTCAACACATTTTTATTGAGCCTTTGCAGTCAGTATGTGCTAAGTCAGTCTGCTGGATCTTGGGACTTCAGTGGTGAAAAATTAGACGTGGTGCCGCCTTTGTGCAAGATTGAGTCTGGTGGTGAATACAGATAAATAACCAAAACAATTACCAGAAACTGTGCCAAATGCCATGACAGCACAGAGAAGAGGTTCCCTAAACAGGGAAAGGAAACGAATGTGTTACAGAAAGCTTGCTGGAGTCTCTAAGCTGAGATCTGAGGGCTAGTTAGAAGTTAGCTAGGTGCAGTTGGAGTGGGAGAGGAAGTTTCAGTTGTAGGCAAAGGGAACAGCATTTACAAAAGCCTAAATACAAGAAATAACATGGTCCATTCAAATAATTAAAAGCTCATTATGATTTAATTATTAAGGGACTGGGGTAGGAGTAGGGGTGGGGTGAAAGCTACTGAAGGATTCTAAGTAGGGAAATAATCTGATAGGTTGACAACCTTAGAAAGATTAATTGCTTACATTTTGGCTAATGAAATGGAGGATATTAAGACTGTAAGAGGGGAGACTGATGAGGACATTAAGAGATACTGGTAGCTGCTAAGGAGGTAGAATCAATAGGGCTTTGGGAGGAGAGAGAATTGAAGGATTATACTCAGGTGTCTGGTTTGGTCTGTTGATGGTAGTATTCTCTAAGGTGGAGAATCTAGGAGGTGGAGCAGGGTTGGGAAGGAACTTGAGTTTGTTTATGAACATGCTGTTACTTTATTTTATTTTTATTTTATTTATTTACGTTCTTGAGACAGAATCTCGCACTGTTGCCCAGGCTAGAGCACAGTGGCACGATCTTGGCTCACTACAACCTCCACCTCCTGGGTTTAAGCAGTTCTCCTGCCTCAGCCTCCCGAGTAGCTGGGATTACAGGCGCCCACCACCATGCCTGGCTAATTTTTGTAGTTTTAGTAGAGACGGGATTTCACCGTGTTGGCCAGGCTGGTCTCGAACTCCTGACCTCAGGTGATCTGCCTTTGGTCTCCCAAAGTGCTGGGATTACAGGCATGAGCCACCATGCCCAGCCTGAACACACTGTATTTTAAAAATACCGGTGGAAGGTCCATGTCCAGTAGGTGATTTGATGTATTATAGGTCTGAAGATGGGGTCTGAAGATGAGAACTGCATTTGGGCTTGGAGGTAAACATTTGGATACGTTATCCAGGCTGAGACCAAACCTTCCATGTAAACACAAACTGTGCTTCATCCTTATCTACCATGAACATAAGGGAGGAGAAACACATGAAATGTTTCTTAGCATCAGGCACATTACCATCATCAAGTTGTGCTGAAAGAGAGGAGGAGTTGAAAGCTGAAGAAATTCATGTCTGAGTCAAAGTCACTGCTAAGTTTTATTTTCTCTCACAGTTCCAGGAGGGTCAGATGGTCCAAGTGGAGTACTGATCTGCTCTGAAAACTATATTACTTACAAGAACTTTGGTGACCAGCCAGATATCCGCTGTCCAATTCCCAGGAGGCGGGTAAGATCTTTGATATAAGAAGAGAGAGATTTGTGTTTAATTTTTGTGATTACAGTGTAGTCTCTTAGTTTGTTACCAATTTAGTTTTTTTGTAAATTAAAAAAAAAATTCAGTGACCCTGGGGCAGGGACGTAAATGTTGTTTTTAATAAAGCTGGTGAAATATTTTAGTAAAAGCCAAACAAATTCTCTTAGAAAGGGAATTAAAACTAATCTAATTTCTATTTCAGAGGAACCTGTGGACAATTATTAATTTGAAATTCCTGAATGTTTCTAGTTTGGAGAAACCAGGCATATTTGTTAGAGATAGGTTGCCTTTTATTCTATTTGGTTTTTTTTTTTTTCCAACATTTTTATTTTGAAAATTCCAACATACAGAAAGTTTAAAAACAATGAACAATGAATTCCCACATGCCTTTTAGATTAATCCGTTATTAATATTTTGCTACATTTGTTTTTTCTTTCTCATGATATATCCATATACTTTCTAGGCTAAGCAATTTGAAAAGAAGTTACAGGCATTATGATGCCTCACTCCAGTAATCTTCTAAGATAATGGCTCCCGAGAACAAGGACATTTTCCTACATTACCAGATTGCCAATATCATACCCAAGAAATTGTAACATTTTGTGTAGTATAGTTACCTTATGTATAGTTTATATTCATATTTCTCTCATTATCCCAAAAAGTTCCTTTGTAATTAATTGGCCTTTAGTCTCCCTTAGTTCAGGATATTTCCCTCTCACCTTTTTTTCTTTTTTTTTTGAGATGGAGTCTTGCTCTGTTGCCCATGCTGGAGTGCAGTGTTGTGATCTTGGCTCACTGAAACCTCTGCCCCCCGGGTTCAAGTGATTTTCCCACCTCAGCCTCCCATGTAGCCAGGATTACAGGCATGCACTGCCACACCTGGCTAAATTTTTTTTGTATTTTTATTTTTTGTATTTTATTTATTTATTTATTTGAGACGGAGTCTCGCTCTGTCACCCAGGCTAGAGTGTAGTGGTGCGATCTGGGCTCACTGCAAGCTCCGCCTCCCGGGTTCACGCCATTTCTCCTGCCTCAGCCTCTCGGGTAGCTGGGACTACAGGCGCCCACCACCACGCCCGGCTAATTTTTTTTTTTTTGTATTTTTAGTAAAGATTGGGTTTCACCGTGATCTCAATTTCCTGACCTCGTGATCTGCCCGCCTCGGCCTCCCAAAGTGCTGGGATTACAGGCGTGAGCCACCGCACCCGGCCTTTTTTGTATTTTTAATAGAGACGGGGTTTGCCATGTTGGCCATTCTCGTCCCAAACTCCTGACCTCAAGTCATCTGCCTGCCTTGGCCTCCCAAGGTGCTGGGGTTACAGGCATGAAGTGCCCTGCCAGTCTGGGCTAATTTTCTTTCTTTTTTTTTTTTTTTTTTTTTAAGATGGTGTCTTGCTCTGTTGCCCAGGCTGGAGTGCAGTGGCGCAATCTTGGCTCACTGCATCCTTGACCTCCCAGTCTCAAGTGATCCTTCCATCTCAGCCTCCCAAGTAGCTGGGACTACAGGCACCTGTTACCATGCCCAGCTAATTTTTATATTTTTAGTAGAGATGGGGTCTCACCATATTGGCCAGGCTGGTATCGAACTCGTGACCTTGTGATCTGCCTGCCTCAGCCTCCCAAAGTGTTGGGATTACAGGCGTGAGCCACTGCGCCTGGCCAGCTAATTCTCTTATAGTCTGTCCCATAGTTTGTTTCCTCATGATTATATTGAGTTTAATATTTCTGATATAATTACTACATAGGGAGTGATGTATAAGTGATACATATTCTCCACTATGTCACACATTGTGTGTACATAATGTTGGTTTATCTGATTGAGACATTAAATTGGTCACTTTGTTAAGGTGGTGCCTGCCCATTGTCTTCATTGTAACGGTATTGTTTCTTTTTTGGTAACTGATAATGGAATTTGATGGTGATCTTTGAGACTAATGAATATCCCTCTTCCTGAGACTAGTGAATATCCCTCTTCCCCGGCGTCTTTTCACCTGGTGGTTTTGGTGTGGATTCTTTGAATCATTTACTGCCATCTCTCCCCTCAATCCCCTGGATTATTTATTTGCTGTTAAATATTTATCTGTTCTGGGGTTGAACTTTAGGATTTAATTTAATGTAATATGTAGTACGTAAGATTCCAGCAATTTTAGAAAACCTTAGAAGAAATTTGGCAAGTTAAATTCTTCTTGTTAAGGGATAGGAAGTCACTAAGTTGATTAGACATTGAGCACCTAACTGTGCCAGGCACTGTATTTGGCTTTGCAATAACAAAGTCTAAAACTTCTTGCAGAGCAGAGCTTACTCGGTGGGAGAAATAGAAACTGTTGGAAACGTTAAAAAACGCAAGGCAGGTGCAGTGATGTGCCTCTGATCCCCAGCTACTTGAGAGGCTGAGGCGGGAGGATCCCTTGAGCCCAGGAGTTAGAGACCAGTCTGGGCAACATAGTGAGACCTTGTCTTTAAAAGAAAAAAAATTCAAAGTCATACCTAAGGAGGTGCCTTTTAGGAATCAGGCATTTGATGTAGAACAGGGTAATTTGGATGGAGCAGTGTTTCACAGCCTGAAATGATGACTCTTTAAAAAATTTCATGTCTCTTCTCTGACATTTTTCTCTGGACACAGTTTTTGCCTTATGAATCTGATCAGGCTGTAGAGTGGAATTGGGACTCTTTTGGTTACCCAGATTTTATTAGATATTTATATTAGAATTTTGAGCTGTGGGGTTCCAGTGCTCTGGCTGGCAGGACACTGTGGATCAAAGCTTGTGCCTTTAGGCCTTTAATGTCATTTGTAATCCCTATTGGTAAAGTGCTGAATTCCAGAACTAAGAAGTACCCATTTCTAAGACATTGATTGTGTTTTTGACTTTGCTAGAATGACCTGGATGACCCTGAAAGAGGAATGATTTTTGTCTGCTCTGCAACCCATAAAACCAAATCGATGTTCTTCTTTTTGGCTCAAACTGAGCAGGGAGATATCTTTAAGATCACTTTGGAGACAGATGAAGATATGGTAAGTAGACCATGGATGGACCAGTATAGCTACTCTATGAGATGAGATAGGCAAGACAGGTAATACTTTACAAGTTAAAAAAATGAGAACTTAGAAAGTAGTTGCCCTTGGAACCGGTATATGAGTATAGATTTTCTCTCTGGTTATCAGATTTTTGGTCTAGTAATCTTACATACAATATAAGAGCGGCAATGCCACTTGTAGTGATTATTTTTAGGTGAAGAAGATAGTGATTATTTTTGGTGTGAAGAAGATAAAGGTCTCTGTTTCTGCTGAAAACTGGTAATAAACATGATCTGTTACTTGTTTTATCCTATGGACGAGCTCTGTGAGTTGTTGGGCAATTTCTTAGATAGCTGTTTGGATCAGGAATTGGCAAACATTTTTTTGTAAAGGCCACATAGTAAATACTTGCAGCTTTTGTGAGCTACGTAGTCTCCGTCTCAATTACTCAACTCTGCCATTATAGTACAAGACAGCCACAGCCAGTAATGATTGGCATGACTGGCCCATGAGCCGGAGTTTGTTGACCCCTGGTCAGATATGAAATACAGTATTTTATTTGCTACTCAGCCTGTGCTGTCTTATAATACGGGGCTCACTTCACTTTGTTTGTACACCAGAATGTTTCTTTTCTCACCAGGTTACTGAGATCCGGCTCAAATATTTTGATACTGTACCCGTTGCTGCTGCCATGTGTGTGCTTAAAACAGGGTTCCTTTTTGTAGCATCAGAATTTGGAAACCAGTGAGTAATCCTTCTGTTACCCTAGTTCACCCTGGTTGGGATAAAAGTTGGCAGCAGAAGCTGGGTGCAGTGGCTCACGGCCATAATCCTAGCACTTTGGGAGGCTGAGGTGGGTGAATCACCTGAGGTAAGGAGTTGGAGACCAGCCTGGCCAACATGGTGAAACCCCATCTCTACCTAAAATACAAAAATTAGCTGGACATGGTGGCGGGCACCTGTAATCCCAGCTACCGGGGAGGCTGAGGCAGGAGAATCACTTGAATCTGGAAGGTGGAGATTGCAGTGAGCTGAGATCACGCCACTGCACTCCAGCCTGGGTAACAAGAGCGAAACTCTCTCTCAAAAAAAAAATAGTTGGCAGTAGGAAGGTGCGGCTTTGAGGCTTAGGGAGCTTTTCACAAGAATGTGTTAGTTCTTTCAAAAGAAGTTTGTTCTATCCTTGTAGAGTCTTTCTTTTTCTTACCTTCCTTTATTTTAGTGGCTTCGGGCAGTACCTCTGTAGGTATCTCCAGAACTATCTTTAGATTTGATGTCTCTTCTGAGCTTTTTGCTGAATATTTCATCAAATAAATTTTTTTTTTTTTTTGAAGTGGAGTTTTGCCCTTGTTGCCCAGACTGGAGTGCAATGGTGTGATCTCGGCTCACCGCAACCTCTGCCTCCCAGGTTCAAGCAATTCTCCTGCCTCAGACTCCTGAGTTGCTGGGATTGCAGGCATGCGTCACTATGCCCAGCTCATTTTGTACTTTTAGTAGAGACAGGGTTTCTCCATGTTAGTCAGGCTGGTCTCGAACTTCCGACCTCAGGTGATCGCCTGCCTCGACCTCCCAAAGTGGTTGGATTACAGGCGTGAGCCACTGCGCCCAGCAGTACTTAAATATTTCAATAAGTATTTATTTGATGAAATGGCCAGGCGCGGTGGCTCACGCCTGTAATCCAAGCACTTTGGGAGGTTGAGGCGGGCGGATCACCTGAGGTCGGGAGTTCGAGACCAGCCTGACCAACATGGAGAAACCCTGTCTCTACTAAAAGTACAAAATGAGCTGGTCTCAAACCAGCTGGCCAAGCTGGTCTCAAACTCCTGACCTCAAGTGATCCATCCACCTTGGCCTTCCCGAAGTGTTGGGACTACAGGCGTGTGCCACCGTGCCCAGCCGAGCCTTCTTAGCTTTTTGGGGTTTTTTTTGGTTGTTTGTTTGTTTAAGACAGAGTCTTACTCTGTTTCCCAGGATGCTGGAGTGCAGGGGTGCAATCTCGGCTCACTGCATCCTCGACCTCCCAGGCTCAAGGTGATCCTTCCATCTCAGCCTCCCAAGTAGCTGGGACTATTAGCAAGGTGCATGCCTGGCTAATATATGTATTTCTTGTAAAGTCTCAAACTTCTGGACTTAAGCAATCCAAGCAATCCACCTGCCTCAGTCTCCCAATGTGCTGAGATTACAGGCTTGAGCCATAGCGCCTGGCTGATATTTGTCCCTTTGTGTCTAGCTCATTTTACTTGGCATAATATTTAGAAAATTCATGTTTAAAAAAAAAAAGAAAGAAAAAGATTCATGTTTTGGTAGCCTGTATCAGAGCTTCGTTCCTTTTTGTGGCGGAATAACTCATTGTATGTACATACTGCATTTTGTTTACCCATTCTGCTGATGTACACTTGGATTGTTTCTACCTTTCACTATTGGGAACAATGCTGTGGTAGATGTTGCTGTGCTAATACCTATTTGATTCCCCATTTTTAATTTTTTTGGGTATATATGTAGGAGTGGAATTACTGGGTCATGGTAATTCTGTGTTTAACTTTTTGAGAAACCACCAAACTTTCTCATAGCAGCCACACCATTTTACATTCCCAACAGCAGTATATGAGGGTTCCAGTTTCTCCACATCCTTGCCAACTTGTTTTCCACGTTTGTGATTATAGCCATCCTGCTAAGTATGCAGTGGTGGTATGAAGTGGTAGCTCATTGTGGTTTGCCTTTCCCCGGTGATGAGTGATGTTGAGCATCTTTTTGTGTTTATTGGCCATTTGTGTATCTTTGGAGAAATGTCTATTCAAATCCCATTGCCCATTTTTTAAGAGTTGTCTTTTTATTTTTGAGTTCTCTATGTGTTCTGGGTACTAGACCCTTGTCAGAAATACGATTTGCAAATATTTTCTCTCATTTTGTGGGTTGTCATCTTTCTTCCTTTGATGCACAAAAGTTTTAAATTTTGATAAAGTCCAGTTTATCTGTATTTTCTTTGTTGCTTGTGCTATAAATAAAATACTCACTGCACTTCCCAGATCTTTTCCCTGAATTGTTTTGAAACAAATCCTAGCTGTCGTACTTAGTGATAACACCTAAAAATAATAACAATAGTATCTTAATATAATCAAATAGCTTGTGCTTTATGTTGATGCCAGACATTATCGTCAGGCAGAGAACTCGTTACCGAAAGTTTCTCTCCTCTGCTTCTTCCCAGTTACTTATATCAAATTGCACATCTTGGAGATGATGATGAAGAACCTGAGTTTTCATCAGCCATGCCTCTGGAAGAAGGAGACACATTCTTTTTTCAGCCAAGACCACTTAAAAACCTTGTGCTGGTTGATGAGTTGGACAGCCTCTCTCCCATTCTGTTTTGCCAGGTTGGTGGGCCTTTCCAGCCCCTTCCACAATAGATCTAAAGTTAAACTGAGGTCTAGTCTAAGAAATAGCTTTATTAGTATTTCCATGAACTCGCCAGTGTGTAAAGCAGTTAGAGGTAGAAGTTTGAGCACAAAAAACCATTAATAAGTCCTCGGGCTTTTTTTCCCATAATGACAAAACTCACGTTTAATGTAAAAATGCAGATCATATTCCTGTACAGCTTGCAGGGGAGGAAAAAATCAGACCATACAAGAAGTGAGAAGTAAAAGTCCTCCCCGTAATCTTCTCACCTGTCCGCTCCATTGAGCCATATTGCTTGTATTAACAACTTCTTGTGACTGCTTCTAGGTGTTTTCTCTGCATTTACAATCATGTATATGTTTATGTGTTATATCTTTTTCTTTTTAAAATAAGTGGATTCATATACTCCACAGTATTCTGTGGTTGACCTCTTGTCATGTAACAGTCTACATATAGCTGTATTTATTTAATTTTACCACAGTTCCTCTTTAAAATAGTTCTGAGACATTGGGATCAGTTGGTAACAGGTAGTTTTGAATCACATTCTCAAGGAGGAACCTGAAGTGGCTCAGAATGGAGTTTGTGTCTCTCATTGCTGGTGCTCAGTTGTGACAGCCAGGAATTTGATCATGTTGCTGCATCCTCAATTGTCAGGGTTTGAGTGACCATTAGGGACCACCTGTGTAGTTGATCACACTTCTGATGGGAGAGGAGTTTGTTCACTGGGTACTGGGGAAACAAGTCAGCATTCAGACAGGTTTAATTAAACCCATCTGAAATTAATTGCTTTGTTCTTCCTTTCTGAGAAACGATTAGTCTTGAGGGCAACAGAAAATAAATGTGACTAATTTCTTTTTTTTTCTTTTTTTTTTCTTTTTTTTTTGAGATGGAGTCTCGCTCTGTTGCCCAGGCTGGAGTGCAGTGGCGTGATCTCGGCTCACTGCAAGTTCCGCCTCCCAGGTTCACGCCATTCTCCTGCCTTAGCCTCCCTAGTAGCTGGGACTACAAGCGCCCGCCACCATGCCCAGCTAATTTTTTGTATTTTTAGTAGAGACAGGGTTTCACTGTTAACTAGCCAGGATGGTCTCGATATTCTGACCTCGTGATCCGCCTGCCTTGGTCTCCCAAAGTGCTGGGATTATAGGTGTGAGCCACCACGCCCGGCCAAGTGTGACTAATTTCTAATTTGATTTTTAGTGATTTTTTTCACCTTCATTGGAATTTGAATAAATAATGTGTGTAAATAGTTTATTCATCAAGAATAAAATTAGCCAGGCATGGTGGCTCATGCTTGTAATCCCAGCACTTTGGGAGGCCGAGGTGGGCAGATCACCTGAGGTTGGGAGTTTGAGACCAGCCTGACCAACATGGAGAAACCCTGTCTCTACTAAAAGAAATACAAAATTAGCCAGGCATGGTGGCGCATGCCTGTAATCGCAGCTACTTAGGAGGCCGAGGCAAGAGAATCGCTTGAACTTGGGAGGCAGAGGTTGCGGTGAGCTGAGATCACACCATTGTACTCCAGCCTGGGTAACGAGCGAAACCCCGTCTCAAAAAAGAAAAAAAAAAGGCCGGTCACGATGGCTTACACCTGTAATCCCAGCACTTTGGGAGGCCGAGGCGGGTAGATGACCTGAGGTCAGGAATTTGAGACTGTCCTGGCCAACACGGTGAAACCCCGTCTCTACTAAAAATAAAAAAACTAGCAGGGCATGGTGGTGGGTGCTTGTAATCCCAGCTACTTGGGAGGTCGAGGCAGGAGAATCGCTTGAACCCAGGAGATGGAGGTTGCAGTGAGCTTACACAGTGCCACTGTACTCTAACCTCGGTGACAGAGTGAGACTCTGTCTTAAAAAAAAATAAAATAAATAAAATGAATGGGAAGTTAAAGTGTGTATAGCAGGGCTTCTTAACATTTCTTTCTGCCATGGATCTTTTTGCTAGCCAAAGCATCTGGATCCGATCTGAATAATGTTTTACTGTTTTTTTGTGTTTTTTTTTTTAATTTTTTTTTGAGACAAGAGTCTCACTCTGTTACCCAGGCTAGAGTGCAGTGGCACAGTTACGACTCACTGTAGCCTCAGCCTCCTGGGCTGAAGCGATTTTCCCACCTCCGCCTCCTCAGTAGCTGGGACTATAGACACAAGCCACCATACCCAGCTAATGAATGATATTTTTAAATGCATATGAAAATATGCATAGAATCAGAATAGCAAAATATTTTTTAAAGTTGTGGAAAACAGATGTGCTTTACTGAGGTTTTATAAATAATAAGATGATACACTTAAAATGGGTGTGTTAATTTTTTTTAGGAGACTGGTGTGATGGCTGTATACCCTCAGTACTCACATGTGCGTCTGTGTTACAGTAGACTCCATTGCTCTGCAGAGAGAGTAAAGAATTTTCATTTGAACTGTCCAGTTTGTCAAAACTACAATACAGATCATTCACCTCTTTTCACATATTGATCAGCAGATAATTGTATTGGAAAGCAGCTGGATGTCTGGGATACTAGAGAATCAGAGTTGTGTTTGAAAACAGCACTGGAGACATTTTTTCCTCTAACTTTTTCTCTGTGCAGATAGCTGATCTGGCCAATGAAGATACTCCACAGTTGTATGTGGCCTGTGGTAGGGGACCCCGATCATCTCTGAGAGTCCTAAGACATGGACTTGAGGTAAGGTTGCAATTTCTAGATAATCTGCAGGGTTTGGAGGGAAGCACTGACAAAGTAGTTTATGGGTTTACTCTGATGTTGTCAAAGACATAGTTAAGGTGTCTGTGAAAAAGTATGTTCTTTCTCCCTGACTTCCCCGAAGTTTATACTTCAGATTTTCTTTCTTTTTGTCTCCAAAACAGGGTCTCACTGTGTTGCCCAGGCTGGTGTGCAATGACATGATCTTGGCTCACTGCAGCCTTGACCTCTTGAGCTCAAGTGATTATTCTGCCTCAGCCTCCCAAAGTGTTGCTTACAGGTGTAAGCCACTGTGCCCAGCCTGTGCTTTTTTCTATTCCTCAACTTGTTAGCATGATAGCCCACATGGTCACTAGTCATGACATGGAGGCTAGGAAATCTATATGGAACATTTCACTCTCTGTATACATCTAGTCTTAGTTAAATCAACTATATCAATGCTATATATATTTTTGTATCTTATTAAATTTATTCCTTATTACTATATACTCCTAAATAGCATACTTTTTATTTATTTATTCATTTATTTTTGAGATGGGGTCCCACTCTGTCTCCCATGCTGGAGTGCAGTGGCTCCATCATGGCTCACTGCAGCCTTGACCTTCCTGGGATCAGGTGATCCTCCCACCTCAGCCTCCTGAATAACTGGGGACTGCAGGCACGTGCCACAACACCCAGCTAATTTTTGTACTTTTTGTAGAGACAGAGTCTTATCATGTTTCCCTGGCTGGTCTTGACCTCCTGGGGTCAAGCAATCTGCCTGCCTTGGCTTCCCAAAGTGCTGGGATCACAGCCGTGAGCCACCGCACCTGGCCAAGTAGCATAATTTTTAGTGTTTCTGCAATGTTTCACCAAAGTGGGTAGATCATAATTTATTTAGTGAATCTTTTATTGCTGGACTTTTTAGGTAATGTGGACACTAAAAGTTATCTTCTTGAATCCCATATTCTCTGTGTATCGTAGTCCTAATGTTAATGCTTTCTAGTGAGGGCCCTGAACTTGAACTTGTTAGGAATAAAATAAAAAGCTTCCTATAACAGTTTGTTTTGAGCGCTTGGGAATGGCAATCTGAGCTCTCAAGAGGCCTGCTACCTGTTTCTGTAAATTTTTATTGGAACACGCCCAAGATAATCTGGGTTTTGAATTCTGGCTCTACCACTTAATAGCTATTACTAAGTTTTTGTTTCTTCTGTTAAATGGACTTAATAATGGTACCTGCCATAAAGAATTATGTGAATTAAATGAGTTGATAACAAACAAAGCACTTAGCTTAAGGTATGGCATGAAGTGTTCGATAAATGTTAGCTGTTAACATTGGTGTTTCAGGGAATTTGAAAATGTTTTGTCTCTGCCAAAATATATTCATCAGTTCACCAAAATTTCAATGACTCAGACCCAATTTAGAGCCATAGGTCTGGTTTTTGGTTTTTTGTTGTTGTTGTTTTTGTTTTTGTTTTTTTGAGTGCAGTGGTGAGACTTTGCTTCACTGTAGCCTCCAACGCCCAGTCTCAAGCAAGCAATTCTCCCACCTTAGCTTCTGGAGTAGCTGGGACTACAGGTGTGCGCCATCACGCTTGGCTAATTTATTTATTTATTTTTGGTAGAGACAGGGTCTTGCTATTTTGCCAGGGCTGGTCTTGAACTCCTGGGCTCAAGTGAGCCTCCCACTTCACCCTCCCAAAGTGTTGTGATTACAAGCGTGAGCCACCGCGCCTGGCCAAGAGCCATTGCTCTTGATTCGTTAGTTACTTATTTCTCATTGGATCCTAGTGAGCATATGATGAAAGCTAGTGCTTTACACAAAAAATGCATATGTGCGGCTGGGCACGGTGGCGCACGCCTGTAATTCCAGCACTTTAGGAGGCTGAAGCAGCTGGATCACCCAAGGTCAGGAGTTCGAGACCAGCCTGGCCAACATGGTGAAACCCCTTCTCTACTAAAACTACAAAAATGAGCCGAGAGTGGTGGTGGGTGTCTGTAATCCCAGCTACTCAGGAGACTAAGGCAGGAGAATAGCTTGAACTGGGAGGTAGAGGTTGCAGTGAGCCGAGATCACGCCACTGTACTCCAGCTTGGGCAAAAGAGTGATACTGTCTCTAAAAAAATGCATATGTGCATTAACAGAAAATTTTTGTATAGTGTAAGAGATAAATGACTCAAGAATCATTTTTTAGTTTCCTGCTACTTCTCTCCCCACTTCAAATCTATAGACAAACCTTTGTTATATATAAAAATATTTTCTGAGGTGGGCAGATCACGAGGTCAGGAGATCGAGACCATCTTGGCTAACACGGTGAAACCCCGTCTCTACTAAAAATACAAAAAGATTAGCCAGGCGTGGTGGCGGGCGCCTGTAGTCCCAGCTACTCAGGAGGCTGAGGCAGGAGAATGGCGTGAACCCGGGAGGTGGAGCTTGCAGTGAGCCAAGATCGCGCCATTGCACTCGAGCCTGGGCGACAGAGCGAGACTCCGTCTCAAAAAAAAAAAATTTTTTTTTAAATTGTTGAACGTTGCTTTATTCCTTTATGTCTATTTGTTACACCTTGTTGTCTAACTAGATTGTGGTCTCAATTGAGCCAGGGTGACTGACAGTTTTACATTTGGTATAGACTATAGCATAGTTGACAGTTGAATTTTATTGATGATGAAGTTCTTAGGTCTTCCTTCTAATTATACCAGTAAACTAGGAAAAGGGCTAGTCTTTCTGTGAATATACATGAATTCTTCCTATAAGATGTGGGTTACACGTTATATATAAGTGGCTAGTTTATTGTCTCTAGATCATTTAAAAACATTCAATAATTTTAATTTTATAATGATTTTAAATTTATAAAAAAATTGCAAAGACAGTACAGAGAGTTCCTGTATAACCTACACCCAGTTTTCCCCTCTAGATCATTTTGAA
Organism: Homo sapiens; assembly: GCF_000001405.40. Taxonomy (NCBI): domain Eukaryota; kingdom Metazoa; phylum Chordata; class Mammalia; order Primates; family Hominidae; genus Homo; species Homo sapiens. The sequence continues at coordinate 70,547,457 of NC_000016.10, forward strand.
TTTGGCTTAGATGTTTTGTTTACTCTTATGTTTGAGAACCTATAGGACATGTAGAGAATCATTCACTCTTGACTTTAAGGAGCATAAAAATCTAATCAGAAAGACAAAACAGTTAGTACCCTAAGAGGTGGTGACTGATTTCTTTCTTTTTTTTGGAGACGGAGTCTCGCTCAGTCACCCAGGCTGGAGTGCAATGATGCAATCTCAGCTCACCGCAACCTCCGCCTCCCGGGTTCAAGCGATTCTCCCGCCTCAGCCTCCCGAGTAGCTGGGATTACGGCACCCGCCATCATGCCTGGCTAATTTTTATATTTTTGCAGAGACGGGTTTCACCGTGTTGGCCAGCTGGTCTTGAACTCCTGACCTAAGGCAATCCACCCGCCTCGGCATCCCAAAGTGCTGGGATTTCAGGTGTGAGCCACTGGGCCCAGCCGGTGGTGACTGATTTCTATGAGTGCTTATAGAAGGGAGAGGTGACTGCCAGCCAAGGGGATAAGGGAATAATTTTGTTAAAGGAGGTGGCATTTGAATTGGTCCACATGGGATTTGGCCTTATGGGAGCTGGGGAAAGAAAGGGGATGCTAATTTAGATGGCCTGATTGATTCCCAGTGGTTACTGCTGTTCTGAGGATGATCAAGGCATATTGTACTTGAAGGAAAGGGGTATGGTTTTGCCTGCAGCAACTGTACCCTCTCAGACATCCTGTAACTTTTGCTTAAGACTGTCATGGGGATTGCCACTAAGAACCAGCCTGTTTGGTTCTTAGATTCTTCTTTCACTAGGTGGTTTCATCCTTTAAATACAGCATACGTTGTGAACCCTGCCTTTGAGACCTTATTTTTTGATGTGATTGTAAGCAGGTAGCTGAGTTGCATGCTCACTGGATCTGTGGCTTCCCTCTTCTCCTGTCAGGTGTCAGAAATGGCTGTTTCTGAGCTACCTGGTAACCCCAACGCTGTCTGGACAGTGCGTCGACACATTGAAGGTAAGCAGCTTTTTCCCAATAGTCAAAATGAGGATCTAGGTGCCATTGACATAGAAGGCTTGAAAGGCTGCGTTCATAATACTTCTGTATCATTTCATTTAGCACCATATACCAGAAACTTTCTGGCCCAACACTGTTTTTGAGGCTCTTCCGTTCAGGATGCCTTCACCTACCATTTCTTTTTGTGCAGGTGGGAAAGGGGGAACATAGGTTGGCTGTTATATTTTAGTACATAAAGGTTTCAGAATCATAGAGCTGTCAAATGTGGTATTGACTTTATATTCATAAAGGTACTGGTTTCATCTGTAAGAGGTATGATATGAGGGAAAGTTGTGCTTTTTCATTCTTCTTCAACTATATTCTTTTAAATTGTTTTGAAACCACAGTGAAATTGAAGGTGGTGTTCTAGGAATTAAGAGATTTGGGAAAGCTTGTTAGTCAATCTTGCTAGTGCTTAAGGAAAGCAGAGTGGAATTGAGTGGAATTCGAATTTTAGTGTGAGTAGAAAAGCGGGGATGGGGAAGGAGAAGGGAGTTTGAGCTCCTGGATATAAATGGTCACCTGATCCTAAAACTTTGAAAGTAATAGGAGAATGCCTAGTAGTTACTGCAATAGCAGGAAAGTCTTGTGACAATTGAATTGCAGCCTCATAGAAAGAAAGCTCAGTCTCATTTTCCCTTGATTCACATTGGAGCTACGTTTTTCTCTTGTTCTCTCAGGAATGTGGGATGGGTGAGTAACATCATCCTTGCTAGCAGACAGGTTTTTCAAGAAAACAGCTGTAATTCTGCCTGATATTTAGATATTCTGCCTGTATGAAACAGATTGAAGGAGTTGGGAGACATGTAGGAGGAAAACAACTTACTATTAGTAGAATACTCATTTTTGTGGATTTAATTTTCATTGTAGGCATTTGAATCATATCCAAGTTGAGTAGAAAGGGAAAATTGTGAATAGGAAATGGGTAGGCTTATAAGCTGAAGAGATAATTATTAGGCACCTGGTTTTATGTGTAGTATCTACATAGAAGTTGGTCCGTGTTGGTGTTTTACTTTGGCTTGGTGGCTTGTTGATATTCATGGCCCTTGAAAGCATTGCCTAGACTGTTTGAATTAGAAACACGTTTTAAGATAACCTATTGTGTTCTTTCTTTTTTTCTTTTAACTTTTTAAATAAACTTTTTATTTTAAAACAGATTTAGGGCCAGGTGCGGTGGCTCATGCCTGTAATCCCAGCATATTGGGAGGCCGAGGTGGGCGGATCATCTGAGGTCAGAGTTTGAGACCAGTCTGGCCAACATGGTGAAACCCCATCTCTACTAAAAATACAAAAATTAGCTGGGCGTGGTGGTGCAGGCCTGTAATCCCAGCTACTTAAGGGGCTGAGGCAGGAGAATCACTTGAACCTGGGAGGCGGAGGTTGCAGTGAGCCGAGATTGCACCACTGCCCTCCAGCCTGGGTGACAGAGCGAGACTCCATGTCAAAAAAAGAAAAAGAAAAGAGATTTAGGTTTACAGAAAAGTTAACTCTCACTTTTATGAAGAAGACAGGAAGTTATAGGGGTTGAGTGTCTCAAGACACAGTCTAGGTAATGGGGACAGAATATCCTGGCTTCTGAATCTCAGTTGAATGCCCATTTTGATTAACTGCAGTGAGATTCTGTGGGTCTTGGTGGTTTCTTTCAGGATAAGTTTAGTTTTTGAGTGCCCACCATGTACTCAGTGATTAAGATAGACTCTGCCTCAGAGCACTTGCCATCTAAAAAAAGAAGACAAGTATACAAAAGTGTTGTGTGTTGTGATGTGGTGAAAGGCACAGGTACATTGCTGGGAGGGGTTAAAGGAGAGGGCATGTGTTTGAAGGTCAGGGCAGGCTCTTTAGAGGGACAGCATTTGCTAACTTAGTGATAGGCCGTTTGTTGCATTATGGAACTTGTAGTTGAACATTTTTCTCCTTTATTAAATGTTAGAAGTCTTGGAAAGGACTATATCCTGCTAAATTTTACTCTTTAGGTACTGTAATTTGGGAGTCACCTATAAATACAGGTCGGGTTCTGTTGGTTCACTCACTTTCCAGATACCCGAAGTTACTATTGAGTGAACATTCCTTCTGCCTGCACATGCAGCAGTCTTCCAGGCAAATACTAACCTTGGCTGGTACTTGGTGATGCACACTACCAATACCAAGCCTTTTTTTCTCTTCCACAGGTGGCTGGTGAAGGTGCTGATCACCACAGGTGTGTACCTAACTGCTAGGGTCGATGTGGGGTCTTATAGTTTATCCAAGGAGAGGGACCTGCACAAAATATTGAGGCTGCCCTGATGGTGTCTTTCAGAGGGTAACTTTGCAGTTGGATGTCACTGGGCATAATAGTGCTGCACACCATCTGCCTGTGCATCAGATGGTCTGAGGCAGGAGTCTGCCTCTCTACTTCCTCCCACAGAATTTGTCATATATGGTTAATTTGCCTTTTACTAAGCTAAAAGAGTCTCTAGCTAGAGAACTTTAGCTTCATACTCTCATAGAGTTGTACATTCCAGGTGTACTGACTGAAAGATCAGGACCGAGAGAAAGCTTTTGAGTATATTCAGGACTTGCTGAAGCAAGATAAGTATCAGATACCCTTGTCTATGAAGTGAGAGGGAGTTACTTGAGCTTCAGGTATCTGGATGGTCGCTCACTTTACCTTTTGGAGTGAGCTGCTGGTTGAGCCTTAAATCCTAAGGCAAGGCAAGTAGAAGAAAAAAGCATTCCCTCCTCTGGGGTCCTTAGCAGTGTTCAGACAGATGGGAGCCCTGTTGAACTGTGACCTAAAGATACAGTCTCATACCCTTATGGATTCTTCATTGAGGTATGAACTATTGTTTTTTAACATGAGACTTGAATTCCTTAGAATGCAGTGTGGATGGTACAGTTCCTAGTCATTTACCTTGACTAAAGCTTGGCTTTGTTCTGAACTCCAGCGTTTTTTTTAAAATAGTGTTTTGGGCTGGGCGCGGTGGCTCACGCCAACACTTTGGGAGGCTGAGGTGGATGGATCACCTGAGGTTGGGAATTTGAGACCAGCCTGACCAATATGGAGAAACCCTGTCTCTACTAAAAATGTAAAATTAGCTGGGTGTGGTGGCACATGCCTGTAATCCTAGCTACTAGAGAGGCTGAGGCAGGAGAATCGCTTGAACCTGGGAGGCGGAGGTTGCAGTGAGCTGAGATTGCGCCATTGTACTCCAGCCTGGGCAACCAGAGCGAAACTCTCTCCAAAAAAAAACTAATAAATTTTTTATAGAATTGGGGTCTTGTTATGTTGCCCAGGCTGGTCTTGAGCTCCTGAACTCAAATGATCCTCCCTCCCCAGCCTCCCAAAGTGCTTGAACCACCGTGCCCAGCTTGGACTCCAACTTTTAATCTGCAGTCACTCTAGTACATAAGAATTAACCTGCTGCAAGTCCTCTTCACTGTAGAAGGAAGGGGTAGAAGTTACAATGTGCTTGGTATTCACAGGGCAGTGTTTATTTTGAGGAAGTCTGTGATGTAAAGCAGCTTTGAGATGTCGTTGGCTCTCCCACTTGTTGAATTGTCTAGCAAAAGTATGACCCTATTTAAGTTCACTGAGCATTTATTCTCTTATGTTTGAGTAGTCTGAAGTCTTGGTCGAAGGAAAGGCACCCCTCCTCCCTTCTTTGCCCCATTCTCTCCCATGAAAGTCAAAAGTTGTGTGGTCTGTCTTTTGGAAGGTCACCTTTTCCCCTTGGTGAAGATCTGAGACCAGAAATCCTGGCCAGTTACAGCCTTTTGTTGTTTGGCTTTAATTTGCTTTGACACAGCTTTTAGGGTTATTAGGTTTCAGTAATGAGAACATGGGAAATGATACTGTATTCATATAATATTAAAATTAAACAACTGTTATTTTTACACAACAAAAATTTCCAGTACAAAAACTGAGAACTGGAGTAAAGGTTCCAAACTTGGTGTTATGTAGAGATGGATTTTGGTTTTGTTGAAAGCTACTGAGACATCCATTTCAGAGATAACCATGTCCTTACTTGTTTTATGATAGTGAGTAGTGCTTAGTCTTACAAAGCCATCTTATAAGACGTTCCCAAAGCATTTGATATATGTTGACAGTTCTAGCAAAATAACCAAAAACCAAGTATCTAGCTTCTTGTCCTGTATTATTCCTTATGATTTGGAAATTGAACCTTTACTCTGTGGATTCCTGGTCTAACCATTAGAGCATGCCCATTGGGAAAGATCTTTAATCCTTGTTTTTCAGCCACCACAGTAGGTACATATATATGCAATATTAACTGAAACAAAAGTTTCACAAAACAGTAATTATCCTACTATATATGAAGCAACTTCATAAATTACATTTATTTCTGTTATGAAGTGCCTATTGTGCAACACATTAAATTGATTTTACGTCCTGCTAATAGGGCAGAACACTACTGTAGGCCATGCCAATGATACATCTTTTTTGTTTGTTTTGAGACAGTCTCATTCTGTCACCCAGATTGGAGTGCAGTGGGGCGATCTCGGCTCACTGCGGCCTCCGCCTCCCGGGTTCAGGCAATTCTGCTCAGCCTCCCGAGTAGTTGGAATTACAGGCGCCCACCACCACACCCAGCTAATTTTTGTATTTTATTTTATTTATTTTTTAGTAGAGATGGGGTTTCACCCTGTTGGTCAGGCTGGTTTCTAACTCCTGATCTCAGGTGATCTACCCACCTTGGCCTCCCAAAGTGCTGGGATTACAGGCATGAGCCATCATGCCTGGTCGAATGATACATCTTCATTTGACCCCTGCTTCTGTAAAGAATGCTGATTCTGCAGAACTGATCTAGTAACCTTAATCTAGCTGAACCTCATTTGAAGTCATCAGAACCAAAAGTATGCCCTTCATGTGGGTGGGTGGGTGGACCAGCCCTGTGGCATTGAGCTCTTGACAAGTGCTTAGGCAGACGGGTCCTATAGCTGCTACTGCTAGGAGTGAGTCAGCCACTACATTGTGTGGTGCCTTGTCTTGTTCTGTCCTTTTTTTTTAACCTGATTTCTGGTTAAGGGGGTGTTAAAACAAAAATTCAAATGTAAACTAGGAAAATCTCAACTCTTTTAAAAAATTAGCATGCCTTTAGTCAACATTTATCAAGCTTTACGCCAAACGTACTGGATGGGGACACTTGCAGAAGCTGTTGTATGTTGTAGGGTGAGATACATGGAAAATAGATGGCCTTTATGGGATCTGTAGAAGAAACTGAGGGTTTCTGGTATACCTCAAGTCCTCTGACTTCCTTGAGAAACTCATTAGTGTTTATTCAACTACATTTAATTAGAAAAAGCAAATTCTAATAGGATTGCTCATGACCACAGGATTGTTCTGTTTCTAAATAGTGAAAAACCAGAGAGGTCACAGAATAACAATATAAACAACCCCCACCCTCCATTTCCTGGTTATCTAGTTTTCTTACATCATTCCCATTGGGACTAGGATTCTCAGCTTCCAACCCTAGAATGAGTTAGTCTCACAGAGGCTTAAGTAATCTCTATTTTATTCATTAGAGCTTGTGTTCATTTCTACATAAGCTGCTTTTGGAAGAAGTTAGGGGTCTTTCCTAGTTAGAAGGAGTATCTCTTCTTAGGAAGGGGTTGTGTGATTGACAACTGGCACAAATAAATGAAGCTCTAGCTCAGTATGTTCATGTATCAATATTGTAGTATTTAAAATGTCCTCATGTCTCCGATTCTCTTGCTTTGTCCTCTCACTTCTTTAGCAGATGTCTCAAGAAAATATTGAGGAAGCAGAGTATATCTGTAGGCTCTTCTGACCCCTAGTTTTCTTCTGGATCATTTTGCTCTGTGTGCATGTGTATGTGTGTATGTGTGTAATAACTACACATAGAAGAACTGCCTTGGAAGGTTTCTGAAGAGAACTCTTAGTGTTTCATTTGGCTTTGTAATTCTAATGAGTTCTTATCTAACCAACTCCCTTCTTTTCTTTTTCAGATGAGTTTGATGCCTACATCATTGTGTCTTTCGTGAATGCCACCCTAGTGTTGTCCATTGGAGAAACTGTAGAAGAAGTGACTGACTCTGGGTTCCTGGGGACCACCCCGACCTTGTCCTGCTCCTTATTAGGAGATGATGCCTTGGTGCAGGTGAGGGTTCTCAGAGCTTACCTACTTGGCCTGCTTTGTTCTTTCTTGGCCTTCATTGTGATGCAGGCTGCTGTGTTCATGTCTCTTCACCCTCACCTTCCAGCAAGCCTTAGGGGTAGGGAACATATGATTTGGGCACATAATATCCCTCTCTGTATTTGCCATTTTTCTGTTACAGAGCCACATCACTGCAGCTTTCATCTCTAATAAAGATCTTTATAAGTGTTTTGTTAATAAGCTTTGAACTTCTTTGAAGTGGACACTGCAAAACATGAACTATTTAAAAGTTGACCTTGCCTGAGGCCTACTAACTCTTTTGTCTTTGATTCAACTGGTGCCTCAAATGCAGTGGCCCCAGGTCTGATTTTAGTGACAGATCTGATAGATGTGAGGGTCATTCTGAGTGATGAATCAAATTGTTAAAGTCAGGTTTCTTTCTGTTACTGACTCTAGGTCTATCCAGATGGCATTCGGCACATACGAGCAGACAAGAGAGTCAATGAGTGGAAGACCCCTGGAAAGAAAACAATTGTGAAGTGTGCAGTGAACCAGCGACAAGTGGTGATTGCCCTGACAGGAGGAGAGCTGGTCTATTTCGAGATGGATCCTGTATGTTATTTTATCATTCACTGTGGGACTTATTGTAGGGACCAGAGGGAAAGATGGGCATTGTAGTCTAGTCATTTAGATGATAGTATGGTGAAATCCTGTCTCTACTAAAAATACAAAAATTAGCTGGGCGTGTTGGCATGCACCTTGTAGTCCTAGCTACTCAGGAGGCTGAGGCAGGAGAATTGCTTGAACCCGGGAGGCAGAGGTTGCGGTGAGCTGAGATTGCACCACTGCACTCCAGCCTGGCGACAGAGCAAGACTCCGTCTCAAAAAAAAAAAAAAAAAAAAAAAGCGAGCTGGAGTGACAGTGTTCACAAACCAGTTTGGTCCCTTACAGAGATGGGGAAAAGGGGTAATTTGATGTCTAATTCTAGGTAGAGTTATGAAATCCCCTCTTAGCAGTGAAACACTTGCTCCTCCTGCATTTCACTCTCTACTTTTCCAACAAATATTTGGCATAGATTTAATTTCTGCAGTCTGAATCCATTTCAGAAAACTTCTATATGGAAGGATGTTCAGTACACTTAATTCTCTTGCTCTCAGGAGGTCTCTAGTGTGGCCAAATTTGTAGCCTGCCTGTACCTTTGGTTGAGATTTCTCTGTCTTTAACCATATTTGAATTCCCTTCACCCAGAATATTCTTGTAAAACACAGACAGTTTTATATGTCTCCATTTCCTGAGAACAAAGTTGGCTCAGAAAATTTGTGGCACATTGACCTTGTCAAAGGTCTGTTCATTCTCTTATTGATGGAAGATACTCATTTTGCTTGCTGTGAGCCTGTTAACTTCAGTCTTGAGAACTCAGGTAGATAAATTCTTGTCATTTACTATAGTAAGAGGAGTGAGAGGAAGCAGAACAAAATACAACAGCCCTCCTTCATTCTCTGGATCCAGGGTTTTGGGGTGAATTGGAGCATCTAGACCCATCCCTCTGTAGTTTTGACCTTGCTGTGTCTTTCCTCCTGTAGTCAGGACAGCTGAATGAGTACACAGAACGGAAGGAGATGTCAGCAGATGTGGTGTGCATGAGTCTGGCCAATGTACCCCCTGGAGAGCAGCGGTCTCGCTTCCTGGCTGTGGGGCTTGTGGACAACACTGTCAGAATCATCTCCCTGGATCCCTCAGTGAGTGACACTCTGAGCTTCAAGGATCATCTGGTTGGAACCTGAGCATCTGGCTCCTGATGTCTATCTCTGAGATCCACTCCTGATGTCTATCTCTGAGATCAGCTGGGTTAGAACCCAGAATCCATACCTGCTGCTTCTCTTGTCATTGCAGTGTGTTTCAGGAGTTTCCTGCTGTGGTTTAAGGATATGATCTGAGACTACAGAAATGTTTCTTTGGCTTAAGCCTCAACTCCTTTTTTTAAGTTAACAACCAAGACTGCATAAATTTGACTTGCTGCAGGACCCTAGGTGACTTTTCAGGAGGTGTGCTTTGCTTAATTACCTTTGCCATTATCTTCTTTGACAAAAGGAGGAAAGCATGATCTTCCCGAAGCTTATTCTGAAATTGGGTGTAACTAATAACTCAGTACTCTCTTAGAACTCACTCCCCGGGTTTTTTCTGTGCATAAGGAAGTACTTTTTCAATCCTAGAATTAGATTTCTCTGGGTATGTTTTTTTCCTAAAATTGTCATTTTCTGTGTTTTTATGATTTTTCTCTCCCTCTCAGGACTGTTTGCAACCTCTAAGCATGCAGGCTCTCCCAGCCCAGCCTGAGTCCTTGTGTATCGTGGAAATGGGTGGGACTGAGAAGCAGGATGAGCTGGGTGAGAGGGGCTCGATTGGCTTCCTATACCTGAATATTGGGCTACAGGTAAGAGATCCAGAGGCCCACATTGTGGACATTAGGCCTTCTGTACGTTTCACACACTCCTTTGTTTGATAACAGGGATTTTCTCTGCCCATGGTTTCAGATCCTCACCTTATGAAAAGTGAACAGTGTCACTCTGGGTTCCACTTTTCTCAGCTCTTTAATTCGAACAAATCAGGCTGAGAAAGAAATATTTTGATAAAGAGTCTTCACATCTGATAAATGCTGTTTGATAGCTACTCTAAGTCAGAACTGGATGGGTTCCTGAAGGATCAACTGTAGTTCCCACTATTCACTAGTTTCAAAAGCAGCAATGAATACCTCTCAGTTCATAATTGGCTTCATTAGCAATAAAGGACCCCTAAATGTTCCCTGTTGTCAAAGTTGCTGAGCTCTTTGTGCCGTGAAGAAAAGGTGTGCTTTAACGCTAAGATAGTGTCAGGATTCTTGATCATATGCTTTTCATTTTCCTTAATGATTATTGACTCAGACATCTAAGTAATCTAGCCCAGGTACTTTTTGCTTTTTAATTTTACTTCCTAATTTAGAAATCTCAAACATAGCCAGAAGTTAGAGAGACTAATACAGTGAACTTCCATGTACCCAGTTTTTTTGGGAGAGGGTTGTTGTTATTTTTTTAGTTTTTTTTCTTTTGTTGGATTTTTATGGGCTGCCACATGGGTTTTCGGTCTATTTTTTTCTTTTTTAGTTTTAACAGCTATCAGCAACATTCTGCTGTTCTTATTTTATCTTTTCCCTGGACTATTTTAAAGCAAATCCAAGATCTATCATTTCATCTATAAATACTTGATAATGTAGTTCCAACAGATGTCTGTTTTTGTAAGATACTAGTATTATCATGCTCAGCAAAATATAACAATAGTTCCTTATTACCATGTTCCAGTTTTCCCTGTTCTTCTTTCCCCCAATGTGGCTTTATAGTTGGTTGTGCTCAGGACCTCAGCATAGCAGTCTACGCTTTTTCCATTTCCTTCATCTTTCTTTTTATGTCTCTTAAACTGTTCTACCCCATTTTGAAGTATTACAAGATCAGATCATTTGTCTTGTAGAATTTCCCACCTTCTGGACTTAATAAAGTCATTCCTTATGTGTTCAAGTTCCTGTATCCTCTGTATCAAGCTGGTGGGTAGAATTAGACCATGCCATCCATTAGAAATGTAAGGTGAACTACAGGTGTAATTTAAATTTTCTAGTAGCCACGAACAGGAAAAAAGTAATTTTAATGTTTTTTTTTTTTCTTTAAAAAAAAATAGAGATAGGGTCTCGCTGTGTTGCTCAGACTGGTCTTGAACTCCTGGCCTCAAGTGGTCCTCCTACATTGGCCTCCAAAAGTGCTGGTGGGAATGCAGGCATGAACCACCGTGCCTGGCCAGTTTTAATGTTTTATTAACTCTGTATATCTGAAATCATTCTAACATGTAGTTAATATAAAAATTGCTGAGCTATTTCACCTTTTTTTCTCTCTTTTTTAAACCAAGTCTGAAATCTGGTATTGGCACTTTACACTTAGCAGTCTTAGTTCTCTTTAAAATTTTATTTGTCTTTATTTAAAAAAAATTTCTTCCTTGACACAGAGTCTTGCTCTGTTGCCCAGGCTGGAGTGCAGTGGTGTGATCTCAGCTCACTGCAGCCTCTGCCTCCTGGGTTCAAGCGATTCTCATGCCTCAGCCTCCTGAGTAGCTGGGTTTATGGTGTGCACCACTACGCCCGGCTAATTTTTCTTGTTTCTAGTAGAGATGGGGTTTTGCCATGTTGCTCAGGCTGGTCTTGAACTCCTGAGCTCAAGCGATCCACCCGCCTTGGCCTCCCAAAGGGCTGGGATTACAGGTGTGAGACACCATGCCTGGTCCTGTCTCAGTTCTGACTAGCCACATGTGGCTTGGGGTAGCTATAGTATCGGATATTGCAGAAGAAGAAGTTGGTTAGATTCAGATTTAATTATTGGGGGAGGGGGACAGGAATACTTAATAGGTGGTGCTGTTTACTCCTGTTGCATCACGTCAGGAGGAGTGTAGTGTCTGGTTGTCCCACTCACAGTGATGTTGGGATGTTTGTCTGTATCTGTGTTAAAGTTCCCGTCAACCCTTTACTTACAGCTATTACACACATTGCCTAGGTTCATTCTTTCATTAGTGGTTGGAAAATGATTTATTTCTTTTTGGATTTAATTAGTTGGAATTCTAAAGACAAAATTCGCATCATTTCTTTGCTTACTATAAGTACGGTTCATACAGGAAAAGGATAAATAATTTTTTTCCCATTGTTCACCTGTTTTCAGAGTAAGGAGTGAGGGCCACAGCACTCCTTTCAGTGGGGCCCAGTAAAGTGGGTTTTTTGCTGTTTTTTAGAGTAACATTGGTCAGGTGCTGTGGCTCACACCTGTAATCCCAGCGCTTTGCGAGGCTGAGGTGGGTGGATTGCTTGAGCTCAGGAGTTCGAGACTAGCCTGGGCAACATGGCGAAACCTCATTTCCACCAAAAATACAAAAAATAGTTGGGAATGGTGGCTCATGCCTGTAGTCCCAGCTACTTGGGAAGCTGAAGTGGGAGGATTGCTTGAGCCTGGGAGGTGGAGGCTGCAGTGAGCCAAGATTGTGGCACTGTACTCCAGCCTGGGTGACAGAGTGAGAACCTGTCTCAATAAATAAATAAATAAAAATTTAAAAAAATAGAGTAACATCATAAACTTGTGGATTTTTATACATTTGTGCTGAAAACTCCTTTTTTTTTTTTTAAACAGAGACAGAGTCTCGCTATGTTGGCCAGGTTGGTCTTTAGCTCTTGGCCTCAAGCAGTCGTCCTTCCTTGGCTTCCACAGTGCTGTGATTACAGATGTGAGCCACCTCACCTGGCTTCTTTTTTTTTGAGGGGTGCGGGGGGGTGGTAAATTGACTCATTCTAGAAAAGTGGGAATTTCTATTTGAAGTTAGTTCTTTTGTCCTTTTAACATGACCCCACTATTTGTAGGGGTTTCCTTGCCTTGTTGCACAATAAAGTATCCCCACATGTGTCTGGAACATTCTTGCCCCTGCCCCAAACTAGTCATTCCTTTTAGGAACCTTGTTCCTTTAAGAGGAAATGCTGTTTAGGGACCATGGTCTTTGTGGTTATTTAATTATTTATTTGAAATATACAGTAGTGAAGAAGGATTTAATATACTTGGTAAAAAGAAATATTAAGAAGATATAGTGAAAAATAAGTGTGTATTTACTTAGTAGATGCTCCATAACTTTGGATGATTAAGTGATTTACTGAGAGAATGAAATGAATGGCTATCGGATTATTAGGATCTTTTTTAAACACCCAAGTCATTTCTTTCTATCTGCTCTAATTTCTTATGTGAAGTACCCAAGGGAGAGGTTTTCCCATCATAGCTGATAAGCTTCCATCAGGCTTCACCTGCTCCTCTCCTTTTGATTAGAACGGTGTGCTGCTGAGGACTGTCTTGGACCCTGTCACTGGGGATTTGTCTGATACTCGCACTCGGTACCTGGGGTCCCGTCCTGTGAAGCTCTTCCGAGTCCGAATGCAAGGCCAGGAGGCAGTAAGTAATGAAGGTTGGGGACAGGCAACATCTTTGGGATTTTAGTGGCACCATCTGAGAACAATCTTTGCTGTAAGCTTCACTGTCACTAATTTGCCACTCCATCTTGATTGGTTTCCTTCATGTGAGAAGTCCTGAGTTTTCCTAACCTAGAGCTTCCTCACTGGGGCTCCATCGCACCATGTCATGATTTGGTTATAGCTGGGTAGAGATATCGATCCCTTTAGCCCTCTGGCTGGTCAAATAGGGCTGGAAACCTCCCCTCTAGGACACCACTAGCCATGAGAATTCTCAGGTTTTATCCCAGTCTTAGATCAGTGTCACGTTTACTACCTAATGTGAAAGAGACTGGGAAACATTGTGTCCTTTGTAGTTAAGAATGTTAGTGTTTCTGGGCACTGTGCTAATTGATTCCATTTAATTCTGTTTTTTGTTGTTTTTTTTTTTGAGATGGAGTCTCACTCTGTCGCCCAGGCTGGAATGTAGTGGTGCAAGCTTGGCTCACTGCAACCTCCGCCTCCTGGGTTCAACCAATTGTCTTTCCTCAGCCTCCCGATTAGCTGGGATTACAGGCGCATGCCACCACGCCCAGCTAATTTTTGTATTTTTAGTAGAGATGAGGTTTCACTATGTTGGCCAGGTTGGCCTCGAACTCCTGACTTCAGGTGATCCGCCTGCCGTGGCCTCCCAAAGTGCTGGGATTACAGGCATGAGCCACCGCACCTGGCCTTCATTCCATTTAATTCTTGCAGCTGTCCAGCCTTGTGGTACTGTTTTCATTTTACACACGTGGAAGCAGGCTTAGAGAGATGAAATGGTGAGTCTAGATCATATGGCTCGTAGCCCATGCTTTTCACATATGCTAAGCCATAGTGCCTCTCTCTAGCCCTCTTTTTCTTAAGATAGCCTGTTATATTTCTAGAATATCTTAGGATACTCTGCAGACTGAAATTTGGGGATAGGGCTTTTGGTCAGCTTATACCATATTTGTATTTTTTCCCAAACCTTATTGGAGCTGGGTTTTTTTTTTCCCCTCAGGTATTGGCCATGTCAAGCCGCTCATGGTTGAGCTATTCTTACCAATCTCGCTTCCATCTCACCCCACTGTCTTACGAGACACTGGAATTTGCATCGGGTTTTGCCTCGGAACAGTGTCCCGAGGGCATTGTGGCCATCTCCACCAACACCCTACGGTGAGTGAGTCTCATGTTTGAAGCTCAGCAGGAAGCCTTTCTGCCAAGGGCTCAGACTGGTTCTGCCAGAGTGTTGGAGGAGGCTGTGAAGAGGTGGCAGAGAGCCGACTTCACCATGAAGCTTGTGTGTTGCAATTGAAACCTTCATTTGGCTCAGCATTTTAGTACCTGAGAGCCAAGTTTCGGTGTTTTAGCTTCTGTTAAGATTTTCAAGGCCAAGCTTTAATACAGTCCAATCTTCCTGAGATTTCAGATTTTTGTTTTCTAGCAAAAGGGTATTGCCATTGGATTAGTTTTAGAGCAAGTATTGGATCACTGCATTGATAACCTTTCTTACTCTGTCTTGTCATTTGCGGTATTAAATCTTAAATGTTAACCTATCTATAAGTTATTTAGACCTTTTTCAAGTTGACAAAACTGTTCTTCCTGGTAATATTGATGTGAAGTTTGAGCACTGTATGTAATATTCTTTGCAAGATGGAAAAGAACCTAAAATAATTCAGTCAGTTTGGCTTCCTCAGGTTTTGGGGGGCTTTTAAAATTAAGCCACCAAAGTTGTTCACATCCTGGTTATAACTATTGGCTGTTCATAATGAAACTATGGCCTCTTGATAGATTAATCACTATTGCTTATCAAATGAGCTCCCAAAATTTCTTTGCAACAACTTTCAGGGTCTTTTCATGGTCATTGTCCTTTTTCTTTCCGTCATCTTTGTATTTATCTTCTGCTCCAGCAGAATTGATCTCCCTGCACTGCTCTACATCACTTAATATTTTTTTAATCTCTACCTGTGCTAGAATGCTTCACCCACATACATACCTGCCTGTCAGTGTTCCCCTTGTCTTTTAAGCCAGCCTTGTTGTAGCCTCATCTGTGGCCCCTACCTCCTGAATTGCTATAGATTTAGACAATCGCTACAGATTTTTAGGCTTTCCTAGCAGCAGAACTTACTTCCCCCCAAAACTAAATCAGGGAAGGTGACTTATGAGACATAAAAGCAGAGTTCTTGGCAGGCAGTTTATTTTTTTATTTAATTATTTTTATTTTTAAGTTTTTTTTTTGAGACAAGGTCTTACTCTGTTGTACAGGTTGGAGTGCAGTGGTGTGATCATGGCTCACTGCAGCCCCAACTTCCTGGGCTCAAGCTATTTCTGCCTCAACCTCCCAAGTACCTGGTGGGACTGTAGGCGCATGCCATCATGCCTGGCTAATTTTTGTGTTCTATTTTATAGAGACAGGATTTCACCTTGGTGCCCAGGCTGGTCTTGAGCTCCTGGGCTCAAGAGATTCTCCCACCTCAGCCTCCCAAGTAGCTGGGACTACAGGCGTGCGCCACCATACATGGCTTTTTTTTTGGTATTTTCAACAGAGTTGGTGTTTCACCATGTTACCCAGGCTTGTCTTGAACTCCTAGCCTTAGGTGATCTGCCTGCTTTGGCCTCCCAAAGTGCTGAGATTACAGGCGTGAGCCACCACACGCAGCCCCTATCTTTTTTAATGTAGAGAATAAACTACAAATAAAACTCCATCATTAGAGATCGGGTAACTATACTTTTCAGAGTACCTGGGTTCTGCTCATTTTGCACATAGTTTGGCTTATGTGTACATCTCTGTCCCATTTGACAGAAATTTGTAGGTCCCTTATTTGCTGTCTCTTGCATTGTCATAGTTTTCCTGAACTGAGGTGATTTTTGTTCACAAAGGTATCCACTTTATTTTATGAAGCACAGTCACTACAAATACCATATATGTTTAGGTAATTGCAGTGTTTCACAACAAATTTGGGATTGGGCTCTTTATTATCATTGGAGTGATTAAAAAAAAACTTTTGACAATCGTTTGTGTTTCATTGGTAGGAACTAGAACTGCTGTGAATTGTGGTAGGGTGTTGCCAAATGGGAAGGCCCTTCCTGGATCTCTGTGTCTGCATCGCAGAGTTTTCTAGAGTAGGAGGCTGTTGTTTAATGTTGCCTAATGCCAACGTTAGAGCTCCAGGGATTGACGTGTTTGCTGACTGCTCAAAGTCTATTTCAACACCAGTTTCTGGGTCCGAGTGAGTATTAAATAACTGCCTTGCTTTTTTGTCATAGGATTTTGGCATTAGAGAAGCTCGGTGCTGTCTTCAATCAAGTAGCCTTCCCACTGCAGTACACACCCAGGAAATTTGTCATCCACCCTGAGAGTAACAACCTTATTATCATTGAAACGGACCACAATGCCTACACTGAGGCCACGAAAGCTCAGAGAAAGCAGCAGATGGCAGAGGTAATGAGACTAACGTTCAGGGGTTCTATTAAAAGATGTGTGAAATTATGTTGAAAAGTTTAAACTGCCCGGCACTTTGGGAGGCTGAGGTGGGAGGATTGCTTGAGGCCACTAGTTCGAGACCAGCCTGGGCAACATAGCAAAACTGCACCTCTATTAAAAATTTTAAAAGATAGCCTGGTGTGTTGGTGCACTCCTGTAGTCCCAGCTACTTGGGAGGCTGAGGCAGGAGGATCACTTGAGCCCAGGAGTTCAAGACTGCAGTGAGCCATGATCATGCCACTGCATACCAGTGGCACTCTGGACACGAGACTCTATCAAAAGTTTAAACTCCTGTAATTGTTAGTATATTCTTTGTTTTTAAAGATCTAGGCTTTTTTCAGCTTTTTTAAGCAGAGGCCTTTGCCCCAAAGTACTTCATTTTAGAGCCTTTCTTGTAACCCAGGACTATACTCTGACCTCCATTTATTCACAATTAAGTTCCCTCTCTGAAACAGAATTCTCCCGTCCTTGAGCTTCCAAAATAGACTGTATTTCCTTTATTTGGGCCCAAAAGAGACAGCTTTCATGTTCTCCACAACACCAGCTCTTTCTAGAACTCATTGCCTAGCAGAAACCAAATAGCTACAACCACGTAGAACTGTATCCATCCTTAAAGAGTGGAGACAGAGTAGTTTTAGTAAGGGAAATCAGATGGGTTGGATAGAAAAGTGGAGTTTCCGTTGTCATTTTTCTCAAGCCACTAGTCCAATATTTGTCACAGCTATTGTTATTTTTGGTGTTTTCTACTAATATGTAACCAGCAATGTCTGGATTTCCCTTTCTGATCTTCTGTCTTCCCTAGTCTGTACACCTCTCCCTTTAATAGTCATGTCGGGAAATCCTGGCTGGGATGGCTGACTTTGCTGCTTTATGTATTGAGAACCCCCTGGAGTGTTCTTGCTACCTATCCTCTTCTCAGCCAGCCCCTACCTCTGAGCACGCCAACTCAGTTACTCGTTTTTTTGGGTTTAGGAAATGGTGGAAGCAGCAGGGGAGGATGAGCGGGAGCTGGCCGCAGAGATGGCAGCAGCATTCCTCAATGAAAACCTCCCTGAATCCATCTTTGGAGCTCCCAAGGCTGGCAATGGGCAGTGGGCCTCTGTGATCCGAGTGATGAATCCCATTCAAGGGAACACACTGGACCTTGTCCAGCTGGAACAGAATGAGGCAGCTTTTAGGTAAGCAGCCCAGGACAGTCCAGGGTTTGGCAGGCTGGAACAGGAGCTCTCTGAGTTTTGACTAAGGCCTTACTCTTGCTTCTTATTCTGTGTGTAGTGTGGCTGTGTGCAGGTTTTCCAACACTGGTGAAGACTGGTATGTGCTGGTGGGTGTGGCCAAGGACCTGATACTAAACCCCCGATCTGTGGCAGGGGGCTTCGTCTATACTTACAAGCTTGTGAACAATGGGGAAAAACTGGAGTTTTTGCACAAGGTAGGAATCTGCCAGTGGTTCTCCTAGATTTTAAGTCCCATTGAATTCTCTCACTTTTGCTTATGTTATGGATCAGGTCTTTTGGGGACCAGCTCCTTGATTCCAATCTCTCTCTTACCAGCACATGGAAAATGCTGGGGCCTTCTAGCTGCAGTGATGTTCTTGTGCCTGTGCATTCCACAGGAAGGCTTTGTGCTAACCATCCATAATGGGGAGATAGATGCACATTCAATTGGTCTCTTTCTTACTGTTTTAATAAGCAGGCAACAATTTGTGACCAAAATTCAGCAGTTTAAATAATTAATATTCTGGCTGGGCGCAGTGGCTCATGCCTGTAATCCCAGCACTTTGGGAGGCCGAGGCAGGCAGATCACCTGAGGTCAGGAGTTCGAGACCAGCCCGGCCAACATGGTGAAAGCCTGTCTCTACTAAAAATACAAAAATCAGCCAGGCATGGCGGCACGCACCTGTAATCCCAGCTGCTCGGGAGGCTAAGACAGGAGAATCGCTTGAACCCGGGAGGCGGAGGTTGCAGTGAGCCGAGATTGCGCCATTGCACTCTAGCCTGGGTGACAAGAGTGAGACTGTCAAAAAAAAAAAAAAGATTTAATATTCTTTTCCACCTGCATTCTCTGGGAAGTTACTGTTTAATGGGTACAGAGTTTCAGTTTGGGAAGATGAAAAAAATTCTGGAGGTGATAGTTACACAACAGTAAATGTGCTTAATGCCACTGAAGTGTATACTTAAAAATGACTGGCTGGGCATGGTGTCTCACGCCTGTAATCCCAGCACTTTGGAAGGCCGAGGTGGGCGGGTCACCTGAGCTCAGGAGTTCAAAACCAGTCTGGTCAACGTGGTGAAATCCCATCTCTATTAAAAATAAAAAATCAGCCAAGCATGGTGGTGGGCGCCTGTAACCCTAGCTATTCCAGAGGCTAAGGCAGGAGAATCACTTGAACCCAGGAGGCAGAGGTTGCAGTGAGCCGAGATTGCGCCACTGCACTCCAGCGTGGGTGACAGAGCGAGACTCTGTCTCAAAAAAAAGAAAAGGATTAAGATGGTAAACTTTATGTTATGACTATTTTACCATAATTTTTAAAATAAAAAGAATATTCTCTTCTCCACAATGACAGCATGTGGATTCCTTCAACCCTACCATAAGGGGAGTATCCTCTAAGAAATACTTCATAGACCCTTTTGCATATTAAATTTGTCTCTCCTTTACAACTGAGATGTCACTAGGCTGGGTGCAGTGGCTCACGCTTGTAATCCCAGCATTTTGGGAGTCTGAGTCGAGCAGGTCACTTGAGCCCAAGAGTTTGAGACCAGCCTGGGCAATGTGGTGAAACTCAGTTTCTACGAAAAATACAGATAATTAGTCAGGCTTGATGGCACATGCCTGTAGTCCCAGCTACTCGGGAGTCTGAGGTGGGAGGATCACCTGAGCCCAGGAAGTCCAGGCTATAGTGAGCCATGATTGCGCCTGCCACAGCCCTTCAGCCTGAGCAGTAGTGAGACCCTGTCTCAAAAAAAAAAAAAAAAGTCACTTTTCACTAGCATTTCTTTCCTGTCCCTCCACAAATTACAGTCACTTGGCTACTAAGGCTTCACTGTTGAAATAACACCAGTTAAACAGAGCACAAGCTCTGGACAGCAGTCGTCTGGTACCAGAACTTCTTGTCAGTTACAGCATTGATCCCTCTACTGAGTGAATGCAGCATGCGGAACTTGTTCACCCCAACACCCAGATTCATTAGCAAAATAAGCTCACTGGTGTGTTTCTTAATGATAGGCTCCTGTGGAAGTAGGCATTTCTGGGCAGAGAGGTGAGGCCTGTGTCTGGCTGGCATTTATAATAGCTGTATTACCTGCTTTTCCTCTATAGACTCCTGTGGAAGAGGTCCCTGCTGCTATTGCCCCATTCCAGGGGAGGGTGTTGATTGGTGTGGGGAAGCTGTTGCGTGTCTATGACCTGGGAAAGAAGAAGTTACTCCGAAAATGTGAGAATAAGGTAAGTGTGCTGGCATTGGTGCTGAGATCTAGCTCATGTGTCAAGGGTGGGGGCATTGGTGGGGTGGTGGGCATTGAGTTTTAAAATCTTATCTTTATTAGGACTTGTTGTGTTACCCCAATTCCAGCTTCAGAATTATGCCCTTGTTTTTTTGTTTTTTGGTTTTTGAGACGGAGTCTCGCCCTGTTGCCCAGGCTGGAGTGCAGTGGCGCAATCTCGGCTCACTGCAACCTCCGCCTCCTGGGTTCAAGCGATTCTCCTGCCTCAGCCTCCCAAGTAGCTGGGATTACAGATGCGCGCCACCACGCCTGGCAAATTTTTTGTATCTTTAGTAGAGACAGGGTTTTACCATGTTGGCCAGGCTAGTCTCTTAACTCCTGATCTCATGATCTACCCGCCTTAGCCTCCCAAAGTCCTGGGTTTACAGGCGTGAGCCACCGCACCGGCCCTTGAGTTTTGAGAGGAGCAGGAGTAGAGGGATCTCATTTCTTGACTTACCAAACAAGAACCAGCTTTCTATCTTGCTAGCTTCTATAAGGAAAGTAAATGTGAGAGTTAGGCATATATTTGCACTATATTAAAAGCTATTTGGCTCTTTTTTCCCACCTAGAATTCATTGCTAACTGCTGGTTTTTGGTATTTGCTGTTCTGCTGACCCTACGTATGTCATACGGAAAGCTGGGCTTTCTTTGGGTTCTGAACCCCAAGATTACACCCACCATCACTATTGTCTTTGTTTTTCCCAGCATATTGCCAATTATATCTCTGGGATCCAGACTATCGGACATAGGGTAATTGTATCTGATGTCCAAGAAAGTTTCATCTGGGTTCGCTACAAGCGTAATGAAAACCAGCTTATCATCTTTGCTGATGATACCTACCCCCGATGGGTCACTACAGCCAGCCTCCTGGACTATGACACTGTGGCTGGGGCAGACAAGTTTGGCAACATATGTGTGGTGAGTTGATGTTGTTAACTTGGGTTACAGTGATGTGTAGGAAAGCTGGCTCAGTTTCTTGTGGGTAAAGCCAAGGAGGAATCAAATCTGAGAAGTAAAAATGGATATAAAATTCCATCCTACTAAAGCTAACTCTACAAGCAATCTGTTCTTTAAGCCTTCTTACTAGTCTTTTGGATTTTTCTCTGTGGTTTATCTCCCTCCTCCCTATTGAACGTGATTTAATGATAGGTTTAGTTTGAGCTAATGGCTAATATTTCTTTTTACATTTTATAAGAACTTTGGAATGTCTGTTATCTATGTTGTGTGGTTTTGGTTTTACCCTTAGCTGTGTTAAACTCTTGCTCATGGGTCGATTCTTTTGAGTTTCTTGCTCCTCAGACACAGCTCCTGCCCACCAGAGCAGGTGCAGGACACGTGGGCTCAGGCCTCTGTCTAGGCAGTGCCCCTGTGGCTGACTTGCAAAGACCTGGCCAGACCTGTTGCTTGGTGACTCAGGTGAGCAGGTCCGGGCCCCAGCAGTGTGACTTGTGTCACTTCCTTGTAGGTGAGGCTCCCACCTAACACCAATGATGAAGTAGATGAGGATCCTACAGGAAACAAAGCCCTGTGGGACCGTGGCTTGCTCAATGGGGCCTCCCAGAAGGTAAGATTGCAGAATGGGCCCCAGGGAGAACACTGCTTAGCACTTTTCCTGTTGCCCTCACTGAAGAAATTGCCTTTGGTGAATTATTCATAGTGCACACGACTGTGCTGAGTGCTGTCCGTCCACAGTCCTTTCTTACCAATCTGCAAAAAATCTCCTTGGAGAGTAGCGAGTTTCTTAGAGAGAGTCCATTCCCAGTCCTCTGCTCTGAGGTGTGTCCTGGGCTTTACTTTCTCCTGTAGGCATGTGCTGCTTTAATAGAGCATCTCTGGACTTTCGGGCAAATCTATTTTAGAAGACAAGCCTAGTGATTGCTGTTTTCTATAATTTTCTTTGTGTTTTCCTTTTTTATGGCAAGCTTGATAAATTTAACAAAATGATTCTTATCGTAAGAAATGATGAACAGTAACTTTAGCATGTTTTATGAGGCATTAAGCTTTAAGTAAATGTGAGAATTTTAAAATATTTGTAGGGTTTAATAATTTTTGGATTTATTGTTTGTTTTTGAGACAAGGTCTCACTCAGTCGCCCGGGCTGGAGTGTGGTGGTACAATCACAGATCACTGCAGCTTCCACCTCCTGGGCTCAAGTGATCCTTCCCACTCAGCCTCCTGAGTAGCTGAGACTATAGTACATGCCACCAAACCTGGCAGATTTTGTGGGTATGGGTATACGAGACCTCACTGTGTTGCCCAGGCTGGTCTTGAAATCCTGGGCTCAAGCAATCCTCCCACGTTGGCCTCTATAATAATTTTTGGATGTTAATAGATGATGAAATGTGCCTTAGGGAGCACTGCTTGCCCTTGGGAGTCCAGGGAGGCTCCTGAGGGTGCACACAGTCACTAGTCTGTTTGTGACTCACAGGCAGAGGTGATCATGAACTACCATGTCGGGGAGACGGTGCTGTCCTTGCAGAAGACCACGCTGATCCCTGGAGGCTCAGAATCACTTGTCTATACCACCTTGTCTGGAGGAATTGGCATCCTTGTGCCATTCACGTCCCATGAGGTGAGAGCGCCCACATTACTCTGGCCTTGACTTTTAAGGTTGTTTCTTGGTGCTGGATCTACCTAAGAGGTCAAATTCATTTGTCCCCACATATAATTAATAATGTTCTGGGAATTATAAAGTGACAGAAGTACTTGGGGAGATAGGAATCTTGATTCTCCCGCACCCAGGGAAGGCCATTTGGTTTTTTTTTTTTTTTTTGCGACGGAGTCTCACTGTTACCCGGGCTGGAGTGCAGTGGCGCAATCTCAGCTCATTGCAAACTCCACCTCCCAGGTTCACGCCATTCTCCTGCCTCAGCCTCCCAAGTAGCTGGGAATACAGGCGCCCGCCACCATGCCCGGCTAATTTTTTGTATTTTTAATAGAGATGGGGTTTCACCGTGTTAGCCAGGGTGGTCTCGATCTCTTGACCTTGTGATCCGCCTGCCTCAGCCTCCCAAAGTGCTGGGATTACAGGCGTGAGCCACCCGCGCCCGGCCAGGCCGTTTGTTTTTATAGTGTCCCAGGGTTTGCTTCAGTCTGATGCGAGTTTACAAGGTTAGCCTGAGCCCAGAGCTTTAGAACTGGACTCCACAGACTAGGATTGCCAGGATTGATGGGATGATCCCTCCTGGGGCACACACTGCCATATGGAATCAACTCTAGGTTTGCCAGAGTTTGGCATGTTTTATTCCAGCCAAGGAAGCTGGGATCAGGAATCTGACCTCACAAACCATTCTTTATGTGTGGCATTCTCTCTTGCACTGCAGACAACATGTGGTCTCCTTTTGGGGTTTAACTATCGTGTTGTAGCAGAAAAACCTGTGATTATCAGAAAGTGATTAGATATTTCCCGTGTGTTTGTGTAGTAAAAATGAATGGCTTGTCTGTTCGTTGTGCTTGTGGAAACTCTAGACTAGTTGAAATCACTTCTCAGTGACAGATTTTTTGTTTCTTCTGCCAGGACCATGACTTCTTCCAGCATGTGGAAATGCACCTGCGGTCTGAACATCCCCCTCTCTGTGGGCGGGACCACCTCAGCTTTCGCTCCTACTACTTCCCTGTGAAGGTAGGTTGGGGGAATCTGAGCTGAAAAGGGAGATCTGAGAAAGGAGCAGCACAGGGAGTGGATTGATGGGAATAGTACCAGGGAGGGTGCTCCCCTCAGGGCAGACCACAGCCAGAGCAAAGGCTTCACCTGCTTCTGCCAATCTGAACTCTGAGTACCAAGAGTCAACTTAAGATAGTGTTCCTGGATCTACAAGTGGGGTTCAAGTATCGAGTGGAGAATAAAAAGTTTTCCCGGTCTGGGCGTGGTGGCACACATTTGTGGTCCCAGCCAATCGGGAGGCTGAGCCCCAGATTTTGAGAGTGCAGTGAGCTAAGATTATCCCACTGCACTGCAACCCGGATGATAGGGTGAGACCCTGTCTCAAAAACTAAAAAATAAAAACAGCTTTCCCTACAAGTGCTGCTTTAGCATGTGCCATTTTCTTTGGGCATCTCACCATTTTTTTTCTTTCTGCTTTCTCCATATCTTAGAATGTGATTGATGGAGACCTCTGTGAGCAGTTCAATTCCATGGAACCCAACAAACAAAAGAACGTCTCTGAAGAACTGGACCGAACCCCACCCGAAGTGTCCAAGAAACTCGAGGATATCCGGACCCGCTACGCCTTCTGAGCCCTCCTTTCCCGGTGGGGCTTGCCAGAGACTGTGTGTTTTGTTTCCCCCACCACCATCACTGCCACCTGGCTTCTGCCATGTGGCAGGAGGGTGACTGGATAATTAAGACTGCATTATGAAAGTCAACAGCTCTTTCCCCTCAGCTCTTCTCCTGGAATGACTGGCTTCCCCTCAAATTGGCACTGAGATTTGCTACACTTCTCCCCACCTGGTACATGATACATGACCCCAGGTTCCAGTGTAGAACCTGAGTCCCCCATTCCCCAAAGCCATCCCTGCATTGATATGTCTTGACTCTCCTGTCTACTTTTGCACACACCCTTAATTTTTAATTGGTTTTCTTGTAAATACAGTTTTGTACAATGTTATCTCTGTGGGAGGAAGGAGGCAGGCTGTGGTGGGACTGGGTAGGGTATAGTATCACTCCTGAGTTCCACTGCTCTAGAATCTAACCAGAAATAGAAACCTAGTTTTTAAGGTGACTGGCATCCATGTGTCTTGTTCTGGAGATGAGGATGTAGGTGGGAGGTTTGAACCCAAGTTAGAGCAGGAAGAACTGAGTAGACTCCTTCCTTCCAGATACCGACTTGGACTTGCGGCACTCTGTGGCTCCCCACCCCCAGGTCTGTGGTGGTTTCTTTGTTTTTTCCTGGTTCTTTTTGCTGTGCTGATGAAACATGACCTCAATAACCATGTGTATACCCACCCCTCTTCCCACTGGGTATTGAGGAAGGGTGGCTGATTCTTCCTCCTCTTCTACTCTGAGGATGTTAGTATGGGGATTTTAGCATGAATTCTAGCTGGGGAGTCTTAACAGATGCCCCTTTTACTGATACAGCACCTAAAGCGATCTTTGGCTCCATAGGACCATAGGAAGGGTCAGTACAGAAGAACCTAGATACTGCCCTGCCCCTGAGAACTGTGTATATGTGGGGCCTGTCTGCAGCACCCATCTCAGGTGGGTTCCAGAGGGCCTTTAGGGTATAATGAGAGCCTGTTAGGTGGAAGAGGCCCAGTTCCAGAAATGTTCCAGCCCACCCCTGAGAATTCCTCCTGTTTAGTTGTGTGGGAAGCCCTCGTCTTCCAGGCTGTCCTTGCGCCTTGAACCTGGAGAAGTGAGCTCACTGTTCTCAATACTTCACAAATGTAAAACTTTCTTTCGTCTGCATGTGCTCAGCCATCTAAATTGAGCAAATGATCTGGTGAGCACTGGGTTAGAATCAGGAATGGTGGAATACAATCTGAACCTCTCAGAGCCCAGAACAGAGGGTTCCTGACACTGTGACACTGTCTCCTGGAACTAAGTATCTCTTGAATCATGACTTGGTTTTAGATCAGTCAAGAGAGACCCAGGTTTTGCCAGGAATCGAATCCCTAAATAACATGTTTTTTTCTCACTTAGCTCATGAATTTGCATAGTAGACAGTAGTTCTGAATTAGATTTTGAAAACCTAATTTCAGGGCTCATTTTTTCCTGTGGCCCTAAATCCATTCTATCAAATTGTGTGATACTGACATGCAGTCATCTGAGGAACTCAGCGTAGATACTTGAGCAGCTCCTCGCCTCTTTTCTAACTCAAGTTTGACTAAAATACATACACTCCGTACAGAAGGTAGGGGGTTATGTAAGAAAGGAAAACCTAATCTATGGAATCAGGAGTTGTCACCACCGAGCTTCCTCTGGAAGTCTGCCCATCAGCTTGCTTGTTCTCTGTTAAGAGGAAGGGCTAGGACAAGGATTTGGGCTTGAATATGTGGAAAGGAATTTTCATAGTTGTTGCTGCAGGACCTACAAAAGTTTAAAATTAGATTGGATGTGACTCAATGACAAGTCCCATCTGTGTAATTGTTAAGGGGACCTGATTGACTCCTGTGGTTTGATTGAGCAACCAGGTAAATAGAGACCTCTCTCCAGCTTTGGCAAAACCCATCAGAGGCTGCTGCAGAACTCAGACAGAGGGATCTGCCCTTGGGTTTGCTTCCATCCTGTTCCATTGCTAAGCCCTTGTGACTTGGATCCTAGGACTGAAAAGTTTTTAGCTGCCTCAGCTTTCCCCTGACCTTACTGGCAGAGGTTCTGCAGATGTTTCCTTTGGAAGATCTCTTGCCAAGAATAGCATTCCTTTGGAGGAGGGGGGTTCTAGTTGGAATGTTGCTTTTCTTGGTTAGTGTAAATGTATTGCTAGTGAGACAGCTGCCGGCGCTGGAAAAGGCTCGTCTCACAGGGAGAGTGCTGGTCCCCAGAATGTGTGCTGTTCCCACGCTGCTGCCTTTCTTGAGCTTGTTAGAGGAAAGCCAGAAAGGCATTCAGATGGGATCAGTCTGGCTTTCAAATTTTTTTTAATTCCTAAGTTCTGTTTTATTTTTTAATTTTTTAAAAAAAATTTTATTAGAGACAGTCTCTCTCTCTTGCCTAGCTGGGAGTGCAGTGGAGTGATCATAGCTCACTGAGGCTTGAACTCCTGGGCTCGAGCAATCCACCTCAGCCTCCAGAGTAGGGGAGACTACAGATGTGTGCCACCATACTCAGCTAATTTTTAAACTTTTGTAGAGACAGGGTCTCCCTGTGTTGCCCAGGCTGGCCTCGAACTCCTGACCTCAAAAAATCTTCCTGCCTTGGCCTCCCAAAGCACTGGGATTATAGGTGTGAGCCATTGCGCCTGGTCATAAATTCTTGTTTTTTTGTTTGTTTGTTTATTAGAGATGGAATCTCTCTCTCTTGACCAGGCTAGAGGGCTGTGGTGCGATCTCAGCCCACTGCAACCTCTATCTCCTGAGCTCAAGCGATCCTCCTTAGCTTCCCAAATAGCTGGAACTACAGGCATGTGCCATCACGTCCAGCTAATTTTTGTATTTTTAGTAGAGAAGGTTTTACCATGTTGGACAGGGTGGTCTCGAACTCCTGGCCTAAAGTGGTCCACCTAGCTCAGCCTACCAAAGTGCTGTGATTACAGGCGTGAGCCACCATGCCCAGCCTCTAAATTCTGTTTTCTATTCAAAGTAAAAATGACATGTGTTTGAGTCATCCACTTGCTCATTTGCATATGGAATATTGTATGTGAATATTTTATTACACCCTTAAAATTAATTTTCAAGGGCTATATGTAGAGCTCAGAAGAAACATCTCTGCTGCTGAAATCAAACCTGGTCCAAAAAACGTCACAACGGAGGAAAGGAATAGATGGCTCTCGAGGACAAGATAGGGACTCTTAAAACACCTGCTTGGCCATGGTTGATTGACATTTGAGTGATCTGGTAGCCCAACACACCCTGTGAAGTTCAGGTGAACTGAAATGGGCAGGTGTAGGCTACACACCAGTCTGAACCAGCACAACCAAGAGTTGTTTCTCTTTTTTTTCTTTTTCTTTTTCTTTTTTTTCTTTTTTTTTTTTTTTTTTTTGAGATGAAGTCTTACTCTGTTGCCCAGGCTAGAGTACAGAGGCACAATCTCGGCTCACCACAGCCTCCGCCTCCTGGGTTCAAGCAATTCTCCTGCCTCAGCCTCCCAAGTAGCTGGGACTACAGGCATGCACCACCATGCCTGGCTAATTTTTGTATTTTTAGTAGAGATGGGGTTTCACCATGTTGGCCAGGCTGGTTTCGAACTCGTGACCTCAGGTGATCCACCCACCTTGGTCTCCCAAAGCGCTGGGATTACAGGCGTGAGCCACTGCACTTGGCCAGGAGCTGTTTAAGCCATCAGGAGACATGCTGACCCACTAGAAGAGGCTGCTACGCTCATTTCTTCCACAAACGTTTACTGGGCACCTACCATGAACCACCACCTCCCAGCTCTGTTCTGCACCCAGAGGTTGGAGGAGAGTTTATAACCAGGCAGTCTCTGTCGCTGTGAGGTTGGTGGTGAGGTGAGTCTGCCAGAGGGCCTGCCACCAGTTTCAGAAGAGCCTGCAGCCTGCATCTGATTTCCTCAGCCACAACCTTGGGACTTCAGGAAAAATCAGAAGGTCCCAAGTCTGAAAAATGAAGAGGTGGGGAGTGGGCAGCAGGGGTTTTAGGTCAGGAAATGGTAGGAAACCTGTAGTTGTGGCTCATAATCCTAGTGGGATATTAGAACCCTCTTCATTTGTCAGAACAGATTCCTGGGGTCTGCTCCCAATTATTCACACGGTGGTTCATGCCTGGTAATCCCAGCACTTTGGGCGGCCAGAGGCAGGCAGATTGCTTGAGCCCAGAAGTTTAAGACCAGCCTAGGAAACAGACCCCATCTCTACAAAAAATTCAAAAAGCCGGGCGTGAAGCCCTGTTTTTTTTTTTTTAAAAAAAGAGTCTGCTGGTGATGTCTGGGCATGTGTCTGCTTCACAGTCCAGTGTTATGATCAGTAGCTGTGATGGACAATGAACATTGCTGCTTGTTCAAAATGAAGAAAAAAAATATCAAAGAAAACCAGGTTTGGAAGTTTCAGATTTGGAAAAGGAGCTGGGCCAGCCCATCTGGAATAGCTGAGGGGCCCTGTTAGCCCCACCCTACCCCACCCCACCCCCGTATGCAGCATCTCTGGCGGTGCCCAGAGGCAAGCCCCCTTCAGTTTCCCACCTCTCACTCTGCCTTCCAGAGCCTAGTCAAGTTTTAAATTCCCAGGTCCACTCAGCAGAACTTGCTCCCTTCTCTGACTGCAGTCTCATAATGAAAGGAGAGGTGCTTTCAGTTGGGTCATTTGGTAGCGTTTAGGCTTAGAAGTTACTAATTTGGAGCCGTGAGTATATGTGTATAAGCTAGTAACACGTGATGGTCAAGGGAAGTACTACCATTTCCTGTGGGTTATTAGGGCCTCCAGCTGTTATGAGGACACACTGGGGAATCTCAGCTTTAGGGAGTCGATGATGTAACTGGAGAAAGGCAATGCTGCCCTCATAAAGCAATCAGAAACGAGATTCCACCTGCCAAATGCCAAGAGGCAGCAAAGTCCATGAAGAGAGCACTGTATACAGTCAGATGACCTGGGCTCACTAGCCTCTAAGCATAGTCTTGGTTTCCTGCCTGTAAATTGGTAGAATAAGACTGATTTACTGGGCCTGGCATGGTGGCTCACACCTGTAATCCCAGCACTTTGAGAGGCTGAGGCAGGAGGATCCCTTGAGCCCAGGAGTTTGAGACCAGCCTGGGCAACATGACAAAACCCCATCTCTCCAAAAATACAAAAATTAGCCAGGCATGGTGGTGCACACTTGTAGTCCCAGTAATTAGGGGGCTGAGACAGGAGGATCACTTCAGCCTATGAGTTTGAGGCTGCAGTGAGCTGTGATTGCGCCACTACACTCCAGCCTGGATGACAGGACGAAACCTGTCTCAAAAACACCAAAAAACAAAAACCGGTCTCCTGGGGTCATGGTAGCACAAACGCACATGACTGAGTGCTCAGGGGTTCTGAGGCTTGTCCGCTGACCTGGGGCTCTGGCCCTGGGAGATCTGGGGGACCTGCTGTCCTATATGTGATGCTTTGAAAGAAAGGGGCATCATTCCAAGCCAAGAGGCCCCAGAGAGGGCACCGTGCGGTGTTCAGGCTTCTGTGAGGCCCCAGTGAGATCCTGTGGCTGTGCCCCCATCACCTCCACCCACTCTGCCCTCCCACTAGCTGCCCAACGGATGAATCAACGCCTTGGCAGAGTTTTCCAGCAGGGCCTTGCAGAGAGTGTGTGTGACCTGTGTGGCCACTGCCTTGGGGACGGGTGAGGAGTTAGCCTGGAACATTCCAGCGTGGGCATTATTGTCCTGTTGCAAGTTCAGGGCAAAACCAGGAATCCAGTTTTGTCGATCCAATTGAGAAAACATTTCATGAACAACTACTTGTGGCATGCATTGGCACTCGGAATAAAGCGCACTATTGTCACTAGGTTGGCATTTCTTTTTCTTCTTTTTTTTGTTTTTTTATTTTTGAGACCGAGTCTCACTCTGTCGCTCAGGGTGGAGTGCAGTGATCTTGGTTCACTGCAACCTCTGCCTGCTGGGTTCAAGCAATTCTCCTGCCTCAGCCTCCCGAGTAGCTGGGATTACAGGCGCCTGCCACCACGCCCGGCTAATTTTTGTATTTTTAGTAGAGATGGGGTTTCACCATGTTGGCCAGGCTGGTCTCGAACTCCTGATCTCAGGTGATCCGCCTGCCTTGGCCTCCCAAAGTGCTGGGATTACAGGCGTGAGCCACCGCATCCAGCAAGGTCAGCACTCCAGACTAGGTTGGCTGTGGAAGACTGGGTGTTAATAAGGGGTTCCTAAATCCAGGATTCTGTGCTCACATTCAGTGAAACACTACAGACTCCCCTCTTGGATAGTTTGAGGCTTTGAACACAGCCGTTCTCCTATCCTCCCCCACTGGCCCATCCCTAATGAATCCAAATGCAGTCTAGTAAAATCAGGAAGCCTGCTATGAAAACTTGACAGAGATATTGAAGATGCCCCTGCAGTTGCCCACTCTGACCCAGGTGAAGGGAGAATGGCTGTACCTTTGGTGATGGTGCTGAGGGAAAGGACCTCAACTCCCGTAAGTGCTGGGTCTGAGGCCACGTGTTACACCAGGACAGGTCCTGTGTCCCTCAGGAAAACCTGGCTTTGGGGTCAGACCTCAGTAACCAGCTGGGGAATCTTAGGTAAGATTCTCTCTCTCTCTCTCTCAATCTCTCTTTTTTTTTTTTTTTTTCTAAGAAAAGAGACAGGGTCTTGCTCTGTCATCCAGGCTGGAGTGCAGTGGCTTGGTCATAGCTTAGTGCAGCCTCGACCTCCAGGGCTCAAGTGATCCTCCTGCCTCAGCCTCCCGAGTAGTTATAACTACAGGCATGAGCTACCATGATGCCTGGCTAATTTTTAATTATTTATTTATTTGCAGAGATGGGGGTCTTTCTATGTTGCGCAGGCTGGTCTCTAACTCCTGGGCTCAAGCCCCAGAAAAGGGGTGAGGAATCTTACCCAAGGCCAGGCACAGTGGCTCAAGCCTGAAATCCCAGCACTTTGGGAGGCTAAGGCAGGAGGATTCCTTGAGGCCAGCAGTTTGAGACCGGCCTGGGCAACATAGGGAGACGTCTGTATCTACAAAAAAATAAATAAATAAATAAATAAATAATTAGCTGGGTGTAGTGGTCCCAGCTACTTGGGAGGCTGAGGTGGGAGGATCGATTGAGCCCAGGAGGTCAAGACCACAGTGGGTTGTGATTGTGCCACTGCTCTCTAGCCTGGGCAATAGAGTGAGACATTGTCTAGAAAAAAGGCAAGGCATGCCGGGTCATGCCTGTAATCCCAGCACTTGGGAGGCTGACATGGGCGGATCACCTGAGGTCAGGAGTTCAAGACCAGCCTGGCCAACATGGTGAAACCCCATCTCTACTAAAAATGCAAAATTAGCTGGGCATGGTGGAGCGTGCCTGTAGTCCCTGCTGTGAAACTCCGTCTCAAAAAATAATTAAAATTAAAAAAAAGATTATTCACCTTTTGGAGCTCATGTCTCTTCATCTGTAGACTGGGTAACTCATTGGTGCTCAACAGGGATGATGTATCAGAGAAAGGCCTTTTCTTCCACCTAATGGACCCCCAGTCCCACACACACACACAAACACACACACACACTCCAGTCACCACCACATCACTCAGTTTTGTGTTTTGTTTCGTTTTTTTAGAGACAGGATCTCGCTATATTGCCCAGGCTGGAGCACAGTGGTTATTCACAGGTGCAGTTGCAGCTCACTGCAGCCTCGAACTCTTGGCCTCAAGAGAGTCTCCTGCCTCAGCCCCCTGAGGCTCATGTCACTACACACTACACCCAACTCCCCATCACCTGGCTTTTAGTTTTATGAGACGAAGCTTTTGTCTAGGCCGAGTGTTCTGGAGAGGAGCTGGGGTAGTCCCTTAGAACAGTCCAAGCTGCCTGGGAGCCAGGGCCTGGGTTTGGGGGACTTCTTGTAGTCAACTGGCTGGCGCCCTCAGTCAGAGCAGTCCCCTGGCGGGTCCTCTGGGTTGAAGACTCCCTCCTACTTCACAGTCCAAGGCAGGCGGGGGCCACGTGGCCCTGCCCCGCCCCTGCTGGCTTCGGTTCCTGAGCAGAGCTGCAGTGGCCTGCTTTCCCCGCCCTTCTCATCAGACGGGAAGCCTGGACTGTGGGTTGGGGGCAGCCTCAGCCTCTCCAACCTGGCACCCACTGCCCGTGGCCCTTAGGCACCTGCTTGGGGTCCTGGAGCCCCTTAAGGCCACCAGCAAATCCTAGGAGACCGAGTCTTGGCACGTGAACAGGTAAGAAGGCAGCAGGCTTTCTCTCCTATGCCTGGCTTTCCTCTGCCTCTGACGGCCTGGCTTCCCCACCCCGATTCTGCTGCTGCTTCACTGATCCCAGGAAGAGGGACCTGAGCTAGACTTGACAAAGACAGTCCCAGCCAAGATGCTCTGAAGTATGCCTCAGAGAAGTATATCTCAGCAGAACTGTCTGCTCTGGGTTTCAATTTTTAACCTTTGCCTTCATCAGCCTTGCAGGAAAAAGCCGATCCACATAACCATAAAGCAAGTCACTTCTCTGTGTGTGCCCTTCAGAGTTTAGTCAATTGACAAACCTACATTCTCAAATGGTTGGCATGGGCCGTGGGGCGCTGCTCCACTATATATTGCCGTAGGTCTTTGGACCTTAATGTACTGTGTGTGTGGATTATCACTTGCATGTATTACTTTATCAAAAATTAATTGACTTGGCCAGGCGCAGTGGCTCACGCCTGTAATCTGTAATCCCAGCACTCTGGGAGGCGAGCGGATCACTTGAGGTCAGGAGTTTGAGACCAGCCTGGCCAACAAGATGAAACCCTGTCTCTACTAAAAATACAAAAGTTAGCCGGGTGTGGTGGTACATGCCTGTAATCCCAGCTACTTGGGAGGCTGAGGCAGGAGACACACTTGAAACCAGGAGGTGGAGGTTGCAGTGAGCCGAGATCACACCACTGCACTCCAGCCTGGGTAACAGAGTGAGACTATGTCTCAAAAAAAAAAAAAAAATTAATTGATTTTAAGTTCTTTAAAGGAAAGAGGCAAAAAAGTCAACAGCATAGGTAAGTCTTTCTCATGCAGGTGGGATTTCTGAAATTAAAATGAAGTGTTCTGCTTTTAAACTTTGCATTTTTTTTTTTTTGAGATGGAGTCTTGCTGTGTCGACCAGGCTGGAGTGCAGTGGCGTCATCTCAGGTCACTGCATCCTCTGCCTCCTGGGTTCAAGCGATTCTCCTGCCTCAGCCTCCTGAGTAGCTGGGATTACAGGCACCCGCTACCACACCTGGCTAATTTTTGTATTTTTAGTAGAGACGGGCTTTCACCATGTTGGCCAGGCTGGTCTCGAGCTCCTGACCTCAAGTGATCCACCCACCTCGGCCTCCCAAAGTGCTGGGATTACAGGCGTGAGCCACCACGCCCGGCCAACTTTGCACTTACTTTTAAATGCACATAAACCAACTAACTAGATGTTGTTTTAAGGTCCACGTGGTATTCACCAAGTTAACAGACCCATCCCTGGACGGGCAGCCTCTGTCCGCTGATGAAGTTGAGTTGCTTCTAGGTGTTTTGCAATGAATAATTCGACTTTTCTGGACAACTCTGTGGAAATAACTTTTTTTTTTTTTTTGGTATTTGAAGTTATTGTTTTTTCCCCCCTTTTCCTTGGAGTGTATTCTGCATCCAGAATGAATACTCTGGGCCAAGGGCAAGAACATTTTTGAAGCTCAGCTCACGGTATGTGTGGGGTCAGCTCACTCATGAGAATTACGGGACTAATTTACTAATTTCCAGGGCCATGGTGGCAGAATGGGCTGGGCAGGGGATTTGAGATCTCTGGGATTTCTCAGGAAGGGGACAGAGACAGTCTAACGCAGTGGTTAGGAGCTTGGCTTTAGAAGGCTGACTAGTCTGGGTTTGTATGCAGTAGCTGCCTGACCATGAACTTCCACCACGTAACTTCATTGTGCCTCAGTTAGTTCATGTGTAAAATAGAGGTTATAAAACTTGTTAGGGGCCGGACATGGTGGCTCATGTCTGTAAGCCTAGCACTTTGGGAGGCTGAGATGGGTGGATTGCTTGAGCCTGGGATTTCGAGACCAGCCTGGGAAACATGGTGAAACCCTGTCTCTACAAAAACAAAAAACAAAAACAAAAACAAACAAAAACTTTTTAGGGATGTTGGA
Organism: Homo sapiens; assembly: GCF_000001405.40. Taxonomy (NCBI): domain Eukaryota; kingdom Metazoa; phylum Chordata; class Mammalia; order Primates; family Hominidae; genus Homo; species Homo sapiens. The sequence goes on from NC_000016.10 coordinate 70,581,972, forward strand.
AGTCAGAGATCCTGTTTGTGAAGCATCTAGCATAAGGTCTGGTGCTTAACAAGCACCCCTGGAGGCCCCCTCTTCCCCAAGCCTGGGGCTTTAACTAGCCAGGCAAAATTGATAAGGTCAAGTACATCTTCTTGGCCCAGAGCCTATTCTTACCCAGCTTCATCGTAACTAGAGTGAAAGGCTTCATTGCCTGTTTGAGGATATTTTGACTAGGCCTCTGTCTGTCCCAAGGATGGCAGGTGGAGCATCAGGCTCAGGCCTCCCTCTGGGGGACCCCCAAGCTTTCATCCCCCTCTGTTGTCACATCTGGATGCCACCATTCTTATCTGTCAGCCACCCTCCTCGACATGCAGGTTTAAGGGATCCTTGGACAGACTGGAGAGTTTCTGGAACATCTGTGGGTTCACCTGCCCAGCCCCAGCCCGCTGTCACCGGGGTAGGTTACGCACATGGCTCAGCAGAAGGAGCGTAGGCTCTGGAGCTGGTCGGGCTGGATTCCGGTCCTGGCCACACCACTTTCCACATGTGGGCAGTGACTGGACCTCTCCGACCCCCAGTTTCCTCATTTGCAGAATGGATGTGTTAATACCTGTGGCCTAGAATTACGTGAGATCACACAGATAAAGCAGTTGGCCCCAAGGAGCCCTTACCGTGGAAGTCAAGGCTGCACTCCAGAGCCTTCAGGAAGGTACTGGAATTAGCCATAAAGGACAGGCAGAAAATCCATGTGTTCATTTTCTCAGACAACAAACACTGATTGGGTTGGCCAGCCCTGGTGCTGGGAAGCAGGGAGAGACATGCACAAGATGCCTCTCTGCTGTTGACACAGGCACACTGCCCCCTGCTGCAGAAGCAGGAGAGACAATGGCCCAGTCAGCCTGGGTGCTTGGGAAATGGCTCCATGCTTAAGGATGAGGAACAATTGATTAGGCAGAGATTGGAAGGAAGCTGGCATAGCAGGCCTGGAAGCCGAGTTGAGTTTGGAGAAGGGAGAGATGTTTGGGAGACCTGCAGGGCTGGATGTAGGGAGCGGCGGAGTGGGAGATGAGATGAGGGGAGGTGGTAGGGATACGATTTTGAAGAACTTCGAAGATCAAGTGAGAATTTGGATTTGATTTCAATGACAAGGAGTTTTTTGTTGTTGTTGTTTGTCTTTTTTGAGACGGAGTCTTGCTCTGTCACCCAGGCTGAAGTGCAGTGTCCCGATTTCAGCTCACTGCAAACTCTGCCTCCTGGGTTCAAGTGATTCTCCTGCCTCAGCCTCCTGAGTAGCTGGGATTACAGGCACGCGCCACCATGCCTGGCTAACTTTTGTATTTTTAGTAGAGATGGGGCTTCTCCATGTTGCCCAGGCTGCTGACCTCAACAGATTCACCTGCCTCAGCCTTCCAAAGTGCTGGGATTACAGGCATGAGCCACCGCACCTGGCAATGATGAGATTTAAGCAGGTTTTGAGATGCCTGTTCTTGCGGCTTCGAGGGACGAAGCGAGTGTTAGCAGCTGATGTTGTTGGTGGCCTGGTATGCCTCCAGCCTTCCCCTGCATCTCAGGGGCTCTAATTGTGCTCAAAATAAATAACTGCAAAGAGAGGGGTTCTCAGGACAGGCCTGGGTCAGGGAAGCCTGGCCTGGGAGTTGGGGCCCTGGGTGCTGGGTTCTGGTCCCAGCCCCACCACCAGAGCATGTAGATCTTTCCTCCTGCCTCAGAGGAGGACTCTGTCACCCAGGCTGGAGTGCAGTGGTGTGATCTCGGCTCACTGCAACCTCTGCCTCTTGGGGTCAATGATTTTCATGCCTCAGCCTCCCCAGTAGCTGGAATTACAGGTGTGCGCCACCACGCCTGGCTAATTTTTGTATCTTTAGTAGAGATGGGGTTTCACCATGTTGGCCAGGCTGATCTCAAACTCCTGATCTCAAGCGATCCACCCACCTCGACCTCCCAAAGTGCTGGGATTACGAGCGTGAACCACCGTGCCTGGCCCAGGGCAATTAGGCTTCTTACAGCTCTTTCCTTCCAGGGTTCTGTACAATGTTTCTGGAAGCCACAGCTCCCCTTCCCCTGCCCCCAAGGCAATACTGTCCTGTGGCCTTCCCTGACCCAGCCGTAGGAGGGAGAGACATCTCGTCCCAGATGGGCAGTGTGGCACTTTGACCTTGAGAGAGACTCCATGGAAGTCTGAGAACTATGGCCTCCAGGTGTGGGACGATCCTAGGGTGGTTCTGGGCTCCAGCTGTCATGCATGCTTGCGTGTGAGGGCCACGTCTCATAAGTAAGGGGCAGTGTCCCCTGGGAACTGGGCTGCAACTGGCCTGGGAACCTGCTTCCTGAGCTTCCCAGGGGCTGCCTGGACAGCTCCGTCTGTGCATCCCAGCACGCCTGGAAAACAGCCAGGCTTTCCCCTTGGCATCCTTTCCATACTGGGGGATGTGGATGGGTCGAGACTTGCCTATAGCTAGAAAGGTTCAGGTCAAAATGATGAATTGGAAAGGCCAAAGACTTCCAATGTGGACTTCCCAGCAGCCACTGGGAAAAGTCAGCGCTCTGCTGCAGAGCTTTCTGGGGTGCTCATGCCTTTCCCAGCATGAGAAAGTCCACACTCTGGCCAGGACTCCACCACCAAGTCCCAGCTGCCCTTTGGCTTTGTCACCCAGGCATCTTCTCAATTATTCCCTTGCCTCTTTCCCAAGAGCCAGCACTTTGCTGTTTCCTTGTCTTCCTGCTTTCTCTCTCTCTCTCTTTTTTTTTTTGAGATGGAGCCTTGGTCTGTCAGCGAAGCTAGAGTCCAGTGGCATGATCCTGGCTCACTGCAACCTCTGCCTCTTTGGTTCAAGCGATTCTCCTGCCTCAGCCTCTGGAGTGGCTGGGATTACAGGCTCCTGCCACCACGCCCGGCTAATTTTTGTATTTTTAGTAGAGACAGGGTTTCACCATGTTGGCCAGGCTGGTCTTGAACTCCTGACCTCAGGCAATCTGCCCGCTTTGGTGTCTCAAAGTGCTGGGATTACAGGTGTGAGCCACTGTGCCCGGCCATCTTAATTATTTTTAAGGTTAAGAAAATCCACGTTGTACCACAGATCTCCAGAACTTTTTTCATCTTGCCAAACAGAAACTCTCTATTAAATGACTCCCCAAACTCCCCATTTCCCTACCCCCAACCTCTGGGCACCACCTTTCAGATGTCTGTCTCTATGAGTTTCACTGCTGTAAGTGCCTCATGTAAGTGGAATCATAATCATACAATATTTGTCTTTTTATGACTGGCTCATTTCACTTAGCATAATGTCCTCAAGGAGTCTTGCTCTGTCATCCAGGCTTGAGTGCAGTGGCACAAACATGGTTCACTGCAGGCTCAAGCGATCCTCCCGCCTCAGCCTCTCAGGTTGCTGAGACCACAGGCAAGTGCTACCATACCTGGCCAATTAAAAAATAATTTTTTTGAGGCTGGGCGCGGTGGCTCACGCCTGTAATCCCAGCACTTTGGGAGGCCGAGGCAGATGGATTACGAGGAGATTGAGACCATCCTGGCCAACATGATGAAACCTTGTCTCTACTAAAAATACAAAATTAGCCAGGCCTGGTGGTGCGCACCTGTAGTCCCAGCTACTCAGGAGGCTGAGGCAGGAAAATTGCTTGAATCCGGGAGGCAGATGTTGCAGTGAGCTGAGATTGTGCCACTCACTGTACTCCAGCCTAGGTGACAGAGGGAGACTCTGTCTTAAAAAAAAAAAAATTTTTTTTTTTTTAGAGACAGGGTCTCCCTATGTTGCACAGGCTCGTCTTGAACTCCTGGGCTTAAGCAGTCCTCCCACTTCAGCCTCCCAAAGTGCTGGGATTACAGGCGTGAGCCACTGCATCCAGCCTCCTTGTTTTTTTTTTTTTTGAGACCGAGTCTCACTCTGTCACCCAGGCTGGAGTGCAGTGGCGCAATCTCGGCTCACTGCAAGCTCCGCCTCCCAGGTTCACGCCATTCTCCTGCCTCAGCCTCCCAAGTAGCTGGGACTACAGGCGCCCACCACCATGCCCGGCTAATTTTTGTATTTTTAGTAGAGACAGTGTTTTACCATGTTAGCCAGGATGGTCTCGATCTCCTGACTTCGTGATCTGCCTGCTTTGGCCTCCCAAAGTGCTGGGATTACAGGCATGAGCCACCGCCCCCAGCCCTGGCCTCCTTGTTTTTAAGACTGAATGAAACCCTATTGTATGTATATACACCATATTTTGTTTATCTATTTACCTGTCAACAGATACTTGGGTTGCTTCCATCTCTTAGCTATTGCGAATAACGCTTCTACAAACATGGGTGTACAAAAATCCCTTCAAGGCCTGGCCTGGTGGCTCACATCTGTAATCCAGCACTTTGGGAAGCCAAGACGGATCACTTGAGTCCAGGAGTTGGAGATCAGCCTGGGCAACATGGAAAGACTTCGTCTATACAAAAGATAACTGGTGGTGTGTGTGCCTGTAGTTCCAGCTACTTGGGAGGCTGAGGTGGGAGGATTGCTTGAGCCCTGGAGGTTGAGGCTGCAGTGAGCTGTGTTCGCGCCACTGCACTCCAGCCTGGGTGACAGAGCAAGACCCAGCCTCAAACCAAACCAAACAAAAACAAATGTGTTACCACTCAGAGGAGCCTTAGTCCTAAGGCTCTGCCAACCCCTCCCGTGGTGAGGGGCAGAGTGGCGTGGGGTAGATGTGGGGTAGAGAGAAATGGCAGGCACCGTCCTGGACCTGTCCTCCAGCCTGGCATTGCACATCTGCTGCTCACTGAACGCTCACAGCTCCTTGCAAGGTGCAACTGAGTCTCCCCCATTTTACAGATGAAGAAATCGAGGTACAGGGAAGTCTCCCAGCTTGCCCACGGTCACGCAGGCGGGAGGTGGCAGTGATGAGATGTGACCCCAGATGGGCTGTGCCCTGATTCACCTGTGGCGGCCACCTGGTTTGGTCACCTTGCTGGAGGGCCCCCTGCTTTCCTGCAAGATAATCCAAGATGTTGCGGGCTCATTTGGGGGCTGCCGAGCTAGCCCTGGGGCCCTGCTCCTGCCTGCGTGAGATGGAGGCCCCTCCCAGAATGCTAGCTAGTGTCAGGGTCAAGTAGGTCAGGGGGATCCAGGGGCTGGGGTTAGTCTTGCAACTCTCAGGGGTGGTCTCCTTTGGAGTCACTGCCTCCTCCCTAGCCAGGCCCTGGGTGGAGATCAATGCTGGAGGCCCTAGGGTGGCCACTGAGCCACCCTAGTGACACAGCGAGGATTTGTGGGGATGGGGGCTGCTGAGAGCACCACACAGCCGCAGACAGCGCTGAGTTTTGCTTTTTTTTTTGAGACAGAGTCTCACTCTGTTGCCCAGGCTGGAGTGCAGTGGCACAATCTGAGCTCACTGCAAGCTCCGCCTCCCGGGTTCACGCCATTCTCCTGCCTCAGCCTCCCGAGTAGCTGGGACTACAGACGCCCGCCACCACGCCCAGCTAATTTTTTATATTTTTTTAGTAGAGACGGGGTTTCACCGTTTTAGCCAGGATGATCTTGATCTTCTGACCTCATGATCCGCCCGCCTCGGCGTCCCAAAGGGCTGGGATTACAGGTGTGAGCCACCGCGCCCCGCTGACAGTGCTGAGTTTGAATCCCAGCTCTGCCACCTGCCGCCTATAGGACCTTGGCAGAGTCACCATGCCTCTCCAGTCCTACTTTCCTAAGCTTAAAATGGGGAAAAATACACAATCTGCCTACAATACACTACCCCACACCCTTCAGGATGGCTGCTATCAAAAAAAAAAAGAAAGAAAGAAAATAGCCGGGCGCAGCGGCTCATGCCTGTAATCTCAGCACTTTGGGAGGCCGAGGCGAGCAGATCACTTGAGGCCAAGAGTTTGAGACCAGCCTGGCAAACAGGGTGAGATCCTGGCTCCACTAAAAATACAAAAATTAGCGGGCTGTGGTGGCACACGCCTGTAGTCCCAGTTACTCAGGAGGCTGAGGAATGAGAATCACTTGAACCCAGGAGGCGGAGGTCTCAGTGAGCAGAGGTCGCGCCACTGCACTCTAGCCTGGGTGACAGAGTGAGACCCTGTCTCAGAAACAAACAGAAAACAATATGTGTTGGTGGGATGTGGAGGAACTGGCACCTTGAGCACAGTTGGTGGGGATGTTAACTGGTGCAGCTGCTGTGGAAACTAGTTTAACTGGTGCAGCTGCTGTGGAAACTAGTTTAGTGGTTCCTGAAAAAATTAACAAGTAGAGGCCGGGTGCGGTGGCTCATGCGTGTAATCCCAGCACTTTGGGAGGCTGAGGTGGGTGGATCACCTGAAGGTCAGGAGTTCAAGACCCAAGACCAGCCTGGCCAACATGGCAAAACCCCATATCTACTAAAAATACAAAAATTAGCCAGGCGTGGTGGCACATGTCTGTAATCCCAGTTACTCGGGAGGCTGAGGCAGGAGAATCACTTGAACCTGGGAGGTGGAGGTTGCATTGAGCTGAGATCACGCCATTTCACTCCAAGCCTGGGCAACAAGAGTGAAACTTCATTTCAAAAAAAAAAAACATTAAAAATAGAATCACCATACAATCCAGCAATCCCACTTCTGGATATATACCAAAAAGAACTAAAAGCAGAGTCTCAAAGAGATATTTGCCCACCCATGTTCATAGCAGCATCAATCGTAGCTAAAAGGTAAAAGCAATTCAAGTGTTCATCAACAGATGAATGGAAAAACAAAATGTGCCGTAAATATACACAATGTGGTATGATTCAGCCTTACAAAGGAAGGGAATTCTGACACATGCTACAACGTGAATGAACTTTGAGGAAATCAAGTGAAATTAGCCAGGCACAAAAGATAAATACTGTATGATTCTACTTATGTAACGGAGCCAGAGTAGCCAGGTTCATAGAAACAGAAAGTACAATGTTTCTATGGTGGTTGCCAGGGGCTGGGGGTGGGGAAGGAGGAATGGATATAAAGTTTTGGTTTTATAAGATGAAAAGTTCTGGAAATGGATGGTGGTGATGGTAACACAATAATATAAATGTATTTAATGCCACTGGGAAAAAAATGCTAGCTGAGAGCGGTGGCAAAAATGCTAGCTGAGCGTGGTGGCGGGCACCAGTAATCCCAGCTACTCAGGAGGCTGAGGCAGGAGAATCGCTTGAACCCGGGAGGTGGAGGTTGCAGTGAGCCAAGGTCACGCCATTGCACTCCAGTCTGGGGAACATAGTGAGACTCTGTCACACACACAAAAAATAATAATAAGAAAAGAAAAAAATGGTTAAAATGGTTAATTTTTTTTTAACTTTTGTTTTAGATTCGGGGGTACATGTGCAGGTTTGTTACACAGGCAAACTCATGGGGGTTTGTTGTATTTCATCACCCAGGAATTAAGCCCAGTACCCAATAGTTATCTTTTCTGTTCCTCTCCCTCCTCCCACCCTCCACCTTCAGATAGACCCCAGTGTCTGTTGTCCCCTCTATGTGTCCCTGAGTTCTCATCATTTAGCTCCCACTTATAAGTGAGAAAGTGCAGTATTTGGTTTTCTGCTCTGTGCTACTTTGCTGAGGATAATGGCCTCCAGCTCCATCCATGTTCCCATAAAAGACATGATCTCATTCTTTTTTATAGATGTGGTACATTTCACCTTATGTGTTTTTTTACCATGATTTTTTTTTTTTTTTTTGAGACAGAGTTTTGCTCTTGTTACCCAGGGTGGAGTCCAGTGGTATGACCTCAGTTCACCGCAACTTCAGCCTCCTGGGTTCAAGTGATTCTCTTGCCTCAGCCTCCCAAGTAGCTGGGATTACAGGTGCCCGCCACCACGCCCAGCTATTTTTTGTATTTTTAGTAGAGATGGGGTTTCACCATGTTGGCCAGGCTGGTCTTGAACTCCTGACCTCAAATGATCCGCCTGCCTCGGCCTCCCAGAGTGTTGGGATTACAGGCGTGAGCCACTGCACCCGGCCTTACCATGATTTTTAAAAACAAACGAAAAAATAGTAGATCCTTTACAGGGTTCGTGAGGACAGGATGAGGCAACGCATGTGAACTGTGTTATTAGCCTCAGGTCTGTGGGAATACAAGGCTTTCTGCCTTCGGGGAGGTGTTGCTGGAGAGATGGACAGACCCACCCAGGGGAGGGGCGTCTGTGTCCCTGTGGAAGTCATTACTCCATTCAGCAGAAGCTGCTCACGGCGGGAGAGGGCTGGGGTTCAGGGAATCCTTCCTGGAGCCGTGATGGGGCCCTGCTTGGGGGATTCCTAGCATGTGTGGGATGGGCAGATTCCAGACATTGGAAAGTCCCTGGCAGAAAAATCACTCCCACTAAGGGGCAGTTGTAGGGAAGAGATTTGGGCTCACGCTAGAGAACTCATGATCAGAGATGTCTGCATGAGGAACAGAGGCTGCTTTGTGGATTGGGGAGCTCCCCATTAGCGGAGGCAGGTAAGGAGGTGCCTGTGCGAGGTGGGGGTGGAGCCAAGGCTGTGTACCTCCGACGCTGTGCACCTCTCTGATGGGACCCAGTCCAGACAAAAATTGTATATAACAAACCCTTGTAAAGGTGGTGCTCGGGTCAGAGGGAGGGGGCAGCCGGGTGGGAAGGCTTGTCCCAGGTCTAGCCCAATAGTGCGGAAGTAGCTGGTGCTGTTTTCACTGGGCCAGGTGCTGTGTTAAGCTGAACAGGCTTGATCTCAAATCCTCACCATAGCCCTGTGCGGTAGGGGCTGTCAACACCTGGGAACCAAGGCTCAGAGGTTAAGTCACCTGCCCAAGGTTAGCCAGCAGCTGGCGTTGCTGGGATTCGAACCCAGGCAGTCCGGCTTGAGCCCTCCATCCTGGGTGGAAGTCTCCCAAACCCGTCCCCCCGCAAGCTGGCCTCTCCCTGCCCCCGCCCCTGGCAGTCAGTTCCTGGGGTCAGGGGTGCCCTGCCACCCCCACAGTACAGATGTAGCTGCTGTGCCCTCCCCGTCGTCAGTGCGCTGCCCCTCCCTCTGGCTGCCTTCACACTGTCAGCGCTGGCTGCTCTGTGCAGTCAGACCCGGCCCCGGCCCCAGCCTGCTCGGGTCTCCGGGGTCTCAGGACAGCACTGTGGGGACCATGCCAAGCGAGACTGGGAGAGCCAGGCTCCGTGTCACTCAGTGCCTTCCTTCTCCTGCCATTCAACGAGACACTCCTAATAACTCTCTTGCAGGCCTCTAAGTCTGTCCCATAGCTGTTGAGCTGATTTTGCCTTTTGTGCAACTGTGTTTTCCAACTCAGCTCTCTGGGTGCCAAGACCTTGTCCACATGATTCAATCTGTCCAACTCCAACCTGGCCCCTGATAGGCCATAAATACCATTCCTGATGGCAGTGATCCAGTGCCCTCCTTTGTCCCCAGAGCTGAGGCAGGATGACCACCACGCTTATAGCTAGGACAGAGGGTGACTCTGGCAGGGACAGCAGTTTATCCAGAATGACCCAGTTAGCCGGGCGTGGTGGCACGTACCTGTAGTCCCAGCTACTCAGGAGGCTGAGGTGGGAGGATCGCATGAACCCAGGAGGTCGAGGCTTCAGTTAGCCATGATCACACCATTGTACTCCAGCCTGAGTAGTGGAGTGAGATCCTGTCTCTTAAAAAAAAAAAAAAAAAAAGAATGGCCCTCACCGTCCTCCCACCCTGCCCCTGTTAGCTTGCCTGGCAGTCACCTTGTATGGAGGCACAGGGAGCTGTCATTTACCTCTGTGCCAGGCAGGGTGCTCAGCCCTATACAGGCACCATCTCCCCGGATTCTTACAGGGCCCAGCTGGTGACGTGCAGCTGATATTCCCATACTGCAGATGAGGAAACTGAGGATCAGAGAGGTTAAGTCATGCCTAGGAGCCTGGCTTCTCCCTTCCCCCTGCTGTTGCCCTGAGGCTCGGTGCTGGGGCTGGGCTGGGGCCAGGCTGGGGCCAACGGCAGTGGTGTTTGTGCTCCTTGCTGCTTGGAGGAGCAAAGTGCATTTGATCTTTCTCTTCTCACCACTGTCCTGGGTGGGGGCCCTGGTAGTACTAGGTAGTGATGAAGAAGCTGCTTAGGGTCTCCTCCAGGGTTCCACAGTGGGAAGGGGCATGGGGGCGGCGGGGAGGTGGTGGTCCTTCTACTCCCCCCACCACCTGCTCCAGGTTCATTCTTGTCTCTACCATACTGGGTCACTCCATAGCCCTCCTCCTGGCTTCCCAGGCCCCACTAAAGCCATACAATGCATAAAGGCCAGCAGACCTGCTGGCCCGGCTGAGGCTGGGCTGGGGCCAGGCACTTTCCAGTGTCTTGTCACAGGCAGGAAACCTTTGTTGGATGATGTCACTGGAGCGGGTGCCTCCTGTTCTACTCGCCCTCGTTCTTCTCCCCAGTGCACCCCACCCTGACCGCCTCCTGAGGTGTAATAGAAGGCCCCTCCTCTCTCTGCCCATGAGAATCAGGTAGCAACATAACTTTTGACTCTCATGCTGCTGTGGGTTCTGGGACCCTTAACCCAACCCTGGAAGGTGTGGCTGTAATCCCCAGAGGAGGAAGCTTGGCAGGCTCAGGGTTCTGAGACTTGAATCCTGGGCTGTCTGCCTGCAAAGCCTATACCAGTTGCTGAATAATTATTTTAAAAATAGCTTTTAAACTTCCTTAAAAAAAATCAGTAGACTTTTACAAAGCAGTTTTATTTATTTATTTATTGGTTTATTTTTTCTTTTTCTTTTTTTGAGATGGAGTCTCACTCTGTCGTCCAGGCTGGAGTACAGTGGCGCGATCTGGGCTCACTGCAGCCTCTGCCTCCTGGGTGCAAGCGATTCTCCTGCCTCAGCCTCCTGAGTAGCTGGGATTACAGGCACATGCCACCATGCCCAGCTAATTTTTGTATTTTTAGTAGAGACGGGGTTTCAGCATGTTGGTCAGGCTGGTCTTGAACTCCTGACTTAATGATCTGCCCGCCTCGGCCTCCCAAAGTACTGGGATTACAGGCGTGAGCCACCGTGCCGGCCCTATTTTTTAAATTTTTCTTAAAAACACAGTTTTATTCTTTTTCTTTTTTTAATAAATAGAGACGGGGTTTCACCATATTGGCCAGGCTGGTCTCGAACTGCTGGCCTCAGGCGATCCTCCTGTGTCAGCCCCCTAAAGTGCTGGGATTACAGGCATGAGCTACTGCGCCTGGCCCTATTGTCCATTTTTTAACTGGGTTGTTTGTTTTCTTATTGTTGAGTTTTAAGAGTTCTTTGTATATTTTAGATACAAGGTCTTTATCAATATGTCTTTTGCAAATATTTTATCATTTTTCCTAGCAATAGTGTCTTTTGCAGAGCAGAAGCTTTTAATTTTAATAAAGTCTAATGTCAATTTTTTATTTCAAGGATCGTGCTTTTGATATATAGAAAAACATCACCAAACCCAAGATCAGCTAGATTTTCTTCCTATGTTATCTTCTAGAAGTTTTATAGTTTTGCATTTTATGTTTAGGTTCAAGTTTCATTTTGAATAAATTTTTGTGAAAGGTCTAAGGTCTAAGGTCAGACCTTAGAATCAAGATTTCTTAGTACCTAGTTTGTTGTTGTTGTTGTTATTTTTTGAGACAGGATCTCACTCTGTTGTCAAGGCTGGAGTGCAGTGGCATGATTGTGGCTCATAGCAGTCTTGAACTCTGGGCTCAAGTGATCCTCCCACCTCAGCCTCCCGAGTAGCTGGGACTACAGGTGCATGCCACCATGCTGGGCTATTTTTTTTGTATTTTTTCTTTTTTTGTGGTGATGGGGTCTTGCTGTGTTGCCCAGCCTGATCTCAGACTCCTGCCCTCAAGCAATCCTCCTGCTTTAGCTTCTTGGAGCACTAGGATCAGAGGTGTGAGCTAGTGTACCTGGCAATATCTAGATTTTTTTCTTGCAGGTGGATGATCAATCATTCCAGCACCATTTGTTGGAAAGACTATCCTTTTTCCATTGAATTGCCTTTGCTCCTTTGTCAAAGATCAGTTGACTATATTTGTGTGAGTCTATTCTTGGTTCCCTATTGTTCCACTGATCTATTTGTCTGTTCTTTCACCAATACCACACTATCTTGATTGCTATAGCTTTAAGTAAGTCTTGAAGTCAGGGAGTGTCAGTTCTCTAATTCCATTCTTCTTTTTTGTGTTGTCCTTCTAGGTCTTTTGCTACTCTGTGTAAACTTTAGAATCAACTTGTAGATATTACAAAATAACTTTCTGGGATTTTTATTGTGTTGCATTGAATCTACAAAGTTGGGGAGAACAACCATCTTAACAATATTGAATCATCCTATCCATGAACATGGAATATCTCTCCATTTATTTAGATCTTTGCTTTCTTTCATCAGGGTTGTATAGTACTCCTCATACAGATCTTGTACATATTTTGTTAGATTTATAGTGAAGAATTTTATTTTTAGGGTGCTAATATAAATGGCATTGTGCTTTCAATTTCAAATAGGTAATATGTGCATACAGTAAAAACATTCAATAGAGAGAGATTGGTTTATAGTGAAAAGTGGCTTCCTCTACTTCTCATTCCCTAGGCCTCCATTCATCTATCCAAAGACAGTTACTGATGCCTGGTTCTTATGGGTCCTTCCAAAGATTGTATGTGTATATTCAAGCTCTAATCTAATTCAAGCTCAATATCTAATCCTCACAAGAATTCTGCCTGGCAGGTCTTATTATCTCTGAGGGAGGGTCAAGGGCCCAAAGAGGACTTTCTGGGGAGGACTCTCTTCCTCTTCAAGAGCTCAAGCAGAACACACTGGTCCTGCCAAGATCTAGGGGCAGGGCTGCTACTGCTCAAGGCCAGAGGAAACAGGTTTTGGAAGGGAGGGCTTCTTGCCAAGCCAGTGGGTACAGATGAGGAGGAGGTGAGGAGGAGGCTTTGGGAGGCTGCCAGTCTACTCTGGGCAGATTCATATCAAATATTCTAGGCCTTGGGAAACCCTCATATTTCCAGGTGGCTGCATTTCAATTTATCTCTCTCTCTCTCTCTCTCTTTTTTTTTTTTTTTCTGAGACAGAGTCTCCCTCTGTCGCCCAGGCTGGAGTGCAGTGGTGCGATCTCGGCTCACTGCAACCTCTGCCTCCAGGGTTCAAGCAATTCTCCTGCCTCAGGCTCCCAAGTAGCTGGGGTAACAGGCGCCCGCCACCACACCCAACTAATTTTTTTTCTGGTATTTTTAGTAGAGATGGGGTTTTGCCATGTTGGCCAGGCTGGTCTGGAACTCCTGACCTCAGGTGATCCGCCCACCTCGGCCTCCCAAAGTGCTGGGATTACAGGTGTGAGCCACCGTGCCTGGCCTGCATTTCAATTTCTTAGTTCTGTTTCCTCTCTAGTTTTCTTCTCCTTCTTCTTTCTCCTCTAATTCCTTCTCCTTCTTTTTCTTCTTCTGAGACAGGATCTCACTCTGTCACCCTGGCTGGAGTACATGACTCACTGCAGCCTTGACCTCCTAGGTTCAATTAATCCTCCTGCCTCAGCCTCTCGTGTAGCTGGACCACAGGTGTGCACCACTGTGCCCTGCTAATTTTTATTTTTAATAGTGATGGGTTCTCACTTTGTTTCCCAGGCTGGTCTTGAACTCCTGGACTCATGTGATCCTCCCACTTCAACCTCCCACAGTGCTGGGATTACAGACATGAGCCACTGCGCCAGGGCTCCTCTCTCATTTTGTAGGAACATTCTTCTGGGGAGTAGTCTAACCTTGTTTGGCTGACCTCAGGAGAAATGGGATTTGTCTTAGTCTGTTTGGGCTGCCATAAGAAAATCCGGCTGGGCGTGGTGGCTCATGCCTGTAATCCCAGCACTTTGGGAGGCCGAGACAGATGGATTACTTGAGGTCAAGAGTTCGAGACCAGCTGGGCCAACATGGTGAAACCCCATTTCTACTAAAAATAAAAAATTAGCTGGGCGTGGTGGTGTGCACCTGTAGTCTCAGCTACTCAGGAGGCTGAGACAGGAGAATTGCTGGAACTTGGGAGGCAGAGGTTGTAGTGAGCTGAGATTGTGCCACTGCACTCCAGCATGGGCGACACAGCGAGACCCCGTCTCAAAAAAAAAAAAAAAGAAAGTTGTATAGACTGGGAGGCTTGTAAACAACAGAAGTGTATTGTTCTAGAGCCTGGGAAGACCAAGATCAAGGCGCTGACAGATTTGGTGTCTGGTGTGGGCCCTTGTCCTAGGCGGCTGTCTTTTCCCTGTAGCCTCAGAGGCAGGAGGGGTGAGGGATCTCTCTGGGGTCTCTTTTATAAGGGCACTAAATCCATTCAAAAGGCCCACCATCACGACCTCATCATCTTCCAAAGACTTCACCTTCTAATACCTTCACCTTGAGGTGATGAATTTTGGGGGAGACACAGATATTCAGACCATAGCAGCATTTATTTATGCCAAGACTAAGACTGCCCGGAAAGGTGGCTAGGGCATCTCCAGAGGCACAAAGAGGACCGTGGTCATGACAGGCTGTGATATGGAGCCAGGGAGCGTGAGTTGCTGCAAAGCAGGCATCTGAGTGGCAGATCTGGGCCAAATCAACTTCTCCCCACGTCTTCCTCCCAGGCTGGAGGTGACTGTCTTCCACATGGCGTTGGGCACACTGGCATCCCATTTCCCACCACTGCCTCAGAAACTGGAGCCCCTGAAGCCACGCATATGCCTCTCTGTACCCGTCCCCCACACCCTGCCAAAAATATTTGTGCCCAGTTGCAGTGGGGGTAGAGCGACTATTGCCTGTGTGTGTCATGCTTATAGTAATGGTAGCTTACCACTGACTGCAAATTTCATTCCCTCTTTATTAAAAAAATTGGTTTTTTGTAGAGACAAGGTCTGGCTATGTTGCCCATGCTGGTCTCAAACTTCTGGTCTCAAGTGATTTCCCTTGGCCTCCCAAAGTGCTGGGATTACAGGCATGAGCCACCGCGACCAGCCTCATTTCCATTTTACAGAGGAGGATGGGACTCTGAAGCCAGACCTGTACTTGTACCCATAATACTCCATTGCCTCCACAGGGTCCCAGCACCCAGGGTATAGGCACGCTCAGTAGAGGCCGTCCCCAGCTCAACCTGTTTGTATGTGGATCACTTGAGCAGCTCAGGTGGGTGCCTGCTGCTTAACCCTCCTAGTGAACTGAGCCCCTTCTCCTCCGTTGTGCTCTGGGGTAGTTCCCAAGTGACACTGCTTTGGGCCATTACTGACTTCCTTATTTCCTAGGGGCCCATCTCCTAAAGTGAAGTTACCCCCTCACAGAGTTCAGCCAGTTTTTTAGCTTTTTTTTTTTTTGGAGACAGTGTCTTGCTCTGTTGTCCAGGCTGTAGTCCAGTGGCACGATCATGGCTCCCTGTAGCCTTGAGCTCCTGGGCTTAAGCGATACTCCTGCCTCAGCCTCCCATGTAGCTGGGACCACTGGCACATGCCACCATGCCTGGCCAAGTATTAATTTTTTCGTAGAGATGGGGTCTCTCCATGTTGCCCAGGCTGTTATCGAACTCCTGGGCTCAAGTGATCCTTCTGCCTTGGTCTCCCAAAGTGCTAGGGTTAAAAGTGCTGGGGTTATAAGTGTGAGCCACTGCCTCTAGCCCAGTTTTTTAGTTCTTGTTACAAATTGCCAAGTAAGGACTAATCCAGAAAGACTGGAGTATTTTGTCAATGAACATGTTTCAAACATATGTATCTCTTACAAAATGCAGCTGTTTAATTCCTAAAGGCAGAATGTGTTTTCTTACATGATGATGTACACTCTATACAAATGTAAGCAGTGTGTTTTTTAGCCCCTGCATCTATTAAATGGTATCCATTTTGTTGTCAAGGAGCTGATTCTTTATATAGCTGTCCCTCTCCAGAATAGGCCAGGAAATGCCTGGGTGGCCCAGGCCCTGGAGATGCAGTTCTTTTTTTTTGAGATGGAGTTTTGCTCTTGTCGTCCAGGCTGGAGTGCAATGGCGCGATCTTGGCTCACTGTAACCTCTGCCTCCTGAGTTCAAGCTATTCTCCTGCCTCAGCCCTCCAAGTAGCTGGTAGCTGGGACTACAGGTGCCCGCCACCATGTCTAGCTAATTTTTTATATTTTTAGTAGAGACGGGGTTTCGCCATGTTGGCCAGGCTGATCTCAAACTCCTGACCTCAGGTGATCTGCCCTCTTCAGCCTCCCAAAGTGCTGGTATTACAGGCATAAGGCACCGCGCCTGGTTGAAGGGACAGTTCCTTAAAGGGTCTGAGATGCTTCTCCATCTTGGCATGGCTCAAACCGTCTGCCCCCCAGAACTTCCTGCCAGGCCCTTCCAGGCACACCATCCTCCATTAGCGACCTCTTAGAGGTCACCTTCCTATATCACAGGACTTGAGGGAATGGTTGGTGTCCTGGCCTCTAGCTTTTGCCTCCAGTTCACCTTGCATATTAGTATTTCATAAAGTAATGTTTTCCTCAGGCCGCGCCCCTGCTCAAGAACCTGCACTGCTCCTGGTGCTTCTGTCAACTAAAGAAAAAAAAAATCAATCTTTTGGCTGGGCGCAGTGGCTCACACCTGTAATCCCAGCACTTTGGGAGGCCAAGGCTGGCGGATCACCTGAGGTCAAGAGTTTGAGACCAGCCTGGCCAACATGGTGAAACCCCGACTCTATTAAAAATACAAAAATTAGCCAGGCATGGTGGCGCATACCTATAATCCCAGCTACTTGGGAGGCTGATGTAGGAGAATCGCTTGAACCCAGGACACGGAGGCTCCAGTGAGCCGAGATTGCACCACTGCACTCCAGCCTGGGCGACAGAGTGAAACTCTGTCCATAAAATTAAAAAAAGAAATCATTCTTTTAAAGAATGAAAATTAGTTTTATTCAGAAGTTTTACTGAGGACGATAGACGGATGCCTGCAGTCCAGGAGCAGTTCTGTCAGACTGCTCTAAGGCAGTGTTTCAGCTCATAGCTCAAGCATAGGCAGTGGGGGTTCAGAAGGTGCAAAATCACATCAGGCCTGCTCAGAAGTTACATTAAAGTAGAATCACATCAAGGTTGAGTGTAAGAGTCCATCCGGTTATAGATTAGAGGCATTATCACTAACCTTGTAAGATGTTATCTCATGTTCAGCAAAAGGCAAGGCTAGGGTCATGCATGTTTTAAGGAATATACTGACTCAGGCAAGAGATGGTGGGGGTCAAGTGCTCTATCCTGTTTTGTCTTCAAGCATCTTTCTGGAGAGCCGCACGTTGTCAGAGAGCCAAGGGGCTTTGTGAAATTCTGCTGGCAAGCAGAAATGAGCAAATAGGCCTTCTTAGGTTTATTACTTTGTCTTATACCTGTTATGTCAAGAACTGTTTCTTTCTTTCTTTCTTTCTTTCTTTCTTCTTTCTTTCCTTCTTTCTTTCTTTTCTTTCTTTCTCTCTTTCTTTCTCTCTTTCTTTCTCTCTTTCTCTTTCTTTCTTTCTTCTTTCTCTCTCTCTTTCTTTCTTTAACAAATTCTCATGGTGAGATCTAGGCTCACTGCAACCTTTGCCTCCCGGGTTCAAGCGATTCTCCTGCCTCATCCTCCAAAGTAGCTGTGACTACAGGCGTGTGCCAACACGCCCAGTTAATTTTTGTATTTTTTTTTTTTTTTTAGTAGAGACGGGGTTTCGCCATGTTGGCCAGGTTGGTCTCAGGTCTCGAACTCCTGACCTTCAGGTGATCGCCCGCCTCGGCAGTCCAAAGTGTGCTGGGATTACAGGAATGAACCACTGCACCCGGTCTTTTTTTTTTTTTTTGGAGACAGGGTCTTGCTTTGTCGCCCAGGATAGAGTATAGTGGTGTGATCACAGCTTACTGAAGCTTCGACCTCCTGGCCCCAAGCAATCCTCCTACTTTAGCCTCCCAAGAAGCTAGAACCATAAGCACACACTACTACACCTGGCCAGGTTTTTAATTTTTAATTTTGTAGAGATGGGGTCTCCCTATGTTGCCCAGGCTGGTCTCAAGTTCCTGGGCTCAAGTGATGCTCCCACCTCGGCTTCTCAAAGTGCTGGGATTACAGGTATGAGTCATGGCACCTGACCCTGCTTGGCTTCCAAGTCCCTCTGTAGTCTGGCCTTGTCCTGGCTGTCCAATGTAGAGTCCCCTGACACCCTGACACGGCTTCTCTGTCCCAGACAAACCCAACTTTCTCCTTGATGTCCTGAGTGTCTGCTATGTGAGCTTCATCTCCATTCTTTGTTCACTTTATCCCCACTTCTCTCTTCACATGTCTTCTCTCGTTCCTATTTTCCACCCTTCAGCCTCTAGTGTAAGTCTCTACCCCTCTCTACCCCCTGCCACAAAGCCTGCTTGACCACCTTGGTCAACTCTAATCCATCCCTTCTCCAATCACCTCTTTCATTTATTGTCCACACCACAGAGATTAGCCTTGAACTGTTTTGTAGATGTTCTCTGGATTGGCCTTGAAGATCATCAACTACCCTATGATTTCCATAAAGGCAGAGAACTGAATCCCATGTCTAGGATGGTGCTAGGCACATGGCACCTGCTTACCAAACATTGACAGAACACAGCGCTGCACATGGAACTATTCTGTAAGCCCCAAGCAAGACATGAAATGCACAGTGGGGCTCTTAGTCTTACCACATTCTACTAATTCTAACTTCCCCCTATCTTAGCATCCCCTCTGAAATTAGGATCAATGGTGTATCATAATTTAATTGGCAGTTTCCCCACATCTTTCTCAATGGTGCATAAAATAATGTGCATTTTACAATCAGTCGTGCATTAGGCTTGACGAAATGAGGTGTAACTGGTTGATATGACAATATGTTGGTAGCTGTTTCTGGCTTGGACGTGGAAAAAAGTATTTGGGAGAAACAGGGAATGCTGGGAGAGATGGGGATGCTGGGAGAAATGAGGAGATGCTAGGAGAAGCAGGGGATGCGGGAGAAATGAGGGGATGCTAGGAGAAGTAGGGGATGCTGGGAGAAGTAGGAGATGCTGGGAGAAATGAGAAGATGCTGGCAGAAGCAGGGCTGCTGGGAGGAGTAGGGGATGCTGGGAGAAGTAGGGGATGCTGGGAGAAGTAGGGGATGCTAAGAGACGTGGGAGATGCTGGGAGAAGTAGGGGATGAGGGGAGAAGTAGGGGATGCTGGGAGAAGTGAGGGATACTGACAGAGATGGAGAATACTGGGAGAGATAAGGAATGCTGAGAGAAGTGGGGGAGTGCTGGGAAAGGAGGTGAGGGTGCCCTACTGGGCCCAGAGTTTCTGAATCACTCTGCATGGATTCAGCATTCCTCCTCTCCATTCTCCTGTCCTCTGTGCATGTGCTGCCTCAGAGACTGACTCTTTATTTATTTATTTAAAAATAATAAAAAAAAATTGTAGAGACAGGGTCTTGCTATGTTTCACAGGCTGTTCTTGAACTCCTGGCCTCAAGGGATCCTCCCACCTCGGCCTTCCAAAGTGCTGGGATTACAGGTGTGCCCCACCAAGCCTAGCCTGATTCCTTCTTTTTCTTTTTTTGAGACAAAGTCTTGCTCTGTTGCCCAG
Organism: Homo sapiens; assembly: GCF_000001405.40. NCBI lineage: Eukaryota > Metazoa > Chordata > Mammalia > Primates > Hominidae > Homo > Homo sapiens. Next base: position 70,601,457 of record NC_000016.10, read on the forward strand.
GCTGGAGTTCAGTGGCACAATCTCAGCTCAGTACAACCTCTGCCTCCTGGGCTCAAACAATTCTCCCACCTCAGCCTCATGAATAGCTGGTACCACCCTGCCCGGCTATTTTTTTGTATGTTTAGTAGAGACGGGGTTTTGCCATGTTGCCCAGGCTGGTCTTGAACTCCTGACCTCAAGTGATTTGCCTGTCTTGGCCTCCCCAAGTACTGAGATTATAGGCATGAGCCACTGCCATCTGGCCCCAATCCCTTTTTAATCAGAAGCCAGCTCCTGCTGGGTTTCCCAGCAGCCCCAGGTGGGATGGGGACAGAGGGAATGAAAGGCTATCTTCCCTTACCTGGGAGGGGCCTTCTCATGGCCCTGGCAGAGCCAAGGATGCCTTTGTCCAGTTGGCTGCCTGGCCGGAGACAAGGACACTGAGCTGCCAGTCCCAGCCCGAGCCCAGACAGAGAGGGCTTCAGGGAGACCGAAGGGCAAGGGCCACACACTTTCCAGCTTTTGAGGAGGTAAAGATGGCAAACCCATCCATGGTGAAGTTGAATTGCTCCTCTCCAGGCCCAGCAGCTCTGGGCTACAGCTGGAGTGGACTGCCCTGACAAGCTCAAGGTAGGGCATGCAGCTCCTGTGTTGAGACTCTGAAGTTGCAGGACTCAGGTCTCCCTGCTCCAGTGCCAGATCCTCATGGTTGCAGTGAGCCGTGGAGGCCAGGCTCCTTTGGCCTCACAATCAGGCTTTTGAGCTGCACAGAATTGCTGGGCTGGGGGAATGTGGTCTCTTCCTTTGCTTTCAAACCATTGCTGGGATGTAGAGTGACAGCAAGAGCAATCTAGATTTCATACTTGCTCCCCAACTTGCCAGCTGCGTGGCTTTAAGAAAAGTTGCCAAACTTTCTGAGCTTTGGTTTCCTTATCTTTAAAATGAGGGTGAGCCGGGAACAGTGGCTCATGCCTGTGGTCCCAGCTACTCAGGAGGCTGAGGTGGAAAGATCACTTGAGCCCTGGAGGTTGAGGCTGCAGTGAGCCACGATCATGCCACTGCACTCAGGCCTGGGCAACAGAGCCAGACCCTGCCTCAAAAATAAAATAAATTAAAATGAGAGTGAGAATTCCTAGCTTTGGAATTGATGTGTGTGTGTGTGTGTGTGTGTGTGTGTGTGTGTGTGTGTTTGTGTTGGGCGAGGGGTGGTAGCCATAGTAGGGAGGGAGGATTAAATGACATAAAGTGACTAACATTAACTATTAATTAACTAATTATTTAATTTTTAGAGATGAGATTTCCTTATGTTGCCCAGGCTGATCTTGAACTCCTGAGCTCAAGGGATCCTCCTGCTTCAGTCTCCCATGTGGCTAGGACACTAGGTGTGCACCATGCCCAGCAGATTTTATTATTGTTATTATTCTTATCTTTTTCCCTGTAGTTATTCTATTCCAGCGGAGGTAGCCTTAGCTTTGTCCTGGGGGCCACCGCCAGCATGAGTCCATGTTTCACGGCCCCCAAACATCCCTGAAATGAGGTAGCACCATCTCTGTGGCCCGCCAACCCCAGCCCTGAGTGGGAGCCCCGGCTGTTTTTCTCTCATTCTATTAGTTTTTCCGTGAGCATCTCCTATGTGGCCACCAGGGAGCTGGGCCCCGTGACTGACATCTGCGCTGTAGTTCCACTGGAGAAAAAAAAGACAAAAAAATCAATGCAAAAACAAGGAAATGTAAGAGACAGTTCTTCTCAGCCAGATGGAAGATTAGATAGTTTGGAGAGAAACACTATAAAACATGTTCAAATTTAGATACAACATAATAAATATACCATTTATTTATTTTTTATTTGTTATTATTTTTTTGAAATGGAGTTTCGCTCTTGTTGCCCAGGCTAGAGTGCAGTGGTGCGATCTCGGCTCACCGCAACCTCCACCTCTCGGATTCAAGCGATTCTCCTGCCTCAGCCTCCTGAGTAGCTGGGACTACAGCCATGGGCCACCACGCCCAGTAAATTTTGTATTTTTAGTAGAGATGGGGTTTCTCACGTTGGTCAGGCTGGTCTCGAACTCCTGACCTCAGGTGATCCACCCGCCTCAGCCTCCCAGAGTGCTAGGGTTACAGGTGTGAGTCACCGTGCCCGGCCTATTTATTTTTTAGTGTCAGGGTCTCACTCTGTCACCCAGGCTGGAATACAGTGGCATGATCTTGGCTCACTGTAGCCTCAATGTCCTGGGCTCAGATGATGATTCTCCCACCTCAGCCTCCTGAACAACTGGGAGTACACACAGGTGTGCACCACTGTGCCCAGATAATTTTTAAATTTTTTCTGTAGAGACGGGTTCTCATCATGTTGCCCAGGCTGGTCTTGAACTCCTGGGCTCAAGCAGTCCTCCTGCTTCAGCCTCCCAAAGGGCTGTGATTGCAGGTGTGCACCACTGCACCTGCCTGATTCTTTCTATTGCTGAGGAGATTCCATCGTATGGACATACCACAATTTTTTCCCTGGTTGATACATGTTAGCAGAGAAGATTTGCCAGCCCTTGACTGTGCCTGCCTGCATTAATTGCTTTAATTAGTGCAGTGAAGCTCTGAGGTGCCTGGAATTCAGTGGGGCTGCTGTTCCAGTGAAGGAGAAATATGTGAAACTATGAATGAATGATTGATTATTTAATTACAGTTGCCCATCGCTTTGGAAGATATAACAGCAAATCCAACCATGAACCAGAATAGCAAAGCCTGTAAGCCAGGCCCTGGGAGGGGCAGGGATGTCCTCCACCAGCATCCTTTGAAGAGCAAGACTTGAACCCAAAATAAAAAAATGTGAGGCCAAACCTGGGAACAAACCTTTGCAAACAGGGCTTGTGTGCCCAAGACTGTACTCACAAGTGGGGACCTCTGCAAACACCCATTTCCCCTACACCACTGGCCCCATCGAATTTGAGGAGGAGTTTCTCAAGTTCCATTTTTCAGATGAGTAAAGTGAGGCCTGGAGTAAGGAAATGATTTGCTCTCTAGGTCCCAAGTCAGGAAGGGGAAACCAAAACCAGGCATCCAGCAGCCTGTGGGTGTCTGCCTAAGTCCCCACAGCCCATCCTCTGTCTGCCAACACATTTGAAACAAAGATGCTCTGTTCACCAAGAATTCCATTTTCCCCATTGTTCTCCACTAGGGACACTTCTGGGTTAGTCAAAAGAGGGACTGGTTCAGCCCAATCCCTGGCAGTGGATCAGCCGTGCCAGGTCTAGATTGGACTTAAAATGTCAGGAGACAGAAAGGAGTTAGGCAAAGTCCGATAAGGAGCTCCCGGCCTGGGGCCCAGGCACAAAGTGACGTGCAGGATACTTCCAGTAGGCTAAAGGAAGAGCGGGGACCGAGGGCCTGGGGACACAGAAAGGTAGCCCCTTGGAGAGGCTGGCAGCCTCCTGTGGCTCAAGGGATAAAGTCAGAGAGCCTGGGGGTTTGTGTGCATGCATGTGTGTGTGCATGTGTGTGTGTGCATGTCTGTGTGTGTGCATGTCTGTGTGTGTCAGGGGTGGTTCTGCTGCTGGTGAGGGAGGAGGCAAGGCCTCTCAGAACCAGGATTAGGCTGGTGGGGGAAGGGAGAAGGGTGTTTTGCTTATTGGAAACAGCAGGTGCAAAGGGGCTGAGGCCAGTCAGTCATCAGGGAGAGAGGTGGGGACTGCAGAGGTGGAGATCTGACTCCCTGGAGATCCTGGGTCTGTGGAGCAAAGGATCCCGAGAGCCTTGACCTGGGAGAGGGGAAGGCTGTCTGTCCTATGAGAAGAAAGGCTGTTGTGAGTCTCTGACGACAAGAGGCCCCTCAGGAGGTTGAGAAGAGTCCAGGACCCTCTTCCTTCTCATCAAATGCAAGTGTCCACTTCTATGTGATTCAAATTTTTAAATAACTTTTTATTGTGGTAAATACATACATGAAACATGAAACTTACTAGCTTAGCCATTTTTAAGTGTACAATTCAGTCACATCAGTGCATTCACTGTGTTGTGTAATCATCATCGCTATCCAGTTCCAGAACTTTTCATCATCCCAAATGAAACTCTACCCATTAAACAACTCCTCTTCCCTTCTCCCCAGCCCTGGTAACCTCTATGCTGCTTTTTGCCTTTATGAATTAGCCTTTTCTAGATACCTCAGTTTATAAGCAATTTAAGAAAACAGCTTATTGAAGTTCTTTTATTATTATTATTTGTTACAATGAGACCTCTTCTCTCTTCTCTTCTCTTCTTTTTTTTCTTTCATGGAGTTTCACTCTTGTTGCCCAGACCGGAGTGCAGCAGCGCAATCTCGGCTCACTGCAACATCTGCCTCCCGGGTTCAAGCGATTTTCCTGCCTCAGCCTCCTGAGTAGCCGGGATTACAGGTGCCCGTCACCACGCCCACCTAATTTTTTGTGTTTTTAGTAGAGACGGGGTTTCATCATGTTGGCCAGGCTGGTCTCAACCTCCTGACCTCAGGTGATCCACCTGCCTCGGTATCCCAAAGTGCTGGGATTACAGGCGTGAGCCACCGCACCTGGTTTTTTTTTTTTTTTTTTTTTTTAACAATGCTGAATAAAAGGAGTGATGGCAGACATCACTATCTTGTCCTGTTTTAGAGGAAGAAATTTACATGCAATAAACTGCACAAAAGTGCATACTTGATAACTTTTAAATATGCATATTGGCCAGGCGCAGTGGCTCACGCCTGTAATCCTAGCACGTTGGGAGGCCAAGACAGATGGATTGCCTGAGCTTGGGAGTTCGAGACCAGCCTGGGCAACATGGCGAAACCCCGTCTCTACTAAAAATACAAAAAATTAGCCAGGCGTGGTGGTGGGTGCCTGTAGTCCCACCTACTTGGGAGGCTGAGGCACGAGAATCACTTGAACCTGGGAGGTGGAGGTTGCAGTGAGCTGAGATCGCACCACTGCACTCCAGCCTGGGCAACAGAGCAAGACTCTGTCTCAAAAAACAAAAATAAAAATAAATAAATATGTAGATCATAAATCAAGATAGTGAACCTATTAATCACTGCCCAAATTCCCTCAAACCTTCATGCAGTTCCTCCCTGCCGACTCTCCACCCTCAACCAACCACCACCCTCCACCCCCAAACAACCACTGATCTGTCTTCTGTCATTTTAGATTCGTTTGGATTTTCTAGATTTTTTTTTTGAGACAAGATCTCGTTCTGTTGTCCAGGCTGGATTGCAGTGGCTCAGTCATGGCTCACTGCAGCCTTAACCTCCTGGGCTTAATTGATCCTTCCACTTCAGCCTCCTGAGTAGCTGTAACCACAAGTATGTGCCACCATGCCGGGCTAATTTTTGTATTTTTTGTAGAGGCAAGGTCTCACTATGTTGCCCAGGCTGTTTTTGAACTCCTAGGCTCAGATGATCCTCCTGCCCCAGCCTCCTAAAGTGGTGGGGTTACAGGTGTAAGCCATCGTGCCCAGACAGTTCTTTTTATTGCTGAGTAGTATTCTGTTGTATGGACATACTATAATTTTTTTACCCATTCATCTGCTGATGGACATTTAGGTTGTTTCCAGCTTTTGGTGCTAGTCTGTAGACACACAATTGATTTTTGTTATGTCGATCTGGTGTCCTGAAACCTTGCTGAATTCATTTACTAGCTTTACAGTTTTATGGATTCCTTAGGATTTTGTTTTCTTTTCTTTTCTTTTTTTGAGACAGAGTCTCGCTCAGTCGCCCAGGCTGGAGTGCAGTGGCTCGATCTCTGCTCACTGCAAGCTCTACCTCCTGGGTTCACGCTATTCTCCTGCCTCAGCCTCCCGAGTAGCCGGGACTACAGGTGCCCACCACCACACCCAGCTAATTTTTTTGTATTTTTTTAGTAGAGACGGGGTTTCACTGTGTTAGCCAGGATGGTCGTGATGTCCTGACCTCGTGATCCGCCCTCCTCGGCTTCCCAAAGTGCTGGGAGTACAGGCATTGAGCCACTGCACCCGGCTGGATTTTCTATATAGATGATCCTATCATCTGGGAATAAAGATAGTTTTACTTCTTCCTTTCCAATATGCATCCCTCCCCCTTTTTCTGGCCTGATTGCACTGGCTGGAATCTCCAGCACAAAGCTGAATAGAAGGGATTAGAGTGGACATCACTGTCTTGTCTTGATCTTGATCTTGGAGAGCAAGCCTAAGTCTTTCACTGTGTATCCATAATTTTTCGAAGATGCCCCTTTTCAGGTTAAGGAAGTTCCCTTCTCTGCATAATTGGCTGAGTGTTTTTATTGGGGATAAATGTTGGATTTTGTCACAGGCTTTCTGCATCACTGAGATGACCATGTGGTTTTTCTTTTTTTTTTTAATTTTAATTTTTAATTTTTTGAGACAGAGTCTTGCTCTGTTACCTAGGCTGGAGTGCAGTGGCGTGATCTCGGCTCACTGTAACCTCTGCCTCCTGGGTTCAAGCAATTTTCCTCCTGCCTCAGCCTCCCTAGTTGTTGGGATTACAGGCGAGGGTCACCATGCCTGGCTAATTTTTGTATTTTTAGTAGAGACGGGGTTTTGCCATGTTGGCCAGGCTGGTCCCGAACTCCTGACCTTAGGTGATCTGCCGGCCTCGGCTTCCCAAAGTGCTGGGATTACAGGCGTGAGCCACCTTGCCCGGCCGGTTTTTCTTTTTTTAGTTTGTTAACATGGTGAATTATGATGATTGATTTTCTTTTTTCTTTTTTTTTTTTTTTTTTTTGAGATAGAGTCTTGCTCTGTTGCCCAGGCTGGAGGGCAGTGGTGTGCTCTCGGCTCACTGCAACCTCTGACTCCCGGGTTTAAGCCATTCTCCTGCCTTAGCCTCATTTGTAGCTGGGATTACAGGCATGCACCACCATGCCCAGCTAATTTTTGTATTTTTAGTAGGGTCAGTGTTTCACCATGTTGGCAAGGCTGGTCTTGAACTCCTGACCTCAGCTGATCCACCCGCCTTGGCCTCCCAAAGTGCTGGGATTATGGCTTGAGCCACCACGACCGGCCTTGATTTTCAAATATTAAACTAATTTTTCGTTCCTGAAATTGCATATGGGATTAGGAGATTAGGATACAGGGATCTAGGTGCCCCCAGCACATGGTGGGTCTGGTTCCCCAGTAAAACCCAGTTTTGGGCCTGGTCATCTGGTAGAGGGAGGGAGGAGGCACAGATCAAGGGTGGGGAGAGGGCTGACCTCCAGACACTATAGCCTCTGCCGCCAACTCTGAGCAGCACAGGTGAGTCAGCCCAGGTGAGCCTTAGGCCAAGGCCGTGCAGGCGACTGCTTCCCACAGCAGGTTCAGGTGGGGCAGGCTCTGCTGCCTCTCTCTCTTGCCTGGAGAGGCACCTGGGGCTCATCATGGGTTCAGTGTGCAGACTTGCACCTCAGCCTCACGCCTCAGTCTCTGCATCTGGGAAGCTGGGAAGCAGAGCTGGCCCCAGGGAAAGCTCAGGCAGCGAGGAAGGCGGGGTGTGGGGGCGGGTGTTGCCACTCAGACCTGGTTCCAATTGTGCTTCCCTTCTCTGTAAAATGGGGGTAATCATGCCTTCCTTCCATGTGATATGAGCTGATGGTGACAAGCCACTTAAATACATGAGAGGAAAGCATAATTCTTTTATTTTTTATTTTTATTTATTTTTTAAAAATTATGTTTATTTATTATTATTATTTTTTGAGATGGAATCTTGCTCCGTCGCCCAGGCTGAAGTGCAGTGGTGCGATCTCAGCTCACTGCAACCTCCGCCTCCCCGGTTCAAGCAATTCTCCCTGCCTCAGCCTTCCATGTAGCTGGGATTTCAGGTGTGTGCCACCACGCCCACCTAATTTTTGCATATTTAGTAGAGACGGGGTTTCGCCATGTTGGCCAGGATGGTCTTGAACTCCTGACCTCAGGTGATCTGCCCGCTTCTGCTTCCCAAAGTGCTGGGATTACAGGTGTGAGCCACCACGCTTGGCCTGAAAGTGGGATTCTTGAATCTTATGCCACAGCTCGCAAGCTGTTAAGTCCTGGGACCAGTGCTTTTAATCTCTCAGCCTTAGTCTTCTGTTTGTAAAATGGAGATGATGACACCCGGAGGTGTGGGGCTTCCAGGATAAATTAATGTCACTGTGCAGATCAAGCAACAAGCAAGTGCGTACCAAGTGCATGGCACAGCGCCTGGCACCTGGGAAATGCTGGGGGATATTAGGGGATCTCACAGGTGCCCAGAGACAGGTGCACTGAGGCAGAGACTGTCTGGGACTACAGCCTGGAGGTGTATGGCTGCTCTGAGGGGTAGGGATTTATCCTGCCTTGGTTTCAATTTGCAGAGGCCTGTTCCTGAGTGAGTGATATTACCCATGAGGCCAGTGCTTTCAGCAACCCCATGAGGCTGGCATGGTCACTGTGCCTCTTGCAGGTGCCAGTGGGGAGAGAGAAACTCAGATCTATAGCTAGAATTGGAACCCAGATGCCTCTGGATGTTTTGAGAGGTTTGCACCATTTAAAATGTGAATGTCAGGCTGGACGTGGTGGCTCATGCCTGTAATCCCAGCACTTTGGGAGGCCAAGGCAGGTGGATCACCTGAGGTCTGGAGTTTGAGACCAGCCTGGCCAACACGGCGAAACCGTCTCTACTAAAAATACAAAAATTAGCCAGGTGTGGTGGCGGGCGCCTGTAATCCCAGCCACTCTGGAGGCTGAGGCAGGAGAATCACTTGAACCTGGGAGGTGGAGGTTGCAGTGAGCCAAGATTGCGCCACTCCACTCCAGCCTGGGCGAAAGAGCGAGACTCTATCTCAGAAAAAAAAAAAAAAAAGTGAACGTTTTTCCAAGGTAGGAGCTGAGAGAGGGATCTGGGAGAGGAGGGAGGAATCAAAGGGCCAAGAAAACTCTTGGTGGATTCTCTCCTTCATCCCCATCCTAGTCTTGTGCCTGTTTTCCTCCAGCGTCTGGGAGTGCCGAGTGTTCAGTTGACCCAGTTCTCCTTCTCTGCTGGAATTTTGGCATCTGGCCCATGTGTCCAGTTCATTCACTCAGCTATGATTTGCCAGAAGTTATAGAGTTTCCTATGTGTCAAGCAGGTGCCAGGCCCTGAGGACACAATGATGACACCAGAACCAGGCTCTGTCCCCAGACCCTGTGGTCATTCCTGTGGGGAGAACGACACACAACACACAACTGAATGCAGTTAGGATAATGTCGAGTGGCCAGTGCTGTGTGGAAAGTGCCGCAGAGGGAGTGACAGGGGTGGCCTGGTGGCCAGAGAAGGCATCTCTACGGAGGTGATGTTTGAGCTGACAAGAAGAAACCAGCTGGGGAGAAATCTCTTGTGGAATATTCCAGGAAGAGATAAGGCAAAGTCCTCAGGGAGTAGCCGTCGGTGCGGGACAGTGGGTGAAGCTAGGGTGAGGAGGAAGGAGGGGCCCCCTCAAGCCTGCCGGGAAGCCACGGAGAGCAGTTAGGGTTGATTCTGAGGGCAGATTCCAAGATTCTTCTGGAAATGAAAAAACTGCTTGCGTTCTTTCCCCCCCTTCCATCCTTTGTGATTTTGGGGGCTTCTTCTTTCTTTCTTCTTTTTGTTGTTGTTTGAGACAGGGTCTTGCTCTGTGGCCCAGGCCGGAGCACAGTGGCCTGGCACAATCTCAGCTCACTGCAACCTCCATGTCCCTGGTTCAGGCAGTCCTCCCGCCTCAGCCTCCTGAGTAGCCGAGACTACAGGTGCGCACCACCACGCCTGTCTAATTTTTCTGTTTTTAGTAGAGATGGGTTTCTCCATGTTGCCCAGGCTGGTCTCGAACTCCTGTGCTCAGGGGCTTTGTATTTTGAAACACATGTGAGAGGCTCTTGGAACTGGAAGGAAGGGTTGGTGCCCCCAGATTGCCTGAACTCGCTCTTGTATCCACTTCCTAGTTGCTGTGAAGGGGGAGGGGCTGCCAGGTACGGCAGATTTGTGTCCTTCTCCCCGCCACCTTGCTGGAGATACCTGGGAGTTTATACCATTCTACACCTGCAGGGGGGCCACTGACTGAATTAGGGGTGCAAAAGCCTGACCTCTTTGCCTCAAATAGAACAACACTGTGGTGCTATTTAAAAACAGCCTTCGGGCTGGGTGCAGTGGCTCACACCTGTAATCCCAGCTCTTTGGGAGGCTGAGGCAGGTGGATCGCTTGAGCTCAGGGGTTTGAGACTAGCCTGGGGCAACATGGTAAGACCCCATATCTACACAAAATTTAAAAAAGTTACCAGCCTGACCAACATGGTGAAACCCCGTTTCTACTAAAAATACAAAAATTAGCTGGGCATGGTGGCAGGCACCTGTAATCCCAGCTACTCCGGAGGCTGAGACAGGAGAATCGCTGGAACCCAAGAGGCAGAGGTTGCAGTGAGCCGAGATCACACCACTGCACTGCAGCCTGGGTGACAGAGCAAGACTCTGTCTTAAATAAATAAATAAATAAATAAATAGCTGGATGTGGTGACAAACACCTGTGGTCCCAGCTCTTCGGGAGGAGCAGGAGGATTGCTTGAGATTGGAGGATTGCCTGAGCCCAGGAGGTCAAGGATGCAGTGAGCCATGATTGCACCTCTGCACTCCAGCCTGGGCAATACAGTGAGACCCTGTGTAAAAATAAAAGATAGCCTTCTGTCTTGAGGTTCCCTCCCTTCATTAATCATGTGAAGCCCAAAGCCTGTCTCAGGCTCTGCTTCCAGGAGAGCCAGCCTCCAACAGGCCGATAGGGGCTGTGTGTTCTGTAGTCTAGAAATCGGGGTTCTGGGATCATGGAACCAGCTGACCCCTGGGGGCTTTTCCTTCCAGCTTTAAGAGTCTCTAAAGCTGTGTGATTTCCTCAAGTCACATAGCAAGTTATTGGCAGAGCCAGGCCCACAAACTACTCACAGCCTGAAAGCACTGGGGGCTGGGGGCTGGGGGCTAGGGGGATCTGCTGGTGAATGGTGAGTATGGTGCAGAGGCCAAGGCCCAAGCTGGAATACGGTGCAGAGGCCAAGGCCCAAGCTGTGGTTCATCCAAGGCTGTGCTCCCAGATGAAGCTCTGGATCTCAGGTAAGGCCCACTCTGCCGTAATTACTCCAGAGACTTTAGTTTCCTGAATTCTGCTCCCTTTACCTCTGTATTAGAATGATTCACACTAAAGTGTGAAAGATTGTCAGCTCAGAACCCTCCCAGAAGCAATGCATCCTGAAAAGAAAGTGCTTGTTAACCCACATCAATCTCTAATTGAAGGGACTTTTTGACAGGTATAAAGTGAGTTGGAAAAACGCACACAGTGTAAATCTGGAGCCTTTGGGGCTCAGGAGGGATTCCTCAGCTTCCCCAAGATCAGCTTCCCCACCCCCATTTCTGCTTCTCCCAATTAGAACACATGTTTTTTGTTTGTTTTGAGACAGAGTCTCACTCTATTGCCCAGGGTGGAGTCCAGTGGTACAATCTCAACTCACTGCAACCTCTGCCTCCCCGGTTAAAGCGATTCTCCTGCCTCAGCCTCCCAAGTAGCTGGGATCACCACGCCCAGCTAATTTTTATATGTTTAGTAGAGGCGGGGCTTCACTGTGTTGGCCAGGCTGGTCTCGAACTCCTGACCTCAAATGATCTGCCTGCCTTGGCCTCCCAAAGTGCTGGGATTACAGGCCTGAGCCACTGTGCCCGGCCTCAGACCACATCTGTTGAGAAATGCATGTCGTCTTCTTCAGGTTCCCACAGCAGGGCCGGTCGAAGGGGTGTCACTGGAAGTGAAGGTGACGCAACTGAAAAAATAATTTTGTGAGAAGTGTATTTTTGCAGAGGCTGGTGGTTTGAACTAATCTCCCTGGTAAGTGGTTTATTTCTCCGGAGAGTGAAGGACTGTGCATGATTTAGTAAATTTCCATGCCATGTTCTGAAGGGCTGGCATCCCTTCTTGGCTCAGGCAGGCTTGTAGCGTAGACTGGGGACATGGGGTTGGAGCGGGGCGGTTTCCTGAGGCATGGCGGCCACACTGGATGGGGCCTCACCTGGTCTCCACCCTTACTGTACAAGTGCCCTTGGCAAGTCACTTACCTTTTCCAAGGCGCAGTTTCCTCATCTGTGAAACAACTGGAGTTGGCTATTCCGGAACCTTGGTACTCAAAGTGTGGTCTGCAGACCAGTGGTATCTGCAGCACCTGGGAGCTTGTCAGAAATGCAGAGTCCAGCCAGGAGTGGTGGCTCACACCTGTAATCCCAACACTTTGGGAGGCTGCGGTGGGTGGATCACCAGAGGTCAGGAGCTCAAAACCAGCCTGGCCAGCACAGTGAAACCCTATCTCTACTAAAAATACAAAAATTAGCCAGGCATGGTGGCGTGCACCTGTAGTCCCAGCTACTTGGGAAGCTGAGGCAGGAGGATTGCTTGATCCTGGGAGGTGGAGGTTGCAGTGAGCTGAGGTTGCGCCACTGTACTCCAGCCTGGGTGACAGAGTGAGACTCTGTCTCAGGAAAAAAAAAAAGAAAGAAATGCAGAGTCCAGCCAGGCACGGTGGCTCACCCCTGTAATCCCAGTGCTCTGGGAGGCTGAGGCAGGAGGATTGCTTGAGGCCAGGAGTTTGAGACCAGCCTGGGCAATACAACAAGGCTTTGTCTCTTAAAAAAAAAAATTATCCAGGCGTGGTGGTGCACGCCTGTAGCCCCAGCTACTCAGGAGGCTGAGGTGGGAGGACTGCTTGAACCCAGGAGTCTGAGGCTGTTGTGAGCTGTGATCATGCCCCTGCACTCCAGCCTGGGCAATGGAGCAAAACCCTGTCTCAAAAAAAAAAAAAAAGAAGTGCAGTATCCCAGGCCCTACCCCAGACTTTCTGAGTGAGTCTATATTTTAACAAGATTCCAGGTAATGTGTCTGTATGGCACAGTTTGAGGAACCCTTCTTTGGAGCAGACTCCTCAAATGTGGTCCTTGCACCACCCCATCAGTGTCATCCGAGAGACAAAGCATGCTGGAAATGCAAGTTCATGGGCCCCTGACCTACTGAATTGTATGTCTGAGGGAGGGGCCTGGAGCCTGTGTTTTTTAACAGCCTCTCCAGGTGGTTCTTAAGCCCGCTGAGGTTTGAGAAGCATGGAAGCTCAGATTCAACAGTGATGGGAGCCGAGGTTTAGCTGTGGTGCAGCTGCTGAACACGGAACCTGTTTTGTTTTTGTGCTGCTTTCAGAAATGTGCACACACTTGCCTTTCACAGCAATTTCATGATGTTGTTTGTCCTTATCTTTGCTCTGCCTAAGAGATAACTGGGTTTTAAGGGAAGTTATGTGAATTGCCTACACTCTTTGTGTCTCACAGTGTCTTGCAATAGCAATATTCACATAAAGCATTTCTGGCAAGTGTCAGTGAGCTGTTACAGGTGATAAAACTTCTTGTAAATATTTGTTCCTTGATTATAAATGACAGAGGCTCTGTTGGAACAGGAGCTGGGGTAGATCTTGTAGGTCTTGCCCAAGGCTCAGGAGCTGATGAACTGCAACTCCTCTGTTTTACTGCTTAGTATTTTGATTAGAGAATAAACTCATACGGTTTCAACATCATGTAAAATAGAACTATAGCAAAGAGTTTTCTTCCTGCTCCTGTCCCATAACCGGCCTCACCGGGTAACTGTTTATATTTTATTGGGTCTAATCTAATTAGAGCTGATCCTCAGGAAAACAGAAACTCCTGATCTATGGCTCCCCTGTTACCCCCCAAATCTCTGGACTTACGGTGTATGCATTTTTGCAACTTATTTTACTACCCTGACAAAAAGTCCATCGAATTCTAGACTTATTTGGGTTAACAAACATCTTCTTTTAAAGATACACTGGCCAGGTGTGGTGGCTCACGCCTGTAATCCCAGCACTTTGGGAGGCCGAGGTGGGTGGATCAAGAGGTCAAGAGATCGAAACCATTCTGGCTAACATGGTGAAACCCCGTCTCTACTAAAAGTACAAAAATTAGCTGGGCGTGGTGGTGCTCACCTGTAGTCCCAGCTACTCAGGAGGTTGAGGCAGGAGAATTGCTTGAACCTGGGAGGTGGAGGTTGCAGTAAGCCGAGATTGCGCCACTGCACTCCAGCCTGGCAACAGAGCAAGACTCCGTCTCAAAATAAATAAATAAATAAATAAATAAAATAAAGATACACTGTCTCTGAAAGGTGTCTGAGTTGCCAATCTTTCACGCTTTAGTGTGAATTATTCTAATATGTTCACTTTATGCAAATGCAAGCATATACAAATATATAGATATAGATATAGGTAGATGAAAGTGCCAGGCGCAGTGGCACGTGCCTGTAATCTCAGCACTTTGGGAGTCTGAGGTGGGGCAAATCACTTGAGCTTAGGAGTTTGAAACCAGCCTGGGCAACACAGTGAAATCCCATCTCTACCAAAAATACAAAAAATTAGCTGAGTGTGGTGGTGCACACCCGTGGTCTCAGCTACTCGGAAGACTGAGGTGGGAGGATCTCTTGAGCCCAGGCAGTGGAGGTTGTGGCAAGCTGAGATGGCACCACTGCACTCCAGCGTGGGTGACAGATTGAGATCCTGTCTCAATAAAAAAATCCGTCCCCCCTCAAACTCCTTCCACAGATATTTATAGATAAAAGCTTTGCCACCTCTGCTGAACACAGCTTCCAACATAGAAAACACACCATTCAGTGTCTTGCTTGTTTTACTGAATCTATCATGCTATACTACTGTGTGGTGAACATGCAGGTTATACCATCTGCTATCACAGACGCTGATGAGATGAAAAATCTCATACACGTGGCCTGTTGCAGGTGCATACTGTATATGCAGGATAAATTCCCAGAAACGGCATTGCTAAGTATCTGCATTTGTGATTTGAGAGATATTGCCAATTTCCACTCCATAAGGTTAATACCAATTTGCACTTCCATCAGCTTTGGATGAAAAATTAGTTTGCCCGCATCATTGCCAACACATTAAATTGGATTTATATCATTGGATTTTTACCAATCTGATAGGTGAAAAACAGTGACTCAATGTAGTCTTAATTTAAATTTGTTATGAAAAAATTTTAATTTATAATGTGTTTAAGGCCTATGTATTTTTCTATGACCGTCTTACTCATATTGTTTTGCTTATTTTATTTATTTATTTTTTTGTGAGCAACATGTCTGTTTATTTCACCTGGGTGCAGGCGGGCTGAGTCCGAAAAGAGAGTCAGCAAAGCGTGCTGGATTATCATTAGTTCTTATAGGTTTTGGGATAGGCGGTGAAGTTAAGAGCAATGTTTTGCGGGCAGGGGTGGATCTCACACAGTACATTCTCAAGGGTGGGGAGAATTACAAACAACCTGCTTAAGGGTGGGGGAGATTACAAAGTACATTGATCAGTTAGGTGGGGCAGGAACAAATCACAATGGTGGAATGTCATCAGTTAAGGCTATTTTTACTTCTTTTGTGGATCTTCAGTTACTTCAGGCCATCTGGATGTATACGTGCAAGTCACAGGGGATGCGATGGCTTGGCTTGGGCTCAGAGGCCTGACATTCCTGCCGCCTTATATTAATAAGAAAAATCAAAATAGTGTTGAAGTCCTGGGGCGGCGAAAATTTTTGGGGGGTGGTATGGAGAGAGAGTGGGCGATGTTTCTCAGGGTTGCTTCAAGCAGGATTAGGGGTGGCGTGGGAACCTAGAGTGGGAGAGATTAAGCTGAAGGAAGATTTTGTGGTAAGGGGTGATATTGTGGGGTTGTTAGAAGAAACATTTGTTGTGTAGAATTATTGGTGATGGCCTGGATATGATTTTGTATGAATTGAAAAACTAAATGGAATAAGAGAAGGAGAAAAACCGGTATAAAAGGTCTAAGAATTGGGAAGACCTAGGACATCTGATTAGAGAGTGCCTAAGGAGATTCAGTATAGTCCTGCCAGCAAAGATTATTTATTTACTTCAAGAGTTAAGAGTGGCAGTTTGGGGATAGCACGAGGAGATATCAGCTGTGATGGCTTGGAGAAACTGTGTAAACCGGCAGTGTAAACAAGAGCAGGGCATGTATGAGTAGTTGAGAACGGAGAATAGGAGTATGACTAGACAGAAGATAGTAGGGATGACAAGTTTTTTTGGGGCACAGTCTAAGTTGGTCTGGTGTCTGGAATGAGACTGGGGCCTAATAAAAAGGAGCGTCTATACAGGAGCTTAAATGGGCTGTACCCCCTGTAGCATTCCGAAGACAGGCCTGAATTCTGAGAAGGGAAAGTGGTAAAAGTATTGTCCAGTCCTTTTTAAGTTGGTGGCTGAGCTTGGTGAGGTGTGTTTTTAAAAGACCTTTAGTCCATTCTACTTTTCTTGAAGACGGAGGACCGTAAGGGATATAAAGGTTTCACTGAATACTAAGAGCCTGAAAAACTGCTTGGCTGATTTGACTAATAAAGGCTCGTCTGTTATCAGACTGTATAGAGGTGGGAAGGCTAAACTGAGGAATTATGTCTGACAGAAGGGAAGAAATGACTGCGGTGGCCTTCTCAGACCCTGTAGGAAAGGCCTCTACCTATCCAGTGAAAGTATCTACCTAGACTAAGAGGTATTTTAGTTATCTGACTCAGGGCATGTTGAGTAAAGCTAATTTGCCAGTCCTGGGTGGGGCAAATCCTCCAGCTTGATGTGTAGAGAAGGGAGGGGGCCTGAATAATCCCTGAGGAGTAGTAGAATAGCAGATGGAACACTGAGAAGTTATTTCCTTGAGGATAGATTTCCACAATGGAAAGGAAATGAGAGGTTCTAGGAGGCGGGCTAGTGGCTTGTACTATAGCATAGCCTGCCTTTGCTGGTGTGTGGTGATTAGGCCTGGTGGAACCTCCATCAATAAATCAAGCGTGATCAGGGTGAGGAACAGGAAAGAAGGAAATTTGGGGAAATGGGGTTAATGTCAGGTGGATCTGAGAGATACAGTCATGGGGGTCAGGTGTGGTATCAGGAATAATGTGGGAGGCCGGATTGAAGTCTGGGCCAGGAACAACGGTAATTGTGGGAGACTCAACAAAGAGTGAGTATAGCTGAAGGAGCCGGGAAGCAGAAATTATATGCGTCAGGTATGAGGAAGAAAATAGATTTTGGAAGTTATGAGAAATGTAGAGAGTGAGTTGAGCATAGTTTGTGATTTTGAGGGCCTCTAAAAGTATTAATGCAGCGGCAGCCGCTGCACGCAGACATGAGGGCTAGGCTAAAACAGTAAGGTCAAGTTGTTTGGACAGAAAGGTTACAGGGTGTGGTCCTGGCTCTTGTGTAAGAATTCTGACCACGCTAACCATGCCTAGGGAGGAAAGGAATTGTTTTGTAGAAGGTGCTGGGGTTTGAGAGATCAGTCGGACAGGGAGATCACGTGTGTTTTTATGAGAATTATGCAGAGATAGGTAACAGATGAGGAAGAAATTTGGGCTTGATTGAAGTAATGGGGGCTGTCTGTGAAGCTTTGCAGCAGTACAGCCTAGGTAATTTGCTGAGCTTGATGGGGGTCAGGGTCAGTCCAAGTGAAAGTGAAGAGAGGCTGGGATTAACGGTGCAAAGGAATAGTAAAGAAAGCATGTTTGAGATGTAGAACAGAATAATGGGTTATAGAGGCAGGTATTGAGGATAGGAGAGTATATGGGTTTGGCACCACGGGGTGGATAGGCAAAACAATTTGGTTGATAAGGCATAGATCCTGAACTAACTTGTAAGGCTTGTCTGGTTTTAGGACAGGTAAAATGGGGGAATTGTAAGGAGTTTATAGGCTTTAAAAGGCCATGCTGTAGCAGACGAGTGATAACAGGCTTTAATCTTTTTAAAGCGTGCTGCGGGATGGGATATTGGCGTTGAGTGGGGTAAGGGTGATTAGGTTTTAATGAGATGGTAAGGGGTGCATGATCGGTCGCCAAGGAGGGAGTAGAGGTATCTTGTGGGTTAAGGTGGGGGAATACAAGAGGAGACGCAAAGGAGGCTTTGGATTGGGAAGAAGGGTGGCAATGAGATATAGCTGTAGTCCAGGAATAGTCAGGGAAGCAGATAATTTAGTTAGAGTATCTCGGCCTAATAAGGGAACTGGGCAGGTGGGGATAACTAAAAAGGAGTGCTTAAAAGAGTATTGCCTAAGTTGGCACCAGAGTTGGGGAGTTTTAAGAGGTTTAGAAGCCTGGCCGTCAATACCCACAACAGTTATGGAGGCAAGGGAAACAGGCCCTTGAAAAGAAGGTAATGTGGAGTGGGTAGCCTCCGTATTGATTAAGAAGGGAAAGGGCTTACCTTCCACTGTGAGAGTTACTCGAAGCTCAGCGTCTGTGATGGTCTACAGGGCTTTCGAGGCGATCGGGCAGTGTCAGTCTTCAGCCGCTAAGCCGAGAAGATCTGGGAAGGAGTCAGTCAGAGAGCCTTGGGCCAGAGTTCCAGGGGCTCTGGGAGTGGCTGCCAGGTGAGTTGAACAGTCCGATTTTCAGTGGGGTCCCACACAGATGGGACGCGGCTTAGGAGGAATCCCGGGCTGCCGGCATTCCTTGGCCCAGTGGCCAGATTTCCAGCACATGTAGCAAGCTCCTGTGGGAGGAGGTTCTGGAGGAACGCCTGGCCGCTGCGGTTCAGGAGTTTGGAAGTTCTTGTGTGCTGGAGATGTGGCTGGGGTTTGTCTCACAGTGGAGGCAAGGAATTGCAACTTTTTTCTATTATTGTACACCTTGAAGGCGAGGTTAATTAAATCCTGTTGTGGGGTTTCAGGGCTGGAATTTAATTTTTGGAGTTTTATTTAATGTCGGGAGCACATTGGGTAATAAAATGTATTTTGAGAATAAGATGGCCTTTTGACCTTTTAGGGTCTAGGGCTGTAAAGCGTCTCAAGGTTGCAGCCAAACAAGACATGAACTGGGCTGGATTTTTATACTTGATGAAAAAGAGCCTAAACGCTATCTGATTTGGGATAAAGAAAAAGGAGCATTCACCTTGACTATGCCTTTGGCTCCAGCCACCTTTTTAAGAGTGAATTGCTGGGCAGGTGGGGGAGGGCTAGTCACGCAACGAAACTGTAAGCCCCACCAGGTGTGAGGAGGGGAGGTGATAAAAAGATAGGGTGGAGGAGCGGAGGCTGAGGAAGAATTGGGACCTAGCTCAGCCTGGCGAGGAGGGGAGAGGTCAGATGGGTCTGTAGAAAAGGAAGATTAGAAAGACTCAGCGACACTTGGGGTTGGGACTGAGGGGACAGGCGGGAGGGAAAGAAGGAAGATTTGGTACGAGTTGCATTGGGCACAGAGACTAGGAAGGGACTGATGTGTAAAAGAATGCCTGGACGTCAGGCACCTCAGACCTTCTGCGTATTTTACAACAAGAATTATTTAGATTTGCAGGATGGAAAAATTCAAAGTGCTATTTTCTGGCTATTTGGAACTACTGTCGAGTTTGTATTGGGATCAAGGGGCATTGCAGAAGAAAAGGCACTTAGGTTTTAGGTCAGGTGTGAGTTGAAGAGGTTTTAAGTTTTTGAGAACACAGGCTAAGGGAGAAGAAGGAGGAATGGAATGTGGAATCTTACGTATAGTGAAGGAGGCAAGCCCAGAGAAAAGAGTAGAGACACGGAGAAGGGGTGGAGGGTTCTTGCCCTCCAGAAAAGCAGAGAAGGGGTTGGGGCACGGAAATAAGGGATTGAGACACAGAGATAAGAGTTTGGGTGTGGAAATAAGCAATTAGGGGGTTCTTGCCCCCTAGGAAAGCGGGACTTGTCGCTAAGGGTGAAGGAGAAGGGGTTGAGGGGTACTTGCCCCTGCCCCAGGAAAGCAGGACTTGCCGCTAAGGTTGAAGGACCAAGGCAGGCGTCCCTGCATGGTCTGACACCCTTGAAGCGTGCCTGTATAATCAGAGAGGCGTCCCTGCAATGATTAAACACCAAGGGAAGGCTGCCTTCCCAGTCCGTGACTGGCACCGGAGTTTTGGGTCCACGGATAAAACATGTCTCCTTCGTCTCTCCCAGAAAATGAAAGGAATTGAAATTAAGAGAAGGGAGAGATTGAAGAGTGGAAAGAAGAAAGTGGTTGAGGGACAGTGAGAGAGGTTGGAGAAGAGTAAGAAGGGGCCGCTTACCTGATTTAAAATTGGTGATATTCCTTGGGCTGGTCGGTCTGAGGACCTGAGGTCGTAGGTGGATCTTTCTCATGGAGCAAAGAACAGGAGGACAGGGGATTGATCTCCCAAGGGAGGTCCCCCGATCCGAGTCATGGCACCAAATTTCATGCGCGTCCGTGTGAAGAGACCATCAAACAGGCTTTGTGTGAGCAACATGGCTGTTTATTTCACCTGGGTGCAGGCAGGCTGAGTCCGAAAAGAGAGTCAGTGAAGGGAGATAAGGGTGGGGCCGTTTTATAGGATTTGGGTAGGTAAAGGAAAATTACAGTCAAAGAGGGTTTGTTCTCTGGCGGGCAGGAGTGGGGGTCGCAAGGTGCTCAGTGGGGGTGTTTTTGAGCCAGGATGAGCCAGGAGAAGGACTTTCACAAGGTAATGTCATCAGTTAAGGCAAGGACCGGCCATTTACACTTCTTTTGTGGTGGAATGTCATCAGTTAAGGGGGGGCAGGGCATATTCACTTCTTTTGTGATTCTTCAGTTACTTCAGGCCATCTGGGCGTATATACGTGCAAGTCACAGGGGATGTGATGGCTTGGCTTGGGCTCAGAGGCCTGACAGGTTTCACTGAATACTAAGAGCCTGAAAAACTGCTTGGCTGATTTGACTAATAAAGGCTGGTCTGTTATCAGACTGTATAGAGGGGGGAAGGCTAAACTGAGGAATTATGTCTGACAAAAGGGAAAAAATGACTGTGGTGGCCTTCTCAGACCCTGTAGGAAAGGTCTTTGCTTATTCAGTGAAAGTGTCTATTTAGACTAAAAGTTATTTTAGTTATCTGACTCAGGGCATGTTGAATAAAGCTAATTTGCCAGTCCTGGGCGGGGGCAAATCCCTGAGCTTGATGTGTAGGGAAGGGAGGAGGCCTGAATAATCCCTGAGGAGTAGTAGAACAGCAGATGGAACACCGAGAAGTTATTTCCTTGAGGATAGATTTCCACGATGGAAAGGAAATGAGAGGTTCTGAGAGGCGGGCTAGTGGCTTGTACTATAGCATAGCCTGCCTTTGCTGGTGTGTGGCGATTAGGCCTGGTGGAACTGCCATCAATAAATCAAGCGTGATCAGGGTGAGGAACAGGAAAGAAGGAAATTTGGGGAAATGGGGTTAATGTCAGGTGGATCAGAGAGATACAGTCATGGGGGTCAGGTGTGGTATCAGGAATAATGTGGGGGGCCAGATTGAAGTCCGGGCCAGGAACAATGGTAATTGTGGGACTTAAAGAGTGAGTACAGCTGAAGGAGCCGGGGAGCAGAAAGTATATGCTTCAGGTATGAGGAAGAAAATAGATTTTGGAAGTTATGAGAAATGTAGAGAGTGAGTTGAGCATAGTTTGCGATTTTTAGGGCCTCTAAAAGTATTAATGCAGCGGCACCCGCTGTATGCAGACATGAGGGCTAGGCTAAAACATTAAGGTCAAATTGTTTGGACAGAAAGGCTACAGGGTGCGGTCCTGGCTCTTGTATAAGAATTCTGACCACACTAACCATACCTAGGAAGAAAAGGAGTTGTTTTGTAAGGGATTGAGGTTTGGGGGATTAATCGGACACGAGCAGCAGGGGGAGCACCTGTGTTTTTATGAAGAATTATGCTGAGATAGGTAACA